>NC_000015.10:30246570-30549601 GCF_000001405.40 Homo sapiens
GATGATTTTCATGTTTTCTGCCATCTGTATTATACCCTCTTTGTCAATATCATCCTTAAAATGAGCTGCCCTGCTCCCAGCAAAATGACTCATCTAGCAATGCTTATATGAGATTCCTGAATGCATTACTATGACAGGGTCACATCTCAATTTCATTTTTCTCTTTATAAAAGGAATTTATAATCTTTCCCAGATTATAAATTGTCAATTAACAGAACTAATAAAAATTATTTTAAAAGTATGTATATAAGTAACTGCTACAAGCATTTTCAACAATGATGAACATGAGAAAAGCTATCCTATTCTCTGGAGTTAAATATTTATTTTGAAATATTAAGATATTTCTAATTTTTCAAATCCATTGATAATATATCATTATCTGATGGGAAAATTTTCAATAGATATAAATGTATTTAGAATGTAAAAATGAATTCAGAATGGAATAATAATTCTACTTATAGTAGTATTCACAGAGAAAGTAGAACTATTGCCACCTTTTAATTGGGTGGTAGATTTCAATTGTTCTCACTGTTTTGGCAGCCTTGTCACAGGATTCCTTATGTGAGGTTTTATTTGCCTAAATCTCATTCCTTCCTCACATGAGTCATCACCAAGCCAGGAATCTTTTGTACCTTGCAAGCGACTTTCTGGAATACAGGCTATCAAACTTTTTCCTAATAAATTTTATTTCATTTTTCTGTAGCTCCTCATTCTTATCTGTCAATGTCATTTTACAAGTCTTGAAGCTGTCTTCTACAGCAGAGCTGCAAATCTGTTTCCACTTGAGCTTCTGATAAACATACTAAACAATATATGCTGATGACCCAACATTCAGAATCACCTTTCAATTTGACACAGACCTGGTAGTAATACTCTTTAGAGATCTAGTTTAGGATCTCTAAACCCAGGAAATCACTTGGGTTGATCTCTAAACCCAGGCAAATTCTCTTTACCCAGGAAATTCACTAATCTATCAAGATACAGACACAGTGTCAAGTACTCGGCTGAAGTAGAGATACATACCACACTCTGTTCTAAAGGGCAATAACAGTTTTTTTTCCCCATTAGAACGGACTTACTCCTGGTAAACCTGGAGCTGTAAAGCTGATACGTAGGAATCATTCAACAAAGTGTACGCATTAGTATTATTGTTATCAGTTTGTATTAATCAATACACTATCCTCTAAATGCTCCCAAATTCATTGTTTAAAAACTAGATAAGGGGTTGGGTTAAGATAATAAGTCCTTATTTTCTGGAACGAGGAAACTAGTTAAGGTTAACTTCAGTTTGGTCATCTGGTACCACAGAAAAATCTAACACCACAGAGACACTGGGTCATATGCAGAGATTTATTCTTAATATTTCCTAACTGAAAAACAGCTCATTAGGCACATCTGGAGACCTTGGAGCTGTCCTAGGTACAAGGGTGGGGTGGCAGAGAAAAGCTTAATGTAGACTCTCTACTCTCAAACGACTCATTCTGGTGAATAGACACTAGTTAACTATGCAGGTAAAGTTTTCTTCATTCTTGTATCTCAACATCTGACACAGACCCTGGCTTGGTAACGGGAACTCACATGTGTGTGATGAAGGTAAGGAGCACTCCGAAGAGAGCCTGGTGATGCAGAACTAGCAGGCATGTGGTGCATCCCAATTCCCCTAGTGCTTCAAAGTCCTTACAAAGCAGAACCGTGGCCCCGATGTGAGGCACACAGGCTGGGGACACAATTCCTTTTCAAAGAGAAGCAACTGAATGCTCAGAAGTAGAGTGACTTGTGAAGGGTCACTGGGAAGAACGTGGCAAAGCTGAAATGAACACTCAGATCTGCAGACTATAAGTCATTTGCAGGGCCAGGCATGGTGGCTCATGTCTATTATCCCAGTGCTTTGGGAGGCCAAAGCAGGAGGATCTCTTGTGGCCAGGAGTTTGAGACTGGCCTGGGAAACATAGCAAGACCTGTCTCTACAAAAAATATAATAGAAAATTCACCAGGCATTGTGCTGTGTGCCTATAGTCCTAGCCACTGAGGAAGCTCAGGCTGGAGGATTGCTTGAGCCCAGAAGTTTGAGGCTGAACTGAGCTATGATCATGGCACTGCACTCCAGCCTGGGTGACAGAGTGAAATCCCACCTCTAAAAAGAGGGGAAAAAATAGCTTTTTTTTTTTTTTTTTCCTGAGATGGAGTTTTGCTCTGTCGCCCAGGCTGGAGTGCAACGGCACGATCTTGGCTCACTGAAACTTTTGCCTCCCGGGTTCAAGGAATTCTCCTGCCTCAGCCTTTCGAGTAGCTGAGATTACAGGCACCCACCAGCACACCAGGTTAATTTTTTTTTTTTGATAGAGACGGGGTTTCACCATGTTGTTCAGGCTGGTCTTGAACTCCTGACCTCAGGTCATCCGCCTGCCTTGGCCTCCCAAAGTGCTGGGATTACAGGAGTGAGCCACTGCACCTGGCTGGAAAAAATAGTCTTAACTATAGTCCCAGCTACTTGGGAGGCAGAGGTGGTAGGATCGCTTGAGCCCGGGAGGTCGAGGATGAAGTGAGCTGAGATCGCACCACTGCACTCCAGCCTGGGAGGCAAAGTGAAAACCTATTTAAAAAAAAAAGTGGTGACTTCAAATCACTCTCTTTCAGCATTAGAGTAAGGTAGGAAGTCTGCATATTTTTAGATTCTCATGATTTTTCTCATGGAAGGGGTGATCATTTCTGATCACTGCCATTGCATCATGACAACAAAGCTGCTTCTGTGTGTCCTAGAATACAAAATGCAAATGGAATCCAGCCTGGTAAAAATGTGGAAGGAGAGCAAGAAGCCCTTTGGTGAGCATAGCCAGGCCACCCATTTAGGTTGTGTTGGTGCACATCCTTGCAGGCCCCATGCACATCACAACTTCCACAGACTCACATGTGCTTTACAACAGTTCTCTAGAAGATGGTAGTAGGAGATCTTATTCTAACAAAACAGTGTAATATGACAGCATCCCAAGAGATAGAAGTAACATGTCTTGAGAAAGAAGTGCCTCTTTTCTAATCTTCATGGAGACAGCTCATGGACTGTGATTGCTTTGCATCCAGTCTCTCCAGATGACCTATTGCTCTCAAATATCACTAATGACTGACTACAAGCCAACAAGAGAGAGGGTTGAGTTTCATGTATCTTGTGCAGAGTAGGTGCTGAGTTAATATTTCTCGAATTCAGAGTTGTGCTAGGTCTCCCAAGAATTTCATAATGTAATGCTGAAGAGCATGGGCTTTGGGGTCAGGCAAGCTAAGGTTCAAACTTTGACTACTGCTTAGGATACTAGAATAAGTTCTACATCTTCATTGTCCTCATGGAAAGATTCATGGTCCTCACGGGTAAAATGTGATGAATAAAATCTGCAGGACTGGGAGGAGTAAAGGATATAAATAATATTGCATTCCATGCCTGGTACGTAGTTGGTGCTGTCGACAGTAGCTAGAGAGAGAGAAATGAATGATGGTAAAGAGTGCAGGCTACTCTACCTGTACCCATGTTCATCATAGCACTATCCACAACAGCCAGAATATGGAATCAACCTCCGTGTCCATCGACAGGTGAAGAAAATGTGTTATAAATACACGGTTGAGTACTATTCAGCCTTAAGAAACAAGGAAATCCTGTCATTTGCAACACCATAGATGAACCTGGAGGACATTATGCTAAGCGAAATAAGCTGGGTGCCAAAAGACAGCTACTTTATGATCTCACTTATATACAGAGGCTAAAAATGTCAAACTCACAGAGGCAGAGAGTGGGATGGTGCTTACCAGAGGCTGGGGCAGGGGAAGGACTGAGAAGAGGTTGGCCAGGGATACACAATTTCAGTTAGGAGGAGAAACTTCAAGAAATCTGTTGCACAGCATGGTGACCACAGCTAAACACAGTGTCTTGTATTCTTGAGCACTTCTAAGAGAGTAGTTTTAAGTGTTCTTACCACAAATAACTGGCAAGTAGGTGAGGCAATGCATATGTTACTTAGTTCAGTTTAGCCATTCCATAGTGTACGCATACTGTATATCAAAACACTATGTTCTTCTTAGGACAGGCGATGAGGACAAAAAAAGAAAAAACATTATGTCATATACCATAAATATATACAGTTCGTGTCCGTCAATTAAAAAAAAAATTATGGCTGGGTGCAGTGGCTCACGCCTGTAATCCCAGCACTTCAGGAGGCCGAGATGGGCGAATCACCTGAGGTTGCGAGTTTGAGACCAGCCTGACCAACATGGAGAAACCCCGTCTCTACTAAAAATACAAAATTAGCCGGGCGTGGTGGTGCACAACTATAATCCCAGCTACTTGGGAGGCTGAGGCAGGAGAATCACTTGAACCTGGGAGGCGGAGGTGGGGTGAGCCGAGATCGCACTATTGCACTCCAGCCTGGGCGACAGAGCGAGACTCCTTCTCAATAAATAAATAAATAAATAAGTAAAAATTTACAAACAGAGCACAGACTGTGGAGTCCAGCTGCCTGGAGTCAAGGCCAAGCTTGTCTCTACTTAGCTGTGTGGCATTTACACAGGTCCCTGAAGCTCTCCATGCCGCATTTTCTCTTCTGTAAAAGTCTTTTGGGGAGGTAAATGACAGAACACATGTATGGGGGTCGTTGCTGCTGGCACCTAATATTTCTGATCCTTAGGCACAGCCTGCTCCCCTTCAAATCAGGCCTGGCCTTGGGATTGTGCTTTGGCTTGTGGTATCTGTTTGTTCACTTCTGGCTGGAGCTTCAGGAGACAGCGTGTGATTTGATATTTCTCTTTATCTGCCAGGTAGTGCAAAATGACATACAGCACAGCCTGGCCAGTCCAAAACTGACACATAGTACCATAAAATCTTCTGGGACTTTGTCGGTTTAGGTCCCAGAAAATATTGATGATATTTTATTATTGCAATATGGCCTCCCCCATCTTTTTTTTTTTGTGACAGAGTCTCACTCTGTCACCCAGGCTAGAGTGCAGTGGCGTGATCTTGGCTCACTGCAAGCTCCACCTCCCGGGTTCAAGTGATTCTCCCGCTTTAGACTCCAGAGTAGCTGGGATTACAGGAGCACACTGCCACACCTGGCTAATTTTTTAGTGTTTTTATTAGAGATGGGGTTTCACCATGTTGGCCAGACTGGTCTCGAACTCCTGACCTCAGGCAATCCACCTGCCTCGGCCTCCCAAAGTGCTGGGATTACAGAAGTGAGCCAGCACGCCCGGCCAGCCTCCCCCATCTTAAGGAAAACAGAATCTAAAGTGCCCAAACTCGTGTCTGGCCCATAGTTGGTACTCAGCAAATGTTTATTATTGTTATAATAATAATGATTATTCCTGTCATCATTCCTAATGATGTTCATATTTGAACAGCCCCAGCTCTGCCTAGCTACACCTTGGCCATTGTTGGACTTCATGATTTTAAGATCTCTCTTCTCTAGAAGAAACAGTTTAGTATTTGGCACAAGAGAAACACAGAAAACTACTTCAAACATCTATTGACTGACTGTGGATGCATCTGAAAGTGATTCATCTCTGAGTCTTTATTTCATTATCTGTACAATGGAGATGAATCCTAATGACTGAGAAGTTTGGTCACAAGCAAACTTCTTTTGGCTGCAGTGCCTGGGACAAGGTCAGCACTAGCCACTCCTGTCCGTGCTATCTCCTTTGCAGCACCAATCCCAGCTCCTCCAGCCTTCACATCCTAGTCTCTCACCAGCTATAAGACTTTTCTTTCTCCTAATTGTTGGCTGTTCCACAGGGAGATGGAGAGGAGCTTGCTCACTTGTTAATTTTGCTATTGATAGCTTGAGGAAAAAATTACATCTAGTAGGAGACTCTAATCAGAATATCTGTGGAATTTAGGTAGCTCCATCATTTCTAGTCCACAAATGTAGCTATGAAACATTGGAATCCTTTATGGTTTTAGAACGACCTAATGCATTTGGTGTCTGTGGCTATGTGTAGCTCAACAATGTTGTAGCCTGTACTCACACTTAGCTATACCAGGTGATCATTTTCCCACTGTCTTGGCTTTTCTGGGAAGACCTGCTCAATGCTGCTACGGGCACACGCAGGTGGACAGGTCACGACCTAGGAGTCACTGCTCTCAGCCAAATGTCACATGTAATTGTGTCCCAACATCCTCCTGAAAGGAGCCTTTCAAATAACTGAAAAAAACTAATTAAATACGTATAGCATGAATCATTTCTGGAAGATAACTAAACCCAAGCAGTTACGCCAGTTGGTCTTCATCATAGTTCCTTAATTTAATAGTAATCTTCATAGGAAATTGTGGTATCACGTGAGGTGGATCTGGCAAGCTTTTTCATCCGGTTCCAGATGGGGAACTTAATTGATCTCAAATTTGCTCACTGAGCTTTAAAGTGTGGAAAAAGACCCAGAGCCCTGACTTTCCAGCCAAGTCTCAGGTCCCCACCACTGGGCCACATACCCTTCCCAGGGGCCAGCAGAGGAAATAGAACTCAATTTGTGTTAAAGGTTTACAAACCTGTTAATGCTTTTTGTTCAGTATTTCAAAATTTAGAGAACATGGTGCTGCACATTTTAAGGAATATTACTTTTCTTCCTTCCCTCCTGCATCCTGTTTTCTCTCGGTGCTATTATGGTTCACATTGGTTGGCAATACATTGCAGCAAGAAAGGTATTAAAAGCTTGAGGTGGTAAAACTATAAAGTTACCAGCTTTCCATGCTAATTCGTGTGAAAACATGATGCGCTCCACATCTTTCATGGTGCAATAACATAGGTGAGTCAACATCAGGCACGTGAGTTTGTTCAAGCAAGTCATTTGAAGTCAGAATGGTAACTTGTGGAGGCGGATCTGTGACATGCTGGGAAGAAGTCAGGTTTAGTATACCATATTGCAGTTTATTATCCATGAAGTAGATTACCCAAAAAACTTAGCCATTTTGCAGTATGTATAAAACGTGCCTTTATTCAGCAATTCAGTTTCTAAGAATTCCTTCTAAATAAATAAGGATGTGTACAGATATATAGATGTAAAGATGGTTATTGTAATTTCTTTAGGATAATCAAATCATGGTACATCTGAACTGAATCATCCTGCATTCATTAAAACAGCAGTGCTGGGATTTCATCATTTATATAAATATGGAAAATTCATTTAAGTACTAAGCAGGTTGCAGAGCAGCAAAGATGTCATTATTTTTACTTTTGAGCAAGTGAAGATGGAGAGACAGACCCACAGTCAGAAGCACATATTTCCAGGTATCCGTAATTTTGTAATTTTCATTTTCCTTTTACCTATATTTCATAATTATTCTGTATGTAACGTGGGTTATTTGCATCATCAAAATGCCTTTCAAAATAATGTGTAAAAACAGTATTAATTGCCTTTTTAAAAAATTATTATTATACTTTAAGTTTTAGGGTACATGTGCACAATGTGCAGGTTAGTTACATATGTATACATGTGCCATGCTGGTGTGCTGCACCCATTAACTCGTCATTTAGCATTAGGTATATCTCCTAATGCTATCCCTCCCCCCTCCCCCGACCCCACAACAGTCCCCAGAGTGTGATGTTCCCCTTCCTGTGTCCATGTGTTCTCATTGTTCAATTCCCATCTATGAGTGAGAACATGTGGTGTTTGTTTTTTTGTCCTTGCGATAGTTTACTGAGAATGATGATTTCCAATTTCATCCATGTCCCTACAAAGGACAAGAACTTATCATTTTTTATGGCTGCATAGTATTCCATGGTGTATATGTGCCACATTTTCTTAATCCAGTCTATCATTGTTGGACATTTGGGTTGGTTCCAAGTCTTTGCTATTGTGAATAAAAAATATGGAACGCTTCACGAATTTGCGTGTCATCCTTGCTCAGGGGCCATGCTAATCTTCTCTGTATCGTTCCAATTTTAGTATATGTGCTGCCGAAGCGAGCACTAATTGCCTTTTTTTTCTTGGACTGAGTTTGCTAACATCTGTGACATAAGGTTAAAGATGCACCATTTAGTGTCATTTTGCCCCCAACTCACTCTGTGACAACTTTTGGTGCCATGAATTTCCAGAGGGTGGGATGCACGTCTTGCTAACTGCAGCATCACCCCAACAGAGCAGCTCATGGTTATTGGCCTGAAATGGGAATTTTGATTAGGAACTAAGGAAAGGGCATCTCATTTCCTAGCTGTGAGCTTCTGGACAGTGGGGCTGTGTCTTTTGTCATCTTTGGGCTCCTGTTCTCCTTTCCACTGAAACATGGGCCAGTGGCTACCTGGTAGCAGTCACTCAGAAGTGTGATCCAGATCTCATTGTGGGTGGGGAGATCGAGGCACATAAAGATGAAGTGGCCTGTCCCCAGGCGCATAGCACCTGCCCCTGCTCCACTCACAGATACTGGGCGTTCTGTGCTAACAGGGGCACCTTCTGGGCAAGAGGATGAGGGGAGCACTGAACACCTCTCTCAAGAGAAATTTTTTTTCTTCTGTCACACATGCATACAAACAACAACCGATGAGCTTGTGGTTTGTCTTCAAGGTTCAGGAAGACTCAACTTTTCCAGCAGAAAGGACAATGATGCCTCAACAGAGCCGGATGACTCTCGATGGCCATGCCACTTAACAAAGCGTGGCCACCCACTTGTTCACCTGCAGCCTGAGGAAAGGAACAGCTGCAACACCTGCCAGGGACTTAGGGGATGAAGCCCTGGAGGCTGATCAGATATCCTCCTCTGGAGGTGGAGCCACATGGCTAATACGCCACTGGACACAGATGTGTGCAGTTTTGTGTTTGCTGTGGGCTGTGATGCAAATCGCATTTTGTAGTCCCCATCTTTGGAGATGCTCCAGACAGTCCCTCGGAGAAAGACAGAAATGGATCCCTTTGTTCTTTCTGTTCTTTCCAGGCAACCTGCCTCTGAGGGGAAGAGGGCCCAGACATAGGATGCTGGTAAGCAACTACTGTAATTGTCAGCGTAAGGGGCTGGAACTCAGGTTCCATCCTGCACACTTGCACAAGCCCACCAATGGGATCAAAGATGAAGGGTGGCAGCGATTGGAGAGGTCAGGATAAGAAGATTCAAGATGCCAGAAATCTGCAACATGAGATACAGCCCAGGCTCTGGGCTCGTTCCTCCAGGGCTGCGTCGCTGCGTAGCTGATGTGGCCTGTGAGCTGGGCCTCAAAGGACATTGCATTTAAAGCAGAGGAGAGGAGGAAATTTTTGGGAGATAAGATGGGATTTACAGAGACACCAAAAGAGCAAAAGAAAATAATTCCTGATGGTCTGAGCACATAGAGAGTCACCGTGGAGGAGACTGGACATTGGTACATATCCTACAATGCCTGCCCCATGGCTCTGGCCTCATGCCATGCCATGCAACATGGCACCTGGCATCTCAGTCAACAGATGTCCCAGATCTCAGTCGTTGGCATTTATTACCAAATTATTCTGCCATCTTATATTCAAGTCCTTCCAAAGCCTTTCTTGTTGTGGGAGGGGGAGAATCTTATTTTTTAAATTTTATTTTAGTTATTTTATGTATATAAGTTGTACATCATGATGGATTTTTTAAATACATTTAATTGTGTATGTTTAAGGTAAGCATCATGATGTTTATATATATATATGTGTATATATATATGTATGTATATATATATATATATATATATATATATAGTAAATTGGTTAATATAGTGAAGCAAATTAATGTACCCATGTTTTGTGTGTGGGGCTGAAGTATCTACAATCAACTCATTTAGCAAAAATCCTGAATACAAGACACTGTTAGTATTGGCGGTCCTCATGTTTTACATTAGATCTCTAGACTTGTCCGCCCTCTTTATCTGCGACTTTGTAACCCTTGACCTACTTCTCTGCAATTCCTTCCTGCCACACTGCCCCTGGTAACCACGGTGTAATTCTCTATTTCTGTATATTTGAATTTGTTTAAAAGATTTTACATATGAGTGAGATTATGCAATATTTTTCCTTCTGCATCTGACATATTTACTTAGCATAATGTCTTGCAATTCCATCCATGTTGTGGCAAATGGCAGGATCTCCTTTTTTGAGGCTGAAGGATATTCCTTTGTACATATATATCACAGTTTCTTTACCCATTTGCCTGCCAATGAACATTTAGGTTGTTTCTTATCTTAGATATTGAGAATAATGCTGGAATGGACATGACAGTGAAGATATCTCCCTGAGTGCTGATTTCCTTTCCTTTGGATGCATACCCAGAGGAGGAATTGCTACATCTTGTGGTACTTCTAACTTTAATTTCTTTAGGAAGCTCCACTTGCTGGTGTCAGGTGATAATGCATAATGGTTTTGATTTGCATTTCCCTGAGGATTAGTGACATTGAGCATCTTTTCATTAACCTGTGGGTCATTTTGATGTCTTCTTTGGATAAATAACTATTCAGATAATTTGCCCATTTTTTAATTGGGTTATATGTTTTTTGCTATTGAGCTGTGTGAACATTTTATAAATTTTGGATATTAAACCTTATCAAATATATGTCTTGCAATTATTTTTCCAATCTATAGGTTACTTTTTCATTTTGTTGATTGTTTTCTTTGCTGTGCAGAAGCTTTTCAGTTTGACATATTCCCATTTATTTATTTTTGCTTTTGTAGCCTTTTGGTGTGATATTCAAAAATTATTGCCAAGGGCAATGTCAAGGACCTGTTCTCCTATGTTTTCTCCTTGGAGTTTTATGGTTTCAGATTTTACATTTAGGTCTTGTATCCATTTTGAGTTGATTTTTGTGTATGGTACAAGGGCCCAGTTTTATTCTTTTGCGCATGCAAATCCAGTTTCCCCAGCATCATTTATTGAAGAGATTATCCTTTTCCCATTTTGTCTTCTTGGTGCCTTTGTCAAAAATTAGTTTACTGTATATATATATATAGATTTATTTTGGGGCTCTCTCTTTTGTTCCACTGGTCTGTGGTCTGATTTTATGCCAGTATCATAGTGTTTTGATTGTTATAGCTTTGCAATCTAATTTAACTCAGGAAGTGTGATAACTCCAATGTCATTTTCTCTTCTCAAAATTACTTTTATTATTTAGTTTTTTTATGGTTCCATACAAATTTCAGGATTTTTTAAATTTCTGTGAAGAATGCCATCGGGATTTTGATAAGGATGCCATTGAATCTGCATATTCCTTTGGGTAATATGGACATTTTAACAACATCAAGTTTTCAGATCCATGAATATGGGTTATCTTTCCACGTATTTGTGTCTTCTATTAATTTTATCAATGGTTTATAATTTTCAGTGTACATGTCTTTTACTTCCATGGTTAAACTTATTCCTAACTGTATTTTTGATGCTTTCATAAATACAATCGTTTCCTTGATTTCTTTTTCACGTAGGTTGTTATTTGTGCACATAAATGCAACTGATTTTGTATCCTTTAACTTTACCAAGTTTGTTTTTTAGTTCTAACATTTTTTTTTTTTGGTGGAGTCTTTGGGGTTTACTAAATATGGGATCATGCCATCCATAGAGATAATCTGAGTTTTTTCTTTCTGATTTAAATGCCTTTTATTTCTTTTTCTTGTCTAATTGCTCTTGCTAGTATTTCCAGTACCACGCTGAATAGAAGCAGCAAGAGTGGGCATCCTTGCCTTGTACCAGATCTTAGCGGAAAAGCTTTAATTTTTTTCCCATTGACTATGATGTTAACTGTGGCTTTTTCATAGCCTTTTTTATGATGACAAACTTTCCATTTATACCTAAACTGTTGAGAGTTTAAATCAAGAAACAATGTTGAACTTCGTTGAATGCTTTTTCTGCATCAATTGAGATGATCATGTGATTTTTATCTTTCAGTCTGTTAATGTATCACATTGATTAATTAGTATATGTTAAATGAGGGTCCATGTCAGTGATAAATTTCACTTGATCATGATGTATAATATTGTGATGTGTTGTTGAATTTGGTTTGCTAATATTTTATTGTGTTTTTTTCATCAATATTTTCAGCGATATTGGCCTGTAGTTTTCTTTTCTTACAGTATCTGTCTGGCTTAGGTATCAGGGTGATCCTGCACTCATAGAATGTGTTAGGAAGTATTCCCTCTAGGTGTATTTTTTGGAAGAATTTAGGAAATGTTGGTATTAATTTGTCATTGAATGTTTGAAGGAATTTAGTTGCAAAACCATTTGATTCTGGGCTTTTTGTTGTTGTCGTACTTGTTATGAAATTTTTAATTACTACTCTGATCTTTTTATTTGTTATTGGTCTGTGTAGGCTTTTTATTTCTTCCTAATTCAATTTTGGTAGGTTAAATTTTTCTTGGAGTTTGTCTGTTTCCCTTAGGGTATCCAATTTGTTGGCATAATATTGTTCACAATAGTCCTTTATGATCCTTTTTATTTCTGAGGCATCTGTTGTAATGTCCTTCCTTTTATTTCTGGTTTTATTTATTTGAGGCTTTTCTCTTTTTTTTTTTTTAAGTTTACCTCAGGGTCTGTCGATTTTGTTTGTTTGTTTTTAAACTAACTCTTAGTTTTATTGATTTCTTCTATGGTTTTTTATTCTATTTTGATTTATTTCTGTTCTGATATTTGTTATTCCCTTCCTTCTTGTAACTTTGGGCTTGCTTTGTTCATTTTTTAGCTCCTTGAGGTGTAATGTTAGGCTATTTATTTGGGGCCATCTTCTCTTTTAATGTAGGTATTTATTGATCAGTACTCTTAAGAATCTTAACTTTGGTGGTGCATACATGAACTTAACATGGGTGGTAAATTTATCTAGAACTAAACGCGCCTAAATACATACACAGACACACAGATAAGTATAAGTAACACTGGAGAAATCTGAACAAAATCAGTGAATTGTATCCATGTCAATATTCTGGTGTGATATACTAAAATGGTTATTGCTGGGGGAAGGTGAGTTAAATATACCTAGGATTTCCCTGTATTATTGTTTGCAACTGCATATAAATCAACAGTTATCTCAATAATAAGTTCAATTAAAAAACCAAAATTTTATGCATATATCAATATGACATGCTTAAAAGAAGACTTGTAAATTTGCCTTTGCAGAAGGAGGGAAAGGTCGTGAGTGATTCCCACTTCTCTTGGAAAGGCCCATAGTTAGCCCATATTCTCTGAGCCCACATGCAGTGTGCTATTCACATCCCAATAATGCCGATTGATAAATGACACACAGTTTTTATACTTTTTACTCGAGACTTTTACAAGGATAAGCTTAGCTGAATTGTACAATAACATTGTAAATTAAGCTATTTGAACTTTATTTTACAAGAAAGCAAAAGTGTTGCAAAATGCCTTGCTAAATGCCCACAGATGGTGAATGATAAGGAGTTAAACATAGCTGTTTGCTCCAAGTCCAGAGCTCTAAGCTGCTTGTACTGTCTCAGCCCCATTCTTTTTTTTTTTTTTTTTTTGAGACAGAGTCTTGCTCTGTCACCCAGGCTGGAGTACAGTGGTGCAATCTTGGCTCACTGCAACCTCCATCTCCCGGGTTCGAAAAATTCTCCTGTCTCAGCCTCCTGAGTAGCTGGGATTACAGGCATGTCCACCATGCCTGGCTAATTTTTGTATTTTTAGTAGAGAGAGGGTTTCACCATGTTGGGCAGGCTGGTCTCAAACTCCTGACCTCATGATCTGTCCTCCTTGGCCTCACAAAGTGCTGGGCCACACCCAGCCCAGCCCCATTCTTA
This sequence comes from Homo sapiens, assembly GCF_000001405.40. Classification (NCBI taxonomy): domain Eukaryota; kingdom Metazoa; phylum Chordata; class Mammalia; order Primates; family Hominidae; genus Homo; species Homo sapiens. The sequence goes on from NC_000015.10 coordinate 30,260,272, forward strand.
ACAAGAGATCCTATTGCCCAGATTCAAAGGCTCTGTGGGAAACAAGGATACCATTTACAGTACTGGTGAAAATACAGAACGTTTCTCTTTCTTAAGCCTTGTATAGTCACCACCCCCACATTCATGCCTGCCGCCAGCCTTGGTTGTTGATAATGCCATGAACACTAGGCTCAGGCCATAGAGCTGTGCGGGCTCTAAGCAATGCCCACTCCTGAGATGGGGCTTATCAGCTGCAGAGACCTCCTTGTCCGGGTTTGGAAAATTCCAAGGGTCAGAGTGCAACTGAACTTTTTCTTTTGCAATTTGCACCTGTGGGTCCTAGTGCTACCTCTGGAGTTAGCACTTCTTTCGTATGCCAGTTCTCCCAGGGTCTGCTGGCAGTGTGCTGGAAGTGGCTGGTGCTGCGGGGCAGCTGTGGGCAGAGGACCAGGGGAGCCACTCCTCCTGGTACACTGGGAGATGGAGGTGACAGCCTGAGCTATATGGGTTCCCTTAGCAGCTGACACATTCTCATCTCAACCCAACAAGGATGAAAGATCTACCTTTGGGGAAAGGTGATGGAATCATAGCAATGATGTTCTAGGAATCCAGTTTCTTCATATTTGAGAAAATGACTTACATGTGCAAAAATGTCTATGCTGGAAATAATACAGCTTTATACAATATAGCACTCTGATTTGAAGAACCTTGCCCTGCATTCTCTTGTGTGAACCTGCCCACAGCCATGTGACACGAGCCAGGCAGCACTCTTGCATTTAGAACTTGGCAGAGATAAAAATGAGGCTCCACACCTAATGCTTTCCTTCAGTACTGGATTCAGCCGCTTCACTTATTTTTTTCTGCCAAAACACCACTGTATTTTCAGCCTCCCAGGTACGGGGACGAATTTAAGGCTGCCTGCCCAGTAGACAGTTTAGTGTGGGGTAAATAGCACCATTCTAGCTTCATGGCTTCCCCGAGCCCATCCTGCTCTGCCCCCGGCTGGCCGCCTGTCGTTCCAGCCTCGCCCTGTTTCCCTCCGTCCCCTCTTTAGCACTTGTTCTCTTGGTCCTCATCTTTCTTCCAGGAGGGCATGTCCTGGGTCCCTGTGCCTAGGATCTGTTTCCCTTTCCTGCACTGCCCTTTCTCCTGGCTCTTCTTTTCCGTCGCCCTCCCCCTCCTACCAGCTTGCTCCTTGCCTTAGACACAGACATTGACAGGTCCAGCGAAGAGCGCCTTTGCTGCAGCCCAGTGTGTCCAGATCTTCCCGCACCTGTGCCGCCTGGCGCTGCTGAGGCAGGGACTCCCGTCTCCCCAGGAGCTACCTGGAGGAGGCTCAGAATCCATCCTAAGGAGTTTGATGACATATGTGCCAGATCGTGTAGAGGTGTCCAGGTATGCCCCACCATGTGGACCGTAACACAGACACGCGGGATGGATGGACGCGTCCCCCCTTGGAAGTGTCCAGAGAGTGCCAAGGGCAGGCTCTCCATCCTCGCTGGGAGCATAGCCAGCGCCACACACAGAGGCCAGGTCTCAGCTCAGCCTGGGAGCGCCCGGTTCTTTTTACTGCTCTGTCTGCCTCCCTTTCTGAGTGTAACAGTTCCTCTCCTTCCTTCTTCACCTCTTCCAATCTGTCCCAAACACCAGCTTCCCCAGGGATTCACGTCCCAAATCCTTAACCACCACATGGGACAAGCATCAACCCCGACACGAATCAAGCAGAATCCGTACCAACCAGGACCCCAGAGGTCCCTTCAGGACCTCAGGGAGTAGGGCTGGGTCGGGGGTGTCTTGAGGAAAGCCAGGGTGACCCGAGGCCCTGGGGGAATCTCAGTCTTGTAAAAAAGCGGCTTGGCCACAGCTGTGGTTACCACTCATCTCTCATGAGCGCTCTCATCATGCCTCCCTACTTTCCTCCTTCCGCGAGTCTGCAGGAAGGGTTTTCTAGGCCCCTTTGCCCATTTCCCATCCACTCGGCCTCAGCACAGCCCGTAGCGGCCACCAGAGGGCGCCCCTCTCCTGCAGCTCCGCATCCCCGCACAGCTGAAGTCCAGCCAAGCCCTGGCCTTGGAAGACCCTTCTGCTTTCTAACCTGACAGAGGCGCGTGGAGGTGGGGGGGCCCTCAGAGCTGCAGAATGGACAAAAACTCAAAAAGGGTGTGAATTTCGCCATGAGGTCCGGGTTCCTGGGGCTTCGCTGTTGTTCTGTTTATTTTACCCGAACCCTCCTATACCATCTGTATGAGAAAATATTCTCAAATATTGAATCATGTAGGACTTTTTTTTTCTTTTAAAGGATTTGATATGTTAATGGGTTAATTTGGGCAGAGATACCTCCATCTCCAATCCCCTTCTGTCAATAACAGCTCTAGTTACCATGAGAACTTTTGGGCTTTTCTTAAACAGCCCATTCTCCTGTTCAATCTTTTTGGTAATCAAAATAGCCTCCAAAGGGCATTCTTTTAAAATCCCATAAGATCCTTCATCACTTTTGTCACCATAGAAATAATAAACACATAAATAACCCTCCAAAGGCAAAAAATTTATCAAAAATGAGATATCAGAAATATAAAAATTCAGTGGCTCTTGGTCAGCTGGTGCTGGAAGACCCGTGGCTTACAGAAGAGAGAAGGGACCTCTGAAGTTCTGCACAGTTGTTGAAAAGCCAGATGCAAAATCTGTACCTAAGACTGGTGCGTGAGAGACTCACGTTCCTCCATTTCGAATCTGGTTAACTTGCTATGATTGAGAAGCTCGCTCACAAATCCTCACCCTCTCATTCCTATCCTTTCTGGATTGAGTGAAAGATTTTCAGGTTGTGAAGGCTGAAGAAAATGGCTGCTGACTTCACAACCTGTTTCAGCCAAATTGCAAAGCCCCAAAGGGTCAGTAAAATTCTTGCTGGGCTTCATCAGACATTACATTTCATAGGGGCACGGGAGGAGTGTGCTCTTCTGTCTAATGAAATGTGGGCCTTCAGCCTCACTTCCACTGTGATTCTTGAAAAACATTTATTTCCTCACTAACGGTTCAGTGTTCAGCAACCTGGGAGGTTTGCCCTAGTACTATTCTACAAGGTCACAGGTATACTTTGCAAGGTTCTGCCTCTCTTTCTCTCGGAGAGCTTATTCTCTCTTGTGGCCTAAACCTCACCTCTGTCTGCACATGACACTCAAATCAGTTTTTTTCTGCTTTATGCTTGTGTCTCCAGAGCTGTTTCAATGACTGTATTCGGAGTCTCTGCTTGCAGCGTGCTCTGCATGAGAACAGGCACCAAGCCTGCCTATAATTGGAAGATCTGCCTGAATTTCCATAGTGAAGGTCTACACTGCCTCCCAGCCCATTCATTCCCTTCATCATTTCATTCCAGTAGTTTTCTAAAGTGTGGCCACTATGTTGTTGATTATGGCAACCCAGCATCCACACAGGACAACAGGGGGCCCAGGGCCAGTCCTGGCTGCTGCTTATATTTTGGCCCCAGGGATCCATCTGATTTTGTCATTGAAGTGCTGGCACATCCATCCCCACTGATGTTTGTCAAATGATTTCCCAGCTCAGATTGGAATCTCAAAGGTAATTTTCACAAAATTGGAAACAGCTCCTCTGATATGTCCCTGAAAACAGTTTTTGTTGCCCATATGGAGGATGTGACAGGACATCACTAGGAAGATGGACAGACTCAGCCTGCAACATCCCCTTTCCACTGCCAAAGTTGTTAGCAATCCAGACAGACTGTCACCTTGAGGCTCAAAGATCATCTTACCCCCAAACACTCTGACGACCTCTCTCCCTGTGTGCCTTGATGCAGGTACTGAGTCTTGCAGCAGAGCAGTGCCAGGCCCTGTGCTGAGGCCTGCCTGCCAGCAGGATTCGCTCCTTCCAGTAACAGGCACTGATTGAGTCCTCCCTGTATCACAGGCATCGGGGAGGAGTGGCAGGTCCAGCTGTCTATGAGCCAGACACCGTCTCTCTGTCTTCAGCCCAGCTGGATATGGAGAACATTCAACAAATAATTGCACATGTAGTTAATAATTACATTTGTGATAAATACCAGCAAGGAGAAGGATGTGTTGTCATAGAATATGCAACAAGATGGTCTCTGGGACTGGATGGGGGTGGAGAATCAAGAAGTGTATCTTGATGGATGGGCTCAGAGGGGCTTGCAGAAGAGGGACACCAGTGTTCAGGGTCATTTGGTGGCAACGCAGGATTGGCTGGAGCTGCGGTGCTCGTGTTCACCTTGCCAGCTACCATTTCACATCCTGCAGAGGAGGCAGGAGGCAGCCGTGGAGATGGTTTTTCACAAGACAGCAAGGAGATTAAGATGGTGGAGAGGAGGACTAGCTTAATGCTCCCACTTGGACGGACAGAGCAGTGTGTGGAGACTCACATTGTGAACTTCTGCTCCAAGAAGTACCACAGGAATCTACCAAGAAAGTCAAGAGAATCCACAGACCCTTTGAAGGAACTGGATCCCTGCTACAGGCTCCCTGAGATGCCAAAAAACTATGAGTCTGCTTATTTTCTCAGTGGGGAGGCTGGTGGTCTGGGGCAAGTTCTCAGCCCTGGTCACCAGCTGCCTGGAAGTAGACTCAGTGCTGTTGCCGGGGCACAGTGGAAGTAATACTGGCCTCTAGGACTGCCGGCTGCATGGGAGTGGGGTGAGGCCTATGATTGCCGGTTTTCCCCCACTTCCCTGGCAACCTGTGTAATGCAGCAGAGACAGCCATAATCTCCCTGGAAATATAACTCCATTGGCCTGGGGGCCACACCCCCACAGCAGCCACAGCAAGCCCTGCCCCAGGAAAGTCTGAGCTCAGACATGCCTATCCCTGTCCCCACCTGGTAGTCTTTCTCTACCCTCCCTGGTAGCTGAAGAAAAAGGCCATAGTCTCTTGGGAGCTCTGTGGCCCTGCCCAACACCTGAGAAACCTGAATGCTTAACCAGGTGACCCTAGGCCAAGTTTGCATCCTCCCTCATGCACCTCATGCACCTCATGCACTCTTGAAAGCACCACCTCCTGGCTGGAGGCCAACCAACACAAAATCAGCACAAAGCCAGCACACTAAACAAAAATACAACTAAGGACCCTCACAGAGTCCACGTCACTCCCCTGTTGCCTCCACCAGAGCAGGTGTTGGTATCCACAGCTGAAGACCTGAAGACAGATCACATCATAGGACTCTTTGCAGACACTCTCCAGTACCAGCCTGAGCCTGGTAGCTCTGCTGAGTGGCAAAAAATAATCACAGCGGTTTGGCTCTCAGGAAGTCCCATCCCTACGGGAAGGAGGAGAAAACCACATAAAGGGAGCACCCTGTGGGAAAAAAGAATCTGAACAGCAGCCCTTGAGTCCCAGATCTTCCCTCTGACATAGTCTACCCAAATGAGAAGGAACCAGGAAAACAATTCGGGTAATATGACAAAACAGGCTTCTCTAACACCCCCAAAAAATCACACCAGTTTAACAGCAATGGATATAAACCAAGATGAAATCACTGAATTGGCAGACAAAGAATCAGAAAGTTGATTATTAAACTATCAAGGAGACACCAGAGAAAGGTGAAGTCCAACTTAAAGAAATCAAAAACATGATATAGGACATAAAGGGAAAAATCTTCAGTGAAATAGATAGCATAAATAAAAAACAATCACAACTTCTGGAAATCAAGGACACACTTATAGAAATGCAAAATCCACTGGAAAGTCTCAGCAATAGAACTGAACAAGCAGAAGAAAGAACTTCAGAGCTCGAAGACGAGGTTTTCGAATTAACCCCATCCACCAAAGACAAAGAATAAAGAATTTTAAAAAATGAACAAAGCTGCCAGGAAGTTTGGGACTATGTTAAGTGTCCAAACCTAAGAATAATTGGTGTACCCGAGGAAGAAGAGAAATCTAAAAGTCTGTAAAATATATTTGAGGGAATAATTGAGAAAAACTTTCATGGCCTTGCTAGAGATCTAGACATCCAAATACAAGAAGCTCAAAGAACACCTGGGCAATTCATCACAAAAATATCATCACCTAGACGCATAGTCATCAGGTTATCAAAAGTCAAGATAAAGGAAAGAATCTCAAGAGCTGTGAGGCAAAAGCATTAGGTAACCTATAAAGGAAAACCTGTCAGATTAACAGCAGATTTCTCAGCAAAAACCCTGCAAGCTAGAAGGGATAGGAGTCCTATTTTTAGCCTCCTTGAACAAAACAATTATCAGCCAAGAATTTTGTATCCGGCGAAACTAAGCTTCAGAAATGAAGAAAAGATAAAGTCTTTTTCAGACGAACAAATGCTGAGAGAATCTACCACTACCAAGCTGGCACTACAAGAACTGCTAAAAGGAGCTCTAAATCTTGAAACACATCCTCAAAATACACCAAAATAGAACCCCCTTAAAGCATAAATTTCACAGGACCTGTATATCAATAGCACAATGAAAAAAACAACAAAGTATTCAAGTAACAAATAGCATGATGAATAGAATACTACCTTACTTCTCAATACTAACGTTGAATGTAAATGGCCTAAATGCTCCACTTAAAAGATACAGAATGGGGCCGGGTGCGGTGGCTCATGCCTGTAATCCCAGCACTTTAGGAGGCCGAGGCGGGCGGATCATGAGGTCAGGAGATCGAGACCATCCTGGCTAACACGGTGAAACCCCATCTCTACTAAAAATACAAAAAAATAGAAAAAAATTAGCCGGGCGTGTTGTTGGGCGCCCTCAGCCTGTGAGAGGCTGAGGCAGGAGAACGGTGTGAACCCAGGAGGCGGAGGTTGCACTGAGCCGAGATCATGCCACTGCACTCCAGCTTGGGCGACAGAGCGAGACTCTGTCTCAAAAAAAAAAAAAAAAGATACAGAATGGGCCCAGTGCAGTGGCTCATGCCTGTAATCCCAGCACTTTGGGAGGCCAAGACAGGTGTATCACCTGAGGTCAGGAGTTCGAGAACAGCCTGGCCAACATGGTGAAAACCCAAATACAAAAAAATTAGCTGGTCATGTGGGTGCATGCCTGTAATCTCAGCTACTCAGGAGACTGAGGTGGGAGAATTACTGGAACCCAGGATGGAGATTACAGTGAGCTGAGATCATGCCACTGCACCCCAGCCTGGGTGACAGAGTGAGACACCATCTCAAAACAAACAAACAAACAAAAAGGAATGGCAGAATGGATACAAATTTACCAACCAAGTTTCTGCTGTCTTCAGGAGACTCAGCTAACACATAAGCACTCACATAAACTTAAGGTAAAGGGGTGGAAAAAGATATTCCGTGCAAATAGAGACCAAAAGTGAGTAGGAGTAACTATTTTTATATCAGACAAAACAAACATTAAAGCAACAGCAGTTAAAAAAGACAGAAGGCAGTTTGTGGGGAAGAGGGGGCTTAGGGAGCACATAGCACTGGGCAGACCTGGTGGGGGCAGGAGGGCTGGAGAGTGAGGCTTGGAAGTTTCCTAATTCCATGGGCCAGGGTCCTGCCAGTGTTTATCTCTACCTTTCAAAATCTGTACTATCATTGGAGTCAAATGTACATTTGCACACAAAAACTAAACAAAGAAATGAAAACAAAAGTCTGCCCCATGTCAAACCAACATCTGGGATGCCTGCTCAAAGCCAGCTCTTGTTTCTGTTTCTTCTTCTGTTCCTCTGGAGGATCTTCTATCCCTCGTTTCTTGATTTAGATACTTTCTATTATTCCTTGCCTCTTCTCTCTTTCCACTCCCTCTCAATTTTTCTTAGTTATGGTCTGATTTTTACTTCTTTTGCCTTTAAAACTTTTTATGAGTTGTGTGAGCATATTTTTCTGGTTGCACCAATTTGACAGTCTCTCTTGTCTCCCTTTTATCTGAGATGAGGAAATATTTTTCCCTGTGCTTCCCTTCTGCTAGTTTCCGGAGCTGTACCTGACTTTCACATTTATGACGTTTTAACTCTTACACTCCTATTCCTTAATCCCAAGTCTCCTGGGCTTGCTCTAGATGTTGACTGAAAACTAAGAAGCAGCCTTCACAATATTAGGAGGATTGTCACTGCAAACAGGAGTGTAGTGCACTTGGCTGCAGATAGAAGGACCTGGGATTCCCAGACTGATACATCTAAGAAGCACATACTAAAATTCAAAGTCAAGTCAAATGAAGTCTCAAACACTTTTGTAGCCTATCTAAAGGTATAAAGCAGGGATTCGCAAATATTTTCTGTACAGAATCAAATAGCAGATATTTAGGCTTTGGGGCCATAGGGTGTCTGTCACAGCCACTACCCTCTGCTGTTGCAGAGTGGAAGCAGCCATAGAAACTGCAGGATAAAATAAGTGTCATGAGTTCCAACAAAACTGATTTACAAAAAGAGGCCACTGCCAAACCCTGGTCCAATGCAGAGGATCAAAAACCCCTGGAGGGCTTGCTGAAGGCAGATTGCTGGGTGCCATCCACAGTTCCTGATTCAGCAGGTCTGGGGTGGCCTAAGGATGTGTATTTCTAACAAGTTTCCAGGAGGTGTCCATGCTGCTAGCCCATGGCATGTGCTTGTTGCTTGGCACTAAAGCATGACTCTCTTCTACATATTTGTGAGTTTCCTAGAATTCCCAACATTTTCCCTTTGTTTTAAACTTGTCCTCTGACTTATCACCAAGATTTTCCACCATCGTGATGCTTTTGCTTTCACAAGTCTGCTTTCTTCTTAAACGTTTCTCCCTAGCAACATTTGCACCTGCACTCCCCTGACCTTGCACTGTGGTAGACCAGTTGCTCTCTAAGTCTGCTGCTCAGTTGTCATCTGAGATAGTCCTTTATTGTCTTGAGGATGGGGCTATGTCTCCTTTTGTCTAGGATTTTTATTGGTTTTACTGCAGAATATCATCAAGGATTTATCTTTTTCACTGAAGATGCATAAAGGGTAAACATTCTGAGGCCTAGGATGACTGAAAATGTGTTTATTTGGCATCGACACTCAGTATAATTTTTTTTTACCAGGTGTAGAATTCTAAGTTGAAAATAATTTCCTCTGTGGACTTTGAAGTTACTGCCTCATTGTATTCCAGTGTTACTAATGAGAAATCTGATGCGAGTTTGACTGTGATTTCTTTACAGATGCCCTGTTTTGTTCCTTGTCTTCTAAAACATCACAATGATGCATTTAGGGGTGGGTGATTTTTTTATATCTCCTGATCAACCGTCGGTGACTTTTTAAGTCGAGATGCACGCAGCACCTCCTCATAGCTCTGGAAAATGTTCTCCTAATAGGCTATTCTTTGATCATTTCATTTTTATCAGTTTCTGTATTTTCTCTTTATGTAACTCTTTGGACTTCCTGGATTTAAATGCTCTTATTAAACTTTTTTTCTCATATCTCTCTTCATGTTTTCTCTTTTTATGTACATGCTGACAGTTGTCCTTCAAGTTTTCTTTCAGACATCGTATCTTTATTGTAATGATTATATTTCTAATATTTAAGAATATTTTATTTTCTGATTTCCTCTTTTTCATTGACATATGCCCTTGTTTAATGGGTGCAATATTGTCCAGCTTCTCTTTAAGATACAAGTTAGAATATTTTAAAAGTGTACTACATTTGATGAATTTTTGAATTTTTGCCATCTTTCTCCTGAGTCAATTATTCTGTTTATGCATCTTGGCCTATTATGAATAGAATGTTTGTGTCTCCCCCAGATCCACAGGTTTAAGCCATAATGCCCGGTGTGGCTATATTTGGAGGTGGGGGAGGGGGGTCTATAAAGAACTAAAGTTAATAAGATCTTAAGGGTGGGGCTTTGATCCGAAGGGATTTGTGTTCTTATAAGAAGATACACCCCAGTGCTCTCTCACAGCATCTCTCTGTCTCTTTTCATGCAAGCCCCAAGGAAAGACCATGTGAAGACACATGGAGAAGGTGGCTGTCTGCAAGCCAGGAAAAGAGCCCTCACCAGGAACATGTTGAGAGAAGCAGTCACACAAACGTAGTCTTTTGACCTCTGTACAGTTGCATAGGAGTGTGCCTTGGGTTAGGAACATTTTCTTACAAAGAGATAAAGAGCTTTCACAGCCTGCGCTGTCCATTACCCTTTATGGGGAACCTCTTTCTCTGTTCTGGACTGGAGGCGTACTTCTTCGTTCTACTAAAGCATGTGCATCATATGGCACCTGAACGACCCCACTGCTGGGAACAGGGGCCTTTGTCTATAGCATGAGTGTGTGGAACATCTCCCTGTGCTGGCTGTGGGGTGAGACCCACTGGCCATGAGGGATCAACAGTCGAAACTGAAGCTGCTCTTGCTCTGTGTCTTCTCTATGTGCATAAAGCGTTGTTCCATCCAGTGCCTGCATGAGTCGTGCCTGAAAATCATGTGGTGGGTTGACGTCTTGGGATTACTGCTCCTGGAGGCAGGCATTGTTATGCTTTCTGTTCTCCACTGTTTAGTGGGACTCTGCTGCTGGAGGTGGTCACAGGTGTCACTTGCTTGACTTGGACTTCCAGCCTCCAGAAACTTAATCTTGAACTTGCATCCTCCATCACTGTGAGAAAAAATTTCTGTTGTTTGAAGCACTCAATCTATGACATTTTGTGATGTCAACCTGAGCAGACTAAGACATGACCCCTCTTTTGTATGTAATTAGGTTTATTTAATATTGAATGGACTTTGTTGATCCTCAGGTTTATTCCCCTACCCCTGGATGACAGACTGCAGACTGCTGCCCCCATACAAACATGAGGGTAGCTTTATTTGTAAGAGCTGACATCCACATAGGGAGCCCTAACACTCCCTCTGCAGTCCAGTGACAATTATGTTGACTGTCAGTGAATGTCCAAGTCAGTGTGTGTTCAAGGGGCAGCCAGCTGACATTTGCCTGCAATGTGGATGTGGCAGCACATCCTGCCAGTGTGGCAGAGGGGGGACCCTGGCCTCAGCATGGGAATGTTCCCTGGAAGGCTCAGTCCTTTCATCATTCAGGTTATCATGGCGTCATCATTCGTGTAATGTACTGTGAGGCCATGTGGCCCTCACTCATATATACCTGACATGTGACACAAATTCACTGTTTGTTTTATTATAGAATTTTTTTCACTTAATACAAAGTGGAAAACTTATAGAAAGCACAAGCATATTTCTGTGTGTTCTCAGTGTCTTTGGGCCATAGTTTCTGCAGAATATCTTGGAATTGGTTCACTTGGAGCATAATGCCAGAGCAGCATTTTCCTAACAGATATCTCAGGGTTGGTGAGGCACCTCCCCTTGTCAGAGAAAGAGCACTGGACACTGTTAGAGGCAGCAAGACAGATTTCACTCAGACTACTGCAGTAGGGCAGAGAGGCTCCAGTATGAATCAGTTTAATTCCAAATAAGACAAAGGTGACTGGGGTTTTCAAAGGGAGATCTGATAGGGCACACAACGAGATTATGGGAAGTAAAAAAAGGGGGACCAGAAAAGAGACTGGGGGCTATAAGTAGGAAGCTACAGAGTGGAGTTGCAGAGGATTACTGAAAATGGTTTGGCCTTGTGGGTTGGGACAATTTACATCTGGCAGTTCAGGAGCATTGCATTTTCTTGAGCAGAGACTCACACAAGAGCTGTGTCACTTTTAGGCACATGACTAGTGCAGGTAGAAGCCAGGCTGAAGTGTGGCCAAGGATCTCAGCACTGCATGTGGGCAAGTCCTTTGGGTCATTGGGAAGTTCACAGTTCACACCCCAACCCAAATAAAACATTTGGAAACAAAAACATTTGGAAATCACGCAAGGTCTATCTTCCCACTTTCCCACCTGTGGACATATAGGAAGTTTTGCATGAAAGAAACTTTGTTTTCTGTCATGCAACATTTCTCAAACATTCTTGGTATCCTACACGAAATCTATTTATATCCAACATAACTAATGTTCTGAGGAACCCACTTTATGAAACAGGATTTTGTACTGCTATTAGTGGTGAGTCACAATAAGAAGGGAAAGATACCCAAGCTCGCATTGTGAGAGGTCATACAGAGATGGGTCCAAATGGAATCAGGAGTTGAGAGGCATAGAGATGTCCCTAGAAACTGGAGGAGACCACCAAGTTGTTCTAAAGCCAGGAGAAGAATCTAACATTGGCCTGAAAGCTAAAGCCTACCTGTGGGTACAAATTGGACAAAGGATACTTTGCTGGACAGTCAGAAATTCAGCTGTGGAGCACCAGGCTGGCAGTGAGCTCTGCCCTCAGGCACGCCACATAGGCAGCACCAGGACTGAGGACATCTGAGGCTGAGAACGGATGTAAGAACCATCTTGGGTGTTGTAAGATGAATTGCATCCCCCCCAAATTCAGATGTTGAAGTTCTAACCACCCCTTTGGTGCCTCAAAATTCAGAACGTGACTGGATTTGGAGCTAGAGTGTTTAAAAAGGCAATTAAGGTTAAACGAGGTCATATGCCTGGGTCCTAATTCAATATGACTTCCGTCCTTAAGAGGAGATTAGGATGCAGTCCTGCACAAAGGGAAGAACAGGCAGAGACAAAGGAAGATAGCAGCCATCTACACATCAAAGAGACAGGCCTCAGGAGAAAGCAACTCTGCTGACACCTCGATCTTAGACTTCTAGCTTCTAGAATTGCGAGAAAATAAACTTCTGTCACTTAAACCACTCTGTCTGTGGTATTTTGTTATGGCAGCCCTAATAAACTAATACACTAGGGGCACAGAGCAGGTGGGGAAGCCAGATGCAATCGGTCAAAAGAAAAAAAAACTATTTAGTAGCCAAAGAAGACAGGTGCAAATAAGCAAGCCACGGTTAGAGTCTACAACAGTTAGCTTAACTCTGAGCCTAACCCTAGCTGGCCAAGAGACACAGACCATCATGACAAGGGACTGGGGGACTGGACTTTCCAGGAGGACTGGAACACAGGACAAAGCAGTGGGCAGGACCCAGCTCCCCTATCAGACAGGGAAGAATCAGAGACTTGTAGCCACAGGGAGCTCTTCAAAATTCATGCTGGAGCTGGAACCAATCTCAAGATATGAATTGAGTTGAGAGATGTGAGATATTTAAGATGCTGATCATAAAGTTATCACGTCTGAGCCTGGAGCAGAGAGTACCGGTGACATGAAGCAATCCCAATTGTTTTAGATGATTTAAATCTATGACAATTAGCCTTATCTCTGTGTTCATCACAACATTTGGACATGACCATGGCGAAGAAATTACTGCCAGTTGTACTTAATGGGCTCAAATTCAAGCTGAAGTTTTAAAACATGAAAATAAGAAGATTTTATTAATATATAAATTGTAATGTTTTCAAGGGAGAGTTAGCATCACAGTCCCTTTGCAAAATGTTGTCTAGGGAAGCTCAATTTAAGTGTTTCTCATTGGGCCAATGGAGACTTAACAGAAAACACATCTTGACAATAGATTTGGTCTGTTGAAATGATGACGTTTGTTGGCCAAGGACTGAGGATTCATGCTGTGCACTGCCAAGTCCTATGCTCTTCTTCAACTCTGCTACTGCCTGCTTTTCATTGTCGTCATTGGTTCTTCTTCCAGAGTACAAAGAAGAAAAGAACATAGGGCAAAAAGTGCTATTTGTGACTTTTTAGCACACATAAAGTAATTATAAGTAGGCATGAAAGCAAGGCATCCCAGAGTTTGGAAAGTTTAATAAACACACTTTAGTTAAAGTGTAGGTAAGTGGGTAAGTATGCAAAGTTAGACTTAAAAAAACAGACCGTGCAAAAACAAGACAAAATTGCATTTTAATTGATGATATTGATCTACCTGAAGAAGTAATGTGTCACTTAGAAGAAAAGAGTCCAGCGTGGATTACAAGAAGACATAATCAGAGATGCAAGTTGAAGGTCATTTAAGAAAACATGTCAGTGAAGTTCCTTCCAGGCCTGTGCTTGGGGGCCATACACATTCACTGAGTGAACTTACATATAAGACCTCTAACTAATTCCCATTGCTGTGAATCTATATGCACCACAAAACTTTCGGATTCTCATTTGACTTCCCTTAAGTCAGAATAAACTTTCAGTTTTGTGGTAGATAATTTTATTATAAAATAAAGAATTATTTTGCTTCATATATTGGTTTCCTGTCTGCTTGTTATTGTGGATTTTCTTCAGTGATGGCCCTCAGCCTCTACTGAGGCACAAACAAAACCAAGTTTTGCTATGGCAAAGGAGGTGGCGACTGTGAAATGCTCTAGTGCATGCAACTCAGGACTGCTGGGGAGGCACCGGTTTGGAGCAGGCATGCAGGCATCCCTCTGCTGGTACCCTCTCACCTGACCTAGGCCTGCAATCCAGAACAACGCTTTTGGGAAGAAAAACTGATGTCTGGAACTGATAGGGAACCTGAAGAATTTATGTGGTTTATTATTGTGTCTGTGCCTTGAACTCTTTTTAGCAAATAAAATCTAATTGAGTTTAATTGAATTGAACATGGATACATTACATAGATAACATTTTCTAAGGCTACAGCTGCCATAGATAGTGATCGCTTTGATGTATCCAGGCAAAGTAAATAAAAAGCCTTTTGGAAAGGACTCACCATTCTAGACGCCACAAAGAACATGTGTAATTCATGGGAGGAGGTCAAAATATCAACATTAACAGGAGATTGGAAGAAGTGTATTCCAACCCTAAGGATGATTTTGAGGGGTTCAAGGCTTCAGTGGGAGAAGTAACTGCAGTTGTGGTGAAAATAGCAAGAAAACTAGAATTAGAAGTGGAGAATTGCTGCATCTCTTGATAAACTTGAATGGATGAGGAGTTTCTTCTTATGAGTTACCAAAGAAAGTGATTAGTTAAGATGGAATCTACTCATGGTGAAGATACCATGAACACCATTGAAATGACTACAAAGGATTTAAAATATTACATAAATTTAGTTAGTAAAGAAGTGGCAGGGTTTGAGAGGATTGACTTCAATTCTGATTGAAGTTCTACAGTGGATAAAATGCTATTAAAGGAAACTTGCTTAAGGAAAGAGCCCAGGGAGGGATAACTTAAGCCAGCATTTGAGTTGAGGAGACAGAATTGGGACAGAGTTGGCTCAGGGGAACCAACGTAGCTAGAGTTCATGGGACAGAGTACGAGGGAAGAGACAACGAGAGAGAGAGAGGAAGAAGAAGAGGCAGAGCAAAAGGAAGAGGAAGAGAAGAGAGGAAGAGAGGAAAGAAGAGAGAGACATTGAACTCCAGATATCTGCAAAGATGTCACTTGAGTCTCCAGGTTAGTATTGATAAGTGCATGTGTATGAAAATATCCAAGACCAAAGTACAGTCTAATGAAGTAGGCATAATAATTTCCAGGGATCACATGGAACTAGGGATATTTTGTTTCTATCAGCCAGAAAGGCAAACTGTTAAAATGCATGACACATTGGGTACAGTAATCGGAAATATATTGGCTCAGTAACAGAAAAAAAAAATAGCCCTTGATTAAAGGTTTGATCTATCCCACGTAAGAAAGATTAAAAGCAAAGCTAGAAAAGATCAGATTTGTTTCTAAATAACTTATCTGCGTCCTAAAACAAAACTAAAAAATTTTTTTAAATACAGTAATGTATTAACACATACTGAAACTCAATACATACAGAGAAACGAAGATAAGAATAAGAAGTCCAAGTGCAGCGGCTCATACCTGTAATCCAAGCACTTGGGGAGGCCAAGGCAGGGGATCACTTGAGGCCACGAATTTGGGACCAGCGTGGGCAACACAGCAGAACCCTGTCTTTACAAAAAAAAAAATAATAATTTTTTTCCTTTTTGGTAGAGACAGGGTTTTACTGTGTTTTTTCGGGGGGAAGAAAAACTGATGTCTGGAACTGGCAGGGAACCTGAAGAGTTTATGTGGTTTACCATTGTGTCTGTGCCTTGGACTCTTTTTAGCAAGTAAAATCTAATTGGGTTTAATTGAATGTGTTCCCAAATAAAAGGCAGAGATTTTCAGATTGGGCAGAGAAAGTAAAACCAACATCAAAAAATTAACCTTCAGTCCCAGCTTACTCGGGAGGCTAAGGTGGGAGGATCACTTGAGCCCAGAAGTTCAAGGTTACAGTGAGCTATAATTGCACCACTGCACTGTAGCTTGGGTGACAGAGCAAGACCCCATCTCTAAAAAAAGAAAAAAGAAAAAGAAATCAGCTGGACATGGTGGCTCATGCCTGTAATCCCAACCCTTTGGGAAGCCAAGGCATGCGGATCACCTGAGGTCGGGAGTTCAAGACCAGCCTGACCAACATGGAGAAACCCCGTCTGTACTAAAAATACAAAACTAGGTGGGTGTGGTGGCGCATGCCTTTAATCCCAGCTACTTGGGAGGCTGAGGCAGGAGAATCACTTGAACCTGGGAGGCAGGCAGATGTTGCGGTGAGCTGAGATTGCGCCATTGCACTCCAGCCTGGGCAACAAAAGCGAAACTCCATCTCAAAAAAAAAAAAAAAAAAAAAAAAAGAAAGAAAGAAAAAGAAAAACAACAGTGAAATAGTGGAAACAATAAGCCAGAAGATAGTGGAAAAACATCTTTCAAGTACTGAAGGAAAATCTGGCAACCTAGAATTCTGCACCCAACAAAAATAGAAAAACCAGAAATTGACTTTCTCCATAAAAGCAGATAGGAATGTGCATCTACCTAAATGAATGAAGAACACTGGAAATGGAAATGTGTGTGTTAATATTTGGGTGAATACAATGACATTTTTATATTTTGAAATCACTCTGAAAATAGATGATTAAAGCAAAGTAACCATGTATTTTAATTTTAAAACAAATTCAGAAGTAAAATGTGACAACAATCATGCAATAATGGGAGAGGAAAATGTAAGTATACAGTTGTAAAGCTCTTATACGAGATTTGAAGTGGTAATATTATTTGAAATCAGACTTTCATAAGTCAAGATGCACATTATAAACTAAGAGCAAATAGCCATGAGTGAAAAAATAACTAAGAAGATAAATTAAAAGTATGAAAGGTGCTCAGTTGACCCAAGTGAAGGCAGAAAAATATAAGAAAGGAGAACAAAGAACAGATGGGAAACTATATTAATATCAAGGTATATTTCAGGACAAGGGATGGTGCCAAGAAAAAAGAGGGTCTTTCATAATGATTACAGGAGCAATTCATCAAAACAATATAATAACCCTAAATGTTATGCTCCTAATAACATAACTTCAAAATACATGAAGGAAAAAAATCTGAGAATTACAAGAAGAAACAAATTCACATTTATAGTTGGAGATCTCAACATCCCACTGACAATAATCAGTGAGAAGTAGATAGAAAATCAGTAAAAATATAGCCAACTTAAGCAACATTACCATAATCCTGACCTAATAGACATTTATAGAATACTCCATCATACATATTCCTTTCAAGTGAACATGCACTATTTACCAAAATAGACTATATCATAAACCATAGAAAAATTCTCAATAAAAAAGGACTGAAATCATCCACAATTCTTCTGACAACAATTATATTAAATTAGAAATGAGTAACATGAAAATCTGAAAAATCTTCAAATATTTGCAAATAATAAACATGACAGCAGAAATCAATGAAATAGAATAACAATCAGAAATAAAACTAAAATCCACTTTTTAAAAAGCAGTAATAAAATTAGTTCATTATTATCAGGAATTAAAAAGGGACATCACTACAAATCCTACAACTATTAAAAAGATGATTTTTAAAGTATTATAAACACCTCATTACGGTAAGTGTGGTAACTTAGATAAAGTGGACATATTTCTTGGAATATCCAAATTATCGAAGCTCTGAGTAGCTCTGTATCTATTTTTAAAATTGCATTCATAGTTAAAATATTCACACAATAAAAATTTCAGACGTACCTGGCTCCACTGATTATTTCTACATTCAAGGAAGAAACAATAACAATTCTCAAAGTTTAGATAAAGAAAAAGGGATCAAATCATTAGTCTGGGTTCCTACCTCAAGAAACTGAAAAAAGGAGAGCAAAATACATTCAAGGTAAGCAAAAGAAAGGAAATAATAAAGATAAAAGCAGGAATTTATAACACTAAAAATATAAAAACAATGGAAGAAAACCAATAAATCAAAAGCAGCTTTTTTGAAAAGAAAATAAAAAATGATAAACATCTAGCAAGTTGACAAAGATATAAAAGAGAGAGACGTGTCACCAGTATGAGGAAGGAAACAGGAGTTATTACTGCAGATCATGTAGCCATTAAAAGAATAAGGGAATATTATGAACAACTTCACACTCATAAATTCAACAACTGAGAAGAAATGGATCAATTTCTCAAAAGTCACAAGCTATGAAACTCAATCAAGAAGAAATAGAAAATCTGATTAGTCTTACAATCATTAAATTAATTGAATACATAATAAAAATCTCCCGCAATGAGATGTTCAGGCCCCGATGGTTTTACTAGAGAATTCCACCAAACATTTAGGAGAGAATTGACACAAATTTTATGCAATCACTTCCAGAAAATAGAAGAGAAGGAAACACTAACTCATTTATGAAGTTAGTATTACCCTAATACAAAATTAAACAAAGAGTACAAAAAACCCCCAAACTATGGACCAATATCTCCCATAAACTTGGATGCAAAAATCCTCAAAAGTATTAGCAAATCAAATCCAAATGCATAGAAAGAATTACACGTTTGACCAAGTGGGATATATTCCAGAGATATATATCTGGTTCAATATCTGAAAATCAATTAATATAATAATTATATCAATAGGCTAAAGAAAAATCATATAATCATATAGATATCCTCAGAAAAATATGACACAATCCAACACTCATTCAAAAGACACGCCTATCACTTGGGAAATTGCAGTTCTGTGCCAGGAACCAGGGACAAAAACCAAATATATTTCATCTTGTGTATCCATAGGTTCTGCATCTGTGGATCCAACCTATCATGAATCAAAAATATTTTAAAAAAATGGAGTTCGTATTGAACATATACAGACTTTTATCATTATTGCAAATAATACTGTATAAGTATAATAATTATTTACATAGTGTTTACATGGTACTAGGCAATATAACTAATAATAGAGATGATTTAAAGTATATGGGAGGAGGCGCATAAGTTATATGCTAATACTATGCCATTTTATATCAGAGACTTGAACACCTGGGGATTCTGATTGTCAGTGGGAGGTTCTGGAACTCTGCCCCATTGATATCGAGGGATAACTGTACATGAAGTTGACGCTTGAACAATGTGAGCATCAGGAGCTCCCCTCCCCGACATATATGTGGATTTTTGTGCAGTCAAAAATCCACATATGACTTTTGACTCCCCAAAGCTTAACTACTAATACCCTGTTGAGT
This sequence comes from Homo sapiens, assembly GCF_000001405.40. Classification (NCBI taxonomy): domain Eukaryota; kingdom Metazoa; phylum Chordata; class Mammalia; order Primates; family Hominidae; genus Homo; species Homo sapiens. The sequence goes on from NC_000015.10 coordinate 30,279,566, forward strand.
GGAAGACCTACTGATCACACAAACAGGTGAGTGAAAAAATCTTTGTATGTTATATGTATTATGTACTGTATTCTTACAATAAAATAAGCTAGAGAAAAGAAAATGTTATTAGGAAAATCGTAAGGAAGATAAAATATATTTACTATTCATTAAGTGGAAGTGAGTCATCATAAAGGCCTTCATTCTCATTGTCTCCATGTTGAGTGAGCTGAGGAGGAAGAGGAAGGGAAGGGTTTGGTCTTGCTGTCTCGGGGTGGCAGAAGAAAATCCACATATAAATAGATTTGCACAGTTCAAACCCATGTTGTTCAAGGGTCAATTGTATGCATATTTTATTAGATACACAATAAGGGATATTATGTAGCTACAATAATCAAGACAATGTTTATTAGCAAATAATAGATACACAGATAGATGGAACAGGATAAAGAACCCAAAAATAAACCCACACAAATAAGCCCAACTGACTAATAAAGGAATTCATTTCAACAGAGATGATAAAGCAATTTAATGGAGGAAGGATCGTCTTTTTAACAAGTGACGCTGGAACAATTTGGCATTCATAAGCCAAAAAACGAACATTGTCCTAAACATCACAGCCTACACAAAAGACTAACTCAAAGTGCATCACACACACAAATGCAAAACATAAATTAGAAAACCTTTTTAAAAAGACAAATGAAAATCTTCCACGATATATGGCTAGGCAAAAACTTCTTAGACTTGGCACAGAAATCATGATCTAGAAAGGGGAAGAAAAAATTGATAATAGGACTTCACCAAAACTTTTGCTCTGTGAAAGCCTATGTGAAAAGAATAAAAACCTGGGAGAAAATATTTATAAACCACGTATCTAAACAATGACTTGTATCTATAATGTATATAGAACACTTAACACTCAACAGTTAAAAATCAATCCAATGAGAAATTAGCAAAATATATTTCACTAAGTAGGACAGACAGATGATGAACATATGAAAAGACATGCAATATCATTAGCCGTTAGAGAAATGCACATTAAAATCCCAGTGAAATATCACTATACACCTGTCAAAATGGCTAAAACAAACAGGCAAACTAACAGTGATGACACCAAATCCTGGCAGAAATGCCACATAACTGGATAACTCATAGATTTTTGGTGGAAATATAAAATGGGACAATAGTATGTACAGCCTCTCTGGGAAAGGTTCAGCAGAAACACTTCTTACAAAACACTTACAGTATACTTATTATACAACCCAGGAATTACACTCTTGGGCATTTATCCCAGAGAAATGAAAACTTATGTTCACAAAAAACCAGTATGTGAATATTCACAGCAGTTTTGTTTATAATAATTGAAAACTGGAAACAGCTCAAATGTCCCTCAGTGGGCAAATGGTACAACTGTGGTACATGCATATGGAACACTCAGAAATAAAAAGGAACAAACTATTAATATGCTTAACAACTTTGGTGAACTCCAGGAATTTGTGCCCACCAAAAAAAAGAAAAATAAAGCCAATCGTAAGAAGTTACATGTGATATGATTCCATTAATATAGCACTCTCGAAATGACAAAATTATAGAGTTGGAAGACAGATTAATGATTGCCAAGGGCTCAAGATACAGGGAGAGGCTGTGACTATGAAGGTTAGTAAAGAATTGTTGATGGGTCTGTTTGTATCTTGACTGTGGCGGTGGTCACACAAATCTATAAGTAAGGTAAAATTTCATAGAAATAAATATCCACACACAGACAAATGAGTGCATGTAAAGCAGGTGAAATTTGAATAGAGGCAATGGATTGCATCAATGCCAGTGTCCCACTTTTGATACTGTACTCTTGTCATGCAATATGTTACCACTGAGTGAAATTGGGGGAAGAGTTTATGGGATGTGATTATTTCTTAGAACTGCATGTGAATCTATAATTATCGTAAAATAAAGAGTAAAAAATGTATAAATACCTCATATACTGGTGCTTAGTCTACCACTAAAATTTGGAGATGACTCAGAAGTTGTCTCCAGAACCTGAACTGAGCAGCCTAGCTGGGGTCTCAGGTGAAGGAGCCCTGCTCAAGGGGCTGGATTACCCCCATAAACTCAGGCTTAAGGTACAGCAAAGCCAGCCTTGGTGGAGAAGTGTGGGGTTGAAATATTTTGATAATTGATATTTTAATAGAAGCATTTCAGTAGTCATTATGAGGGGGGAAAGAGGAAAATCAGTAAATAAATGTAGAAGGAATGAACAAAATAGAAAAATCACCATAGTGTAAACTAGTAAAATAAGGGATTCAGATAAGGATCATCAAGAGATGCTGAAAAGCAGTAAAGGCAGGGTAATAAGGAACACGATATTCCTGCAGTCTCATAACATCACCCCATGGAGTGCTTGCGGACTGGAAAGGGTAAACATACCTTAGATAACGGAGCACCGTTACACATTTAGCTATGCAATACACTTAACATCACTAACAGAAACTTCCTAATATTATGTGCCTCTTGGTGCAAGGTGGTATGAAATACACAGAAGCCGTATTCTTGCCAAAAATATTTAGTACAAATCTAAACAAGCTTTTAAATCTAGTTTCTCAGTTGTATGAAATATGGAAAATAGAAGATTCAACCATGAATCCAGAATACAAAATATTCCACAAGCTCAGTTCCCTCAATAAATCAATACCACGACAAAAGAAAAAAGGAGAGGGCTTTCTTTATTGAAGAGACGCAATAACAAAATGTAATATGCGAATGTAGACTGTATTCTTGTTTTAATAAAATTATAAAAGTCATTTTTGAAGCACTTGGAGAAATTTGAATATGGACTGTGTACGAGATGATAGTGGGGATTAGTTTAATTTTCTTCGCTTTGATTATGGGGGTGTCATTTTATAGCAGGATATTTCCATTTTAAGGAGATATATAATGGACATTTTTTAGTGGTGAAATGTCATATTGACAGTATCTTCCTTCTGAAAGAAAAAGTATGGAAGAGACAAAAATAGATCAGAAAGAGCTTTTCCCCAGTGTCTCAGAGACGTTTTCTACCTGGACTGGATGTTGTGTACTGGATGCGCTCCGAATGTGACTTCAAAGGGAACGTAGTTGGGTGCTTACTAAGTGCCAGTCTTCTTACACAGCAGGCTTTTAGGGATTATCTCGTTTAGTCCGCACAGCAATCCTCTCAGTTGAAATGCAATAGATTGTCTATTAAGATTATCTGAAATAAGAATCTTCTCGGGCAGATGAATTGGTTCTGAGAGTCAGGAGAGTGCATCAGGAAGTGAGATCATGGAAAAGTGGCTTTCTTAAGAAGGGAGTGAAGCTTCAAACATGGATTCACTTTTGGACATGTAGCGAATCGAAGATTTGGATTCCTTAACCGAGAATGCTTTTAAGAAATTGAACTTCCTGGCCGGGCGCCGTGGCTCACGCCTGTAATCCCAGCACTTTGGGAGGCCGAGGCGGGCAGATCACGAGGTCAGGAGATCGAGACCATCCTGGCGAACACGGTGAAACCCCGTCTCTACTGAAAAATACAACAAATTAGCCGGGCGTGGTGGCAGGCGCCTGTAGTCCCAGCTACTTGGGAGGCTGAGGCAGGAGAATGGCGTGAACCCGGGAGGCGGAGCTTGCAGTGAGCCGAGATGGCGCCACTGCACTCCGGCCTGGGTGAAAGAGCGGGACTCCGTCTCAAAAAAAAAAAAAAAAAAAAAAAAAAAAGAAAGAAAAGAAATTGAACTTTCTTCCCGAGGACCAAATAGATTCATTTTGCCTTAACGAGATGTTAATACTTTGTGACTCAAGTGAGTTTATAAGTATTATATGTATTTCTACACAAAATGCAAATTTGAATAATAAAAATTTAGGAAATTTTTCCTGTATTCACTTTACATCCCTTAACTTCACATTCAGTTTTGAATGAGTAACAATAATGTGTGCAGAGCCTACCAAAGATGCAGAAAGGGAAAGCTCAGAACAAGCAGAAATAAAAGCTGTAACTTCTGAAAAAACTGAATTAATAGGCTGGGCGCGGTGGCTCACGCCTGTAATCCCAGCACTTTGGGAGGCTGAGGCGGGCAGATCACAAGGTCAGGAGATCGAGACCATCCTGGCTAACACGGTGAAACCCCGTTTCTACTAAAAGTACAAAAAATTAGCCAGGCGTGGTGGCGGGCGCCTGTAGTCCCAGCTACTCGGGAGGCTAAGGCTGGAGAATGGCATGAACCCAGGAGGTGGAGCTTGCAGTGAGCCGAGATCGGGCCGTTGCACTCCAGCCTGGGGGACAGAGGGAGACTCTGCCTCAAACAAACAAACAAATAAAAACAACAACAAAAAAACTGAATTAATAGCAAGTGTATTTCCTGATGCTGTTGTAGACCCAAAGAATACTAACGAACTGCTCCCTAATAGTTAGGCAGAACTTTTAGGCTTACATAGCATCAAGTAGTCTTTTCTAGGTATCTAAACGCTACAACCCCTAAAGACATGAATGGAATGGAGAAGAACCCAGTAGCTCCAGACATTGGACACAGTATACATTCTTCTTTGAATCTGTGTGATATTTTGAACTCTGTGTTGAGCTCTTCACATCTTGAATTAAATGAGGAAATTAATTGTGTTGATATACCTAATGCTAAATGACGAGTTAATGGGTGCAGCACACCAGCATGGCACATGTATACATATGTAACTAACCTGCACATTGTGCACATGTACCCTAAAATTTAAAGTATAATAAAAAAAGAAAGAAAAAAATGAAAGATTTCCAAAGGATTATGTGAAATTTTATTTTATTGTTTAAATTATTTTATTTTATTTTATTGTTTAAATTATTTTATTTTATTGTTTAAATTATTTTATTTTATTTTATTGTTTAAATTATTTTATTTTATTTTATTTTATTTTATTTATTTTATTTATTTTATGTTATTTGAGACTGAGTCTCTGTTGCCCAGGCTGGAGTGCAGTAGCACGATCACACCTCACTGCAACCTCTGCCTTCTGGGTTCAAGCGATTCTCCTTCCTCAGCCTCCCAAGTAGCTGGGACTACAGGCATGCACCACCAAGCCCGGCTAATTTTTATATTTTTAGTAGAGACAGGGTTTCACCATGTTGGGCAGGCTGGTCTCGAACTCCTGACCTCAGGTGATTCGTATGCCTCGGCCTCCCAAAGTGCTGGGATTACAGGTATGAGCCACTGCGCCGGGCCAGATTATGTGAAATTTTAGATAAACACAGAAGAATTTATGAATGACGATGAACAGGAAATGGAGAAAATTCTAATATCATGCGGTACTTTGTCAGCCAGAGTCAGTGACAATTATTAGGCTGATATGTTGACTGCCATGCCAGGGATGATCAAATCTCTTACCATCCACTGTCTGGAGGTGCCAACACCTGCTGAACTGGCTTTCCAGATCAATGAATTACAGTCAGACACTGTGTAATAATGTTTCAGTCAGTGACAAACCGCGTATACGACAGTGATCCCATGGATTATAACAGAGCTGAAAAATTCCTATAGCCTCTTGAAGTTGTAGCCATCGTAACATAGTGCAGTGTTTTCCTCCCATGTTTGCGGTGATGCTGTGAAAATAAACCTATTGCACTACCAGTCTTATAAAACGGTAGCACGTAGAATTATGTACAGTATTAATGCTTGATAATGGCAATAACTATGTTGCTGGTTTATGTATTTACTATACCATAGGTTTTATTGTTATTTTAGAATGTATGTTTCTACTTATAAAAAAGGTTAACTGTAAAACAGCCTCAGGCAGGTTGTCAGGAGTTATTCCAGAAGAAGGCACTGTTATCTTAGGAAGTGACAGCTCCATGCGTGTTACTGCCCCTGAAGACCTTCCAGTGGGACAAGTTGTGGAGGTGGAAGACAGTGACACTGATGCTCCTGACCCTGGGTAGGCCTCGGCTAATGTGTGGGCTCATGTTTTAATTTTTAACAAAAAAGTTTAAAAAGTCGAAAGAGTAAAAATTAAATTAAAAAAGCTTATAGGATAAGAATATAAAGAAAGAATTTTTTTTATAGCTGGACAATCTGTGTTTTAAACTAAGTATTATTACACAGTAGTCAAAAAGTAAAAAACAAAAACAAAAAAATACTAAAACGCTCATAGGGTAAAAAAGTTACAATAAGCCAAGGTTAATTTATTACTGAGGAAAAATATATTTTCTTATAAATTTAGTGTTGCCTAAGTGCACAGTATTTATAAAGTCTACGGTAGTGTACCGTAATGTCCTAGCCTTCACATTCACTCACCACTCACTCACTGACTCACCCAACGCCACCTCCAGTCCTGCAAGCTCCATTAGTGGTACCTGCCCTAAACAGGTGTACCATGTGTGTCTTTTATACTGTATTTTTTACTGCACTCTTTGTATGTTTAGACATGTTTAGATACAAACATACTTACCGTTGTGTTACAGTTGCCTACAGTATTCAGTACAGTTACATGCTGTGCAGGTTTGTAGCCCAGGAGCAGTAGGCTGTACCACAGAGCCCAGGCGTGTAGTAGGTTATGCCATCTAGGTTTGTGTAAGTGTACTTAGTGATGTTCGCACAGTGATGAAATTACCTAACAATGCATTTTTCAGAACATATTCCTATCATTAAGAAACACATGATATTTGGCCATGTTGGAATGGATTTTAGGGTCTCTAACAGTTGAGGATAGTCTAGTTCATGTAGATTTGAACCTGACAAAAGTGACTTATGAGAAATTGCAAGAATTCTTGGCAGGTTTCTTTTTATGAAGAACTCCCTTTGTGCTCATTTTGTCACCTTTACTTTTGTCACCTTTACTTTCTATAACAAAATAAACCATGTTACATGAAATAATTCTATTGAATTTTGATTTTGAGAGAGAACTTTCACCAGTTAACACGTTGCTGATTTTGTTTTCCTCTAAGTTTTTAGATTAATATCAGATTAGGCAAATTATACCATTAGTGATGAAACTTAATGTGAATGATTGTTTCTGAGGGGAAAAACCTCGAAACCGTGAGATTTTTACTCTCTCAGTTAAATAATGCAATGCTGATTGATTCAGTTTTAAAAACAGTTTTTATTTTTTAAAGCAGCAGCCGAATTCTCTTAAGTGGAGGGATCGCATAGGTGTCCTGGAGCTCCACCATGGTGAGTGGAGTCACACTTTACAATTTTATTTATCCAGCTTTATTTGTTGACTTACATTTAATAAGAATGATTTTGTCACAATTCTAAAAGGCGAAATGATTTCTAGAAAAAATAATATAAATATATTTACTAATATACCCGTCCTTTGCCAATCTCTTGTCCTGCACATGTGTTTAGAAGTAACAAAAACAAGCTGTGTCCTATGGCAAGCTTACGGGAGGCCCTCCCCTGGTTGGGCATGTTGGACTTGATCATACTGAACAAAATTCATCTCAGAGAACAAGAAATTACTGCAGACTTTAGCAGCACCCGAAGTGTTACTCTGTCTAATTGGATCATCGGAATAGTCAAGTTTTTAAAAGTGTCACTCACGCCGGGCGCGGTGGCTCACGCCTGTAATCCCAGCACTTTGGGAGGCTGAGGCGGGCGGATCACGAGGTCAGGAGATCGAGACCATCCTGGCTAACACGGTGAAACCCCGTCTCTACTAAAAATACAAAAAAGTAGCTGGGCATGGTGGCGGGCGCCTGTAGTCCCAGCTACTCGGGAGGCTGAGGCAGGAGAATGGTGTGAACGCGGGAGGCGGAGCTTGCAGTGAGCCGAGATCGCACCACACCACTCCAGCCTGAGCGATAGAGTGAGACTCCGCCTCAAAAAAAAAAAAAAAAGTGTCACTCACAGAAATAGCTAACAGAAGAAATTGCCTTACAGGAAAAATCACGACTTAAGAAGGAAGTCACTTATCTTTGTAATAGAATGTGTCATCAGACTGAAGAAGCAGCAGCTCTCCAAGTTACTCCTCGCCATTAACCAAAATTTGGAGGTGTACACTTTCAAGGACCACAGTTATTTCTTAGAACATACAGTGCAATTTTAAAACTGTGTTCTTGAAAGGAATCGTTTACAAAAAGTTATAGCACAGGAGTTTTTCATGAAAATGCAAATGTCACTTCTGCTGAATGGAAGGCTAAAGAGAAAAGGCAAAGAAAGAGACTCAAGACATACGAAGTGGGCCCGGTCGTGGTGGCTCATGCCTGTAATCCCAGCACTTTGGGAGGCCGAAGCAGGCGGATCACCTGAGGTCAGGAGTTTGCGATTAGCCTGGCCAACATAGTGAAACCCTGTCTCCACTAAAAATACAAAAATTAGTGGGGCGTGGTGGTGGGCACCTGTAGTCCCAGCTACTTAGGAGGCTGAGGCAGGAGAATCGCCTGAACCTAGGGACAGAGGTTGCAGTGAGCCAAGATTGCGCCACTGCCCTCTAGCCTTGGCAACAGAGCAAGACTCTGTCTTAAAAAAAAAAAAAAAAAGTGGACCATTTCTAGGCATTGGATGGTTGCAGAGGAGATGCCCTCATGCACCTACAGAAGTGGAGGGCATGCCCACCAGGTCAGTCCCCATAAGTAGACGTGCAAAGCTCATCACGCCTCCCTGTTGTCACCAAATGTCTCAGACCTCCATGGGCTGCATGTGGACAAAGCTAGAGAATATTTTATGACAATGCTACAGCAAAAACCTGAAGATTTAAGCAAAATGCCTCTCTGTGATTATGGGGGTTGAAAAGCATAGCCAGGGAGCAGCCACTGTCATCAGACCAGCTGCTGCCATAAAATGTCTCACAGCCACAACTTCTGGATCTCTGAAGTTAAACCAGACTTTAGCTCTGAAGTCGGGCTAAAGTAAAAGACACTTCCTTAACTTAGAACTGTGAAGAATTTAATAGAGAAACAAGGCTGAACACATCTGAATTTTGAAGAGCTATTTATGACTTCATGTCGTATATGACAAATTTTATTATCGTTCTCTTTAAAATCGAGCAATTGATTCTCATCATCCAAAGGGTGAACCTGTTTTTAATAAATGAATTAACTATGAGACTGCTCATTAAAATGTAATATTGCAACTATCTATGGAAGAATAGATTATACAATTTTCAGCCAGCATAAGAAAAACAAAAAGATTTTATTTGAACTATTAAAAAAAGTAATTTTCCTGTCAACTCTGTACTTTTTTATATACATTTTTATAACTTTGCTTTAAAAATTTCTTGTGAAACGATTTGCAAATTACATATAGTATAATAGTAAAATAAAATACTTTGGCCAAAAAAAGGATATTTACTAATATGCAATGTAGCCACACTTTAGAAGCTTATACAGACTTTATAATTGTCCTTGAAGGCCAGAAGTTTGTTTTGTCAGTCACTCTGCTTCCTTGGGTTCCACTGGCTTGGAGGGGCTCTCACCAGCATCTTCCATTGTCCCTGAAAGGGTTGTAGAGGTGTGCATTAGTTTCCTGGGGCTGTCATAACAAAATACTGTATAGTGAGTGTGGCTTGACCAACAGAAATGTATGGTCTCACAGTTCTGGAAGCAGGAAGTCCAAAATCAAGGTGGTGGCAGGGTTGGTTCTTCTGAGGGCTGTGAGGGAAAGATCTGTTCCTGGCCTCTCTCCTTGGCTTGTAGATGGCTGAGCTATAGTTTTGTTATTTTTTCCCTCCAAATCCCATGTTGAAATGTGATCCCCAATGTTGGAGGTGGGGCCTGGAGGGAGGTGTTTGGGTCATGGGGGCAGATCCCTCATGGAATGGCTTGGTGCCCTCCCTGTGGTGATGAGTGAGTTCTTTCTCTGTGAGTTCATGCAGGAGCTGGTTGTTTAAAGGAGCCTGGTGCCTCCTCCCTCTCTCTCTTACTCTTTCACTCACCATGTGACATGCCTGCTCCCCCTTCACCTTCCACCATGAGTAAAAGCTTCCTGAGGGCTCACCAGAGGCAGATGCCAGCACTATGTTTCTTGTACAGTGTGCAGAACAATGAGCCAAAATAAACCTCTTTTATTTGTAAATTACCTAGTCTCAGGTATTCCTTTATAGCAACACAAAACAGACTAGTACAGCTGCCTTCTCCCTCTGTCTCTTCAGATCATCTTCCCTGTATGTATGTGCATCTCTGTGTCCAAATTTCCCCTTTTTATAAGGACACCAGGTCATATTGGATTAAGGCCCACCCTAATGACCTTATTAATTTCCCTTTTTATAAGGACACCAGTCATTGGGTTAGGGTCCATCCTAATGACCTCACTTGAAATCCTGCCTCCAGATGAGATCATGCTCTGAGGTATTAGGGATTAGGATTTAACATGAAAGTGAGGGGGATGCAATTCAGCCCATCACAGGGTGGATTCCCCTTCTGGGGCTGTGTTACTCAAACCATCCCAGGAAGGGTAACAGGGCCAGAGGAGCTGAAGAATTGTGAGCCCTTGTTTACCAGGCTTGGGGGGTTCTGTCTTGCACTACTACCCTGAAAACCCTACTGGTTGCCAATTGAATTTATCAGGGAACTCCAGTGCCCAGTGACAAAGGCTGGAAATCTTTTCTCCTAAAGATCTTTAAGGGTGCACCTGCCCTCACAGTCCCTCTGGCTCTGAGCTTGTGGCTCTATCTGTTCCCTATGCCCACATGAATGAGTTCTGCCTCAATCCCTGCTCCCCACTGTGGGGAACCAAGTACCAACCTCAACTTGCTGGGCAGATGCTACGTGACAGTCTAAGTGCTAAGCTCTTTACAGACATGGTCTCATTTTATCTTCCTCATAAGCCAAAGAGGTAAAGAATGACATTACTGTTTTACAGATGAGAAGGCCACATTGTGAAGAAATTAAGTGATTTGCCCGAGGTTTGTGTTGATCATTTCATTAAATGAAGTATCATATCTATCATACTTTTTCATTTATTAGAAACAAAATACCACTCACGGTAAGAACAAAGATGTGGAGGAGCAGTAGAAGAACAGAGAAGTAGGAGTGGAATTTCATGAGTCCCCAAACCGAAGACCAATACCTATGATTAGAAATACAGGGGACTCCATGTTCATAGTGGCGTTATTCACAATAGCCAAAAAGTGAAGTCACCCAGGTGTCCTTGTGTGGATGAATGGATAAGCAAAATGTGGTCCATGTGTATAATGAAACATTACCCAACCTCGGAAAGGAAGGACATCTTCTATACGCCAGAACATGGATGAACCTCGAGGACATTATGCTGAGTGAAATAAGCCAGGCACAAAAGAACAGACACTGTGTGATTCCACTTACATGAGGTGTCTGGAGTGCTCAGTCTCATGGAGACAGAAAATAGAATGGTGGTTGCCAGGGGATAAGGAGTTGGGGATAGCATGTTTGCATTTAATAGGTACAAAATTTCATTTTAAGAAGATGAAAGTTTTATAGATGGTTGGTGGTGATAGTTGCACAAAAAGGTGAATGCATTTAATGCCACTGGACTATATACTTAGAAATGACTAAGATGATGAGTGTTTATGTGTATTCACAACTTAAAAATAATTTTTAAAAAAGAAAGGAAAGGCACTGACCCCAACCCACACACTCAACAGTTTTTGAATCCAGATTTTCTGGCAATGATATAAAATGTCTTTTGATCCAATCACTCAGGAAGGTCAAGAGAAAACCCTGCATTTTTATTGGGAAGAATAGCCTCGAAGCAGGAGCATCGTTTAGAACCTGTCTTGTGCATCTTCAGTAAACATTTGAGTAATAAATCACTGTTGCACTTGAAGGAAGGTCTCCAGGTTCTGGTGGTAGGTGTGGGGTTGGCAAGAGTGCAGCTTTAAGGTGTGAGCTCCGGGATTTCTCACTGAGGATAAGTTCATCTTTCTACCAGTTCTGCACAGTTGAGTCTAAGCACAGGTGGTGGTGGGGAGGTAAACATGGAGATGACCAAGGAAACACACTCTGACCCATCCCTGATTGCAAAATGAAAGGGTGTTGGATCCAGAATGTGGTTGGTACTTGATAGGTGCACTGTCCCTGACAAAAACGGGGCAGAGGGGTGACCTACACACTCCTATTTCTCATCTCCAGTTTGTTCCTTATCAACTACCACTTTCTCTTCCTGCCTCTCCTGAGTCTTGAAGTTTGTAAAGTCTGGTCTGGCTTACTCCTCATAGGTATCCAGCATTTAGTTTTGAAACATATCAACACTTGTACAAATGGCAGTTAGGGTGACTGTTATGAAAAGGAAATCTAATACACTATTCCTCCACTTGAAATCCTCCATGTCTCCCCATTCCCTGAGGCACATGATTGAAGCCCGAAGAATGCATGCCCCACCTGCTCCCTGCCCATTGGTCCAGCTGCCACCCAGACAAGGTCTGGCACCAGATCCATAGTCAGCAGTGCTGGCCCTGCAGCCTCTGCTAACGGGGCTCACCAGCCTGCAGCCTCGGCTCCTCCATACTCACCTGCCCACCACTACTAGCTCAGCCTACAACCTTAGCCAACTCCTTAGCCTCCAGGAAGACCTCCAGGTGGTTCCTCAACTTAGGTGTCTCTTCTAACCTTAATCCTGGAAGTTGACTTGCTGGTTGCATTATGATTCCTAAGCCCCAGCTGTGGAGGGAGAGTCCCTGGAAGATGGGACAATGTCTTTGCCCCTGAACTTCCATCCCTGGCATAGTGCCAGCTTTTTCATGGAGGGTATTCAGTAAGCACTGCATGTGAAATGCATTGTGCCAAGTTATTTTGCCTCGTTTAACTCTTGAAAAGCAGGCTTCTGTGCAGACCAGGCTCAAATCCATGCTTCCAGGTGCCCTGTGCGGTGCCACCACAGTGTAGCACACAGACCTGCACGTGCCTACATGGCATTGATTCCAGGCCTTGGTTTCCTCTTTGGGAAGATAAAGTAACTGTACTAAATGCAGAGAGAAATTAGTTAACTTTATCACTTGCTTTTAGAATGATTCTTGAAATATGAATAAAAAATATAAATTTCTGGCTTATTTTGGCTTTTCTTTTCCTAGAGTAACTGAATTTTTAAAAATCAAGCAATGCAGGAAGGAATAAAAACAAATTCAGGTTTACATATATGAGACTGGCAGCACAATACAACTAACCTCTGCTAGTTGGTGACTAACAGTTGGAAATCCATCCTGGAAGTTCCCAAGCACATCAGTGTTGCAGAGGACCTTGAAAGCACAGCAAATGGGTGAGCACACATTATTAAACTTTTATTAGGTTGTCAGCCTTGTGTATCTCTTTCAAAAACGTGTAGCTCATAAAAACATTCTTCACTTATCTTCAGCTGATTTGATGCAATTTTCTTCAATGGTGCTTAGTTATATTTAATCCCTGTGCCATACTTATGTCCAAAAAAATGGGAAATAATGCAAAGCAGGCCATATTCTAAAATGAAAAGCATTAAATTAAGGTTCTAGGTTCCCTCAAAAAGAGCAAAGCAGAGTGGACCTCACCTTATATAGCATCTATCTCTAAACTTTGCATTTTATTTTGAAACTCTGCAAAGCAATAAAAAACTCATTAACTTTTATAGCCAGTCAGAAAGGTAGTAATAGCATCTGTAGCAATGGAGATGTAATTAGGCTTTTATTTAAATGTGGCAGGGAGTTTGTTCTCATTATACGAAATAAATGAACAACCACAAATCACCAGTGGATTCATGCTCCCTATGGTGCTGGTGCAAGTGGTCCAGGAACTTGCCCAGTGCTGCTTCCTTATGTGGCAACAGAGCCTGTGAGCCCCAGAGCCAGGGCTGGATGGAAACCAGCTTTCTGAAGGTTGAATAGTCACAGCAATTATATTAACGATTATAATCATGACAGAAAAGATTCTCCGTCCACATTGTTGTGTTAAAACAGAAAAAGAAAAAAAAAGTGTTGCAGATCATCAATGCAATTCTTAACTTGGTCATAGAAAAACACCGAATTTGATCATCCTCTTGTCTCTGCTGTAGCTAAGCTCCTTTCCTGGCCTCCAATTCCTGTTTCCTTCCCAATACAGCAACTTCCTTCTATCTGTATTATCTCCTTGCCCATTTAGATAGCCTCAGAAAAACATGGGGAAGAACCAATTTGAAAGGTCTCAGTGGGTTTCATCAGGTTCCTAACAGATAATAAATGCTGAGCTAAGGACCCTAGGTTCTTCCAAAAAATGATGATATTAAAGCTCTACATCCTCTTTTTGAAAGTATGTAAAACTACTTTAGTGGTTTTGATTCATTTTAATCTTATGTCAGCTACATTATTATGTAAGGGAAATTCAAAGATGAGGATAGAAATTTACTCAGAAAAAGTATAAATTGATTTCTGTTTAAAGATGATTTTCCGGCCGGGCGCGGTGGCTCACGCCTGTAATCCCAGCACTTTGGGAGGCCGAGGCGGGCGGATCACGAGGTCAGGAGATCGAGACCATCCTGGCTAACACGGTGAAACCCCGTCTCTACTAAAAATACAAAAAATTAGCCGGGCGAGGTGGCAGGCGCCTGTAGTCCCAGCTACTTGGGAGGCTGAGGCAGGAGAATGGCGTGAACCCCAGGGGGCGGAGACTGCAGTGAGCCGAGATTGCGCCACTGCACTCCAGCCTGGGCGACAGCGAGACTCTGTCTCAAAAAAAAAAAAAAAAAAAAAAAAAAAGATGATTTTCCTTAATCTCATCTCTCAAAACCCACAAATATATATGTATTACTAGGTATGTGTGTGTATATATATATATAAAAAATGTATATATATGCACACATGTGCATATATATTTTTTGTTGTTGATTTGTTTGTGTATATGTATATGAATGTATACACATATGTGTATATACACACATATTTATACACTCATGTATATGCACACAAATCAACAATAAAAAATAGAGGGCAAAAAATCCAATTTATATATAACAAGAAAATGGCTACATTCTCAAAACATCTTGACTGGAGCTCGAGAGCCAATAAAAAGTTGATCTCTGCCACCTGAGACCTTGGGCCAGGATACACGTGCTCTTAAAAGGGCAGGTTCCGTGTTCACTTGTATGTTCCGGCCCCAGCTGCTTTCCCTGATGGAAGAGGGCCAGAGGCACACAGCGGGAAAGTGGAGAAGCTGGAAGGGCTTAAGAGTCTAAGTCTGGGGAAGGTGAAGGAGTGTCCCCAGGGCGAAGAAAGAGCAGGTTTGTTGGAGGGCACTCAAGAACACACCCACGTGAAAGCCGTAGATAGGCTTTCCCTATCCCGCATCCCGCCACACTCCCATCCCACCCCTCGGCAGTACTAGCTCAGCCAATGGGGCTACTGACTGTCCCTTCTCCAAGATGAGTCATATTGAGAAGAACGGCCTGGGCCCATGGAGAACAACTGCCATCAAACAATCAATTGGCAGCATCCATCAAATACCTGATGGAGGGAAAAAAGGAAAGACAGAGGCACATCGGGGCAGATATCACGAAAGACAGTTTTCAAGGACACAGAGAGGGATTCTCACCAACAGTGCTTCATTCTGCACAAAGATTCTATGCAGCAGGCAGCATTTTCTGCACCTGAAACGAGAACTGTCACGGAAGAGTCAGGATATTCAAGTAAGAGGCCGTGTGACAGTGGGAGAGGATGTGAACAGAGCTGTCAGAGTCCATTAGGACATGGAAAGGAGGAAGAACACTGCAGAAATAAAAAATCCATATGAAGCGACAACAAAGGAAAAACAAGACAGATGATATCATGAGGTCTTGACAAATAGACCTGGGAAAATCTCATAAACTACGTATTAAAGAGAACCAGGGAACTTAAAAATGCTTTTAGCAAAACAATGGCCAGGAGAGGGCAAGATAGACAAGGACAGCTCGGCTCTCAGCAGGCGCTTCTAACCCTCTCACTGTCCCCGCCGCCAGCCCTGGGGGAAGAACACTGTGTTTTTGTTTTTGTTTTTACTACAGATTCTTAAATATTTTAAATTTTGAACCATAGATATATGTTTCCATTTTAGCATTAATCAATAAAATGGCTGTTGGAAACTCAGTGAAGAACAATACAAGAAATGTGATAAACCCCACAATGGGTATACGACCATCTTTGATCAATTTTACAACTGCTACTGCTCACCCCTCAATGCCCATCAGTCTCTCACAGGAATGCACCAAGAGAAGAGAATCTCCAGCAGGAGGCCCAGAGGTGGAAGAGGCAGGGATGCGAAGAAGCAGAGGAGGCTGGAAGGAACCGGCGAGAAGTGGGGACAGCGGGAGTGTAAGTGAGAGCCAGTGAGGCCGCTCACGCAGGGCACCCGGCCAGGTGAAAACTTTTAGAATTTGCTTCAAAAGTCAGTGAAGTGCTCTAAGCAGCACAGTGTCAAAATCAGATTTAAAGTTGTCAAAGGGCATTTTTAATGCAAAAAGCAACAGACTGGGCAAAAGTGTTTTTAATATGTGTAACCAAAAAAAGAGAGTTAAAAACTAGTATTTTTTTTCAAAATGTTCCCAGAAATAACATAAATAAAATTAGTTAGAAAACAAAGCAGACAATTAAAAGAAAAAGAGATACAATTAGTCGATAAATCTATGAAAAAATGGTCACTGTATCGTAAGGCCTGAAATTTCATTTCCCACCTTAACGCCTTCGACCCTCACAAGGCCCCAAGGGTCTAATCCTAAGTCCTTATGCTCACACCAGACGTGTACCCCCGCCAGTGGGAAAGGCTCCTTGCCTGGCCAGTTCCCCATTAGCTGGACTAGCTTCACTTAACCTGATCCTCACTCTAATGGGCTTCGCTTCCCTGCCAGCTCATGAAATTATTCAAAAAAGCTAGTCATATCCTCACATGGGGCCTGGAGGCACCTCAGCATCTTGTTAGTTCAAAGCCTGCCTCCTTTTCACTAGAGTCCCTGCAGGCTCTCTGTGTTCCCATGTGCAAGTCCCTTATGGCCCTGTGTAAAATGCAATGTCCTCCTCCCCGAGGCCTTGAGCATATGTAAGCAACAAACCGCTATGAGCTTATCTGTCCAGTCCCGCAGGGTGGATGCAAGTGGTCAGAACAGTCACCTCATTTGTAATCAGAGAAACATTAACTGAAGCAGCAATGATACGGAATATTTTTACCCAATGGATTCATAAAATTATGAACCAGTATTAACTACCTGTGTTGGCAGTGGTTTGCATGGGAATATATATTGGTGGTTTTTCAGGGGATATCTATTAAAATATACAAATCCTGTGACCTCTGATTTACCTTCTAGAAACATTTACTTAGATGCACTGTTGGTAACAGAGAAAAAATTGGATAGAGCTTAAATAGCTACTAAAAGACAATGGTTAAATGAGTTTTGATATGACAACTGATAGGCAATTTTGTGGACTGGCTCATTTCCAATCTTCTTCCCTTGTGTCTCCCTGGACTGCAGAGACCAGAAAGCCAGAAACTACATTTGCTAAGCTCCCTGGATTACAGGCATGACTTAGCTCTGCCAATGAGATGTACTTATGTGTGATTTGACTTTGGATCTGTTTTAGGTGAGATAGAAATAGCATAAAGCAGTGTTTTAAAAAATACTTTATTGTTTAGAATGGTGTTAAATTTACAGAAAAATTGCGAAGCTACAGAGATCTTGCATATGCCAGCATAACCTTTTCCCCCTATTATTAACATCTTACATTCTTAAAGTTAATGGATCAATAGTGATATATGATTGTTATTAAGTAAATACCACAGTTTATTCAGATTTCCATTTATTTATTTAGAGACAAAGTTTCGCTCTTGTTGCCCAGGCTGGAGTGCAATGGCACGATCTTGGCTCACTGCAACCTCTGCCTCCCGGGTTCAAGCGATTCTCCTGCCTCAGCCTTCTGAGTAGCTGGGATTACAGGCATGCGCCACCACGCCCGGCTAATTTTGTATTTTTAGTAGAGACGGAGTTTCTCCAGGTTGGTCAGGCTGGTCTCGAACTCCCAACCTCAGATGATCTGCCCGCCTCGACCTCCCAAAGTGCTGGGATTACAGGCGTGAGCCACAGCCCCTGGCCCAGATTTCCTTATTTTTTGTAGAACTTCTTTTTCTGTTCCAGGTGTCTGTTCATAACTCCACACTGCACTTACCTCTCACGGCTCCTTAGGCTCTCTTGGTGGTGACAGATTCTCTGAGTTTTCTTGTTTTTGATGACACTGATAAATTTGAGGAGTAATGGTCATACTTGGTAAGATGTCCCTCGAATGGAATTGATGTGAATTCTTTCTCTGATTAGGCAGGTGCCAGCATGGCCCACCACTGCTGATGTGGACCTTGGTCACCTGGCTCCGGGAGTCTTTGTCAGGCTTCTTCACGTAAAGTTGCTCTTTTTTTCCCACTTTCCACACCGTACTCTTTGGAACGAAGCACCTCGTGCTTAAGGAGTGGGGATTTAAGCCCACTAGGATAGTTTCAGCACTCAAAAAACGTATGCTTTCAGAAAGACAAGCATCACATGTTTTCACTTATTTGTGGGATCTAAAAATCAAAACACATGGAGATAGAGAGTAGAAGGATGGTTACCAGAGGCTGGGAAGGGGAGTGGGGTGGGGGGTGGAGGGGATGTGGTGAAAGTTAATGGGTACAAAAAATAGAATAAATGAATAAAGCCTAGCATCCGATGGCACAACAGGGTGACTATAATCAATAATTCAATTGTATATTTTAAAATAACTAAAATAGTATAATTGGATTGTGTGTAACACAAAGGATAAATGCTTGAGGGGATGGATACCCCATTCCCCATGATGCAATTGTTATTTATTGCATGCCTGTATCAAAACATCTCATACGCCTCATAAATATATATACCTACTATGTACCAACAAAAATAAAAAATAGAAATCCTGCGCTTTACCTATTTACCCCTCCCATCCCCTCTGGCAACAACTATTTTTACTGACTCCATAGTTTTGCATTTCTTTGAACCTCATATAGCTGGAATCATATGCTATGTAGCCTTTTCAAATTGGCTTCTTTCACTTAGTAATATGCATTTAAAATTTAACCATGTCTTTTCATGGCTTGATAGCTCATTTCTTTTTATGGCTGAGTAACAGTCACTTGTGTGGGTGCTCTCTACTTTGTTTACCTCGGTTGCTTTCAGTTTTGGAGTTTATGAATGAAGCTGCTAAAACACACTTTCATGCAGCTTTTGGTGTGAATATAAGTTTTCAAATCAATTCTTACTAGGAACTTGATTGCTAAATCACATAGTAAGACTATGTTTAGCTTTGCAAGAAACTGCCTAACTATCTTCCAATGACTGCACCATTTTTCATTCACACCAGCAGCAAAAGAGAGTTCCTCCATACTGAATCCTCTCCAGCATGCGGTGGTGCAATTTTTGCAGATTTTATCTACTCTAATACATGTCTACCTGTATGTGGTTTCAATTTGCAATTCCCAATTGGGAAATGATTTCAAAAATTATTTTAGGTTGCCATTTGTATATTTTCTTTGCTGAGTTTTCTGTTCAGATCTTTTAACTTCATTTTAATTGAGTTGTTTGCTTTCTTATTGTTTAACTGTAAAAGTTCTTTGTAAGCTTCAGATATAAGTTCTTTATCAGACATATGTTTTGCAAATATTTTCTCCAAGTCTGAGGCTTATTTTTTTATTATCTTGCAATGTCTTTGGCAGAGCATAAGCTTTTAATTTTAATACAGTTTAACTTACCTATTTTTCTTTCATCCACCATGTTTTTGATGTTGTGTTGAAAAACTCATTGCCAAACCCAAGGTTACCTACATTTTCTCTATTTTCCTCTAAAAGTTTCAAAGTGTTGCTATTTACATTTAGGTTTATGATTCATTTTGAGTTACTTTTTTTCTTTCTTTCAGCTATATTGAACTATAACTGACAAATAAAAATAATATACATTCAAGATGTACAATGTGATGTGCATATACTATACACGTTCATTGTGTAATGGTTACCACCATCAAATTAATCAACCTATCCATCACCACAGAGTTACCCTTTGTGTGTGTGTGTGTTGTGATAACACTTAAGATACTTTTTCTTAGCAAATTTCTAGTAAATAATATTATTAACTATAATTATCATGTGGTATATTAGATACTCAGCAATTATTTATCTTATAACTGAAAGTGTGTACCCTTAAATCAACATCTCCCCATTTTTCCCACCCCTCAGACACTGGCATGCACTGTTCCACTCCTTGCTTCTATGAGTTGCACTTTTTAGATTCATATATGTCAGATCATACAGTATTTGCCTTTCTGTATCTGGCTTATTCCACATAGCATAATGTCTTCCAGATTCACTTATGTTGTCACAAATGGCAGGATTTTCTTCTTTTATTATGGCTGGATAATATTTCATTGTATATATGTGTGTATATATGCATCATATATATGTATATACATGCATCATATATATGTATATACATACATCATATATATGTGTATATATACATCATATATATGTATATATACACATTGTATATATGTGTGTATATATACATCATATATATATGTATATATACACATCATATATATGTGTATATAGACAATAGTTTCTTGATCCACTCATCTGTCAATGGACACAGGTTATTCCATGTCTTCCCTATTGTAAATAATGCTGCAATAAACATGAGGGTGTAGATAGCACTTCAAGATATTTTATTTCCTTTCACTATCCTTTTCCTTTTCTTTGGATATGTACCTAGGTATAGGATTGTTGGATTATATAGTAGTTCTATTTTTAATAGTTTGCAGAACTAACAATGTTTTCTATATAAATTGACTATATCAATTTATATACCCACTGACAGTGTACAAGGATTCTCTTTTCTCCACATCCGCACCAACACCTGTTAGTTCTTGTCGTTTGGATAATAGCCATCCTTACAGGTGTGAGGTGATGTCTCAGTCTCACTGTGGTTCTGATTTGCATTTCCCTGATGATTCATGATGTTGAGCAGCTTTTCATACACCCGTTGGACAGTTGTATGTCTTCTTTGAAAAAATGTCTGTTCAGGGCATTTGCCCATTTTTCAATACGTTACTATCATCATCATCATTATTATTATTAATTTGCTATTGAGTTGTATGTGTATTCAGTATTTTGAATATTAACCCATTATCAGATATATAGTTTTTAAATATGTGCTCCCATTCTGTAGCTTGGCTTTTTGTTTTGTTGATTGTTTTCTTTGCTGTGCACAAGATTTTTAGTGTGATGTATTCCCATTTATTTATTTTTGCTTTCATGCTATGTGCTTTTGGTGTTATATCCAAAAAATATTGCCAAGGCCAATGTACAGAAACTTTTTCTCTCTTTTTTCTTCTAGGAATTTCACGGTTTCAAGTCTTACATGTAAGTTTTCTTTTTTTTTTTTTTGAGATGAAGTTTCCCTCTTGTTGCCCAGGCTGGAGTGCCATGGTGTGATCTCAGCTCACCACAACCTCTGCCTCCTAGGTTCAAGTGATTCTCCTGCCTTAGCCTCCTGAGTAGCTGGGATTACAGGCATTACAGGCATGCACCACCACGCCTGGCTAATTTTTTTTTTTCTTTTAGTAGAGATGGGGTTTCACCATGTTGGTCAGGCTAGTCTCGAACTCCCAACCTCAGGTTATCCACCTGCCTCGGCCTCCCAAGATGCTGGGATTACAGGCATGAGCCACTGCGCCTGGCCCATATAAGTTGTTAATCCTATTTCAAGTTAACTTTTGCATTTGGTATAAAATAATGGTTCAATTTTATTCTTTTGCATGTGGTTATGGAGTTTTCCCATCATTTATTAAAGAGAGTATCCTTTACCCATCGTGTATTCTTAGGACTCTTCTCAAAGGCATTTAATTTGGGGCTCTCTATTCTGTTCTAAGAGCCTGTTTTTATGCTAGTATCATACTGTTTTTATTTACTGTACCTTGGCAATATAGTTTGAAATCAGGAAGTATAATTCTTAACAGCTTTGTTGCTCTTTCTCAAAATTGCTTTGCCTATTCAGAGTCTTTTGTGATTCTGTACAAATTTTAAGATTGTTTCTTCTATTTCTGTGAAAAATGTCATTGGATTTTTGATAGGGATTACATCAAATCTGTATATCACTTTGGGTAGTATGGATCTATTTGCGATGTTAATTCTTTCAATTAGTGAACATGAGCTATCTTTCCAGTTATGTGTGTCTCCTTTAATTTCTTTCATCAGTGTTTTATACATTTCAGCATACATATCTAGATATTTCACATGCATGATTAAATGCATTTCTAACTATTTTATCGTTTTTGATGCTATTGTAAATGGGACTGTTTTCTTAATTTTTTGGATAGTTGGTTCTTGATGTATAGAAAACCCACTGACTTTTGTATGTTGATTTTGTATCCTGAAACTTTACTGAATTTAGTTATTAGTTCTAACAGTTTTTTCATGGAGTCTTTAGAGTTTTCAATATTTAAGATCATGTCATCTTCAAACCGAGATAATTTAATGTCTTTCTTTCCAATTTGGGTTCCTTTTACTTACTTTTCTCTCTTAATTGCTGTGGCTAAGACTTCCAGTACTATGTTGAACAGAAGTGGCAAGAGTGGGCATCTTTTTCTTGTACCTGAGTTTAAAAGAAAAGCTTTCAGCTATCATCACTGAGTATGATGTTAGCTGTGGGATGGTCATATACGGCCTTTCTTGTATTGAGGCACAGTTCTTCCATATGTAATTTGTGAAGTTTGTATCATGAATTTATGTTGAATTTTGTAAAATGCTTTTATTGAATCTATGGAGGTGATCATATGATTGTTATCCTTTATTCTGTTAATGTGGTATATCGCAATTATTGTTTTGCACATTATGAAACATCCTTGCATCCCAGGATAAATCCTACTTGATTATAGTGTATGATCCTTTAAATGTGTTGTTGAATTTGGTTTGCTAACATTTTGTTGAGGAGTTTTGCATCTATGTTCATCAGTGATTTTGTCCTGTAATGTTCTTTTCTTGTAGTGTTCTTAGTTAGCTTTGGTATAAAGATAATGCTGGCCTGATAAAATTAGTTTGGAAGTCCTTCCCACTCTTCAACTTTTTGGAAGATTTTGAGGAGAATTGCCATGAATTCTTCTTCAAATATTTGATAGAATTCACCTTGAAGCCATCTAGTCCTGAGATTTTCTTTTCTTTGAGGTTTTAGATTACAGGTTTAATCTCCTTTCTCATTATTGTTCTGTTCATATTTTCTCTTTCTTCATGATTAACTTTTTGCAGGTTGTACATTTCTAGGAATTTATTCATTTCTTCTAGGTTATTCAATTTGTTGGTGTATAGTTGTTCATAGTGGTCTCTTATGATCCTTTGTATTTCTGTGGTATCAGTGGTAATGCCTCCTCTTTCGTTACGTTTTCTTTATTGTGAGCCATCTTTTTTGTTCTTGGTTACTCTAACTACAGTTTTCTCAACTTTGCTTATCTTTTCAAAAACGCGACTTTAGTTTTGTTGATATTTCCTATTGTGTTTCTAGTCTCTATTTTATTTCTTTTTATTCTAATATATATTTTTTAATTTTCTGACTTTGGACTGAGTTTGTGCTGCTTTTCTGGTTTTTTTTGGGCTAAGTAGCTTGTATATTTGAGATTATTCTTATTTCTTAATATAGGCATTTATTGCTATAACGTTTGTTCTTAAAACTGTGTTTCCTGCATCCCATACGTTTTGGTATGTTGTGTTTCTATTTTTACTTGTCTCAAGATACTTTAAAATTTCTCTTTTGATTTCTTATTTGAGCCATTGATTTCAGGAGTATGCTGTTTAATTTGTACATATTTGTGAATTTCCCAAAATCTCTTGTGTTATTGATTTCTAATTTCATACAACTGTGGTCAGAAAAGATACTTGATATGATTTCAACACTCTTAAATTTGCTAAGAATTGTCTTATATCCCAGCATATGATCTATCTTAAAGAATGTTCCATGTGCTCTGGAGAAGAGTAAGTATGCTACTGCTGTTAGACAGAAGGTCAAGACCTTCTGTTGGGTCCCTAGGCTAATGGGATTACTTCTGAGATTGCAGTCAAGTGGAGTCAGAGCTGAGTTACAACTGCTGCTGGGCCCACAGTGGGGACCATGTTTAGTGGGCCTCTTCCCAGGTGCTCAAGCTGGCATGGATTATACCTCCATGACTTTGGTCAGTAGGGCTGGTGATGGGACAAGTGTCTGTCTACTCAGGGTCCATAGTTGGTTGTTACCAGGTGTGTATACCGGTGCGGATCCTTCTAGGTCCTTGGGATAGCTCCTCCTGGGTCACTGGGTAAGTCCCTGGGCAGGCATGACTGCACAGGTAAGAGTGACTGGAGAAGAGTTACAGGGCCATTTTGGAGTCTACTGTGGTATCAAGGTAAACAAGCCTGCCTCCCTGGGTGTGAAAGATTGAGCATGCCTCCTGGGGGGGTCTTTGAGTGGGAAAAACTGCTCTCAGCTCACAGATGAGAAGGCCTAGAGCCAAGTTACAAAACTATTACAGGACCTTCTGTGGGTCTGAGATTGGTAGACCTTCTCTGAATGCACAGATAGCTGTATCTCCTGGCAAGACTGTGCTTGGGCAAGAATGCTCTCAAAACACAATTGAGAGGGTCTATGGCTGAGTTACAGGACTGCTTCAGAGTTCACTGCCCAGGCTGAGGTCAGCGAGCCCATCACCAGAGGGAGCAGTGCCCGTGACTCCACCCCAGTCCTTTGGCAGATGACTGTGGTAGCAGGATCAAGGCCAAACAGGCTTATAGCCGAGCCCACAAGGAGATGAGGCTGATTCCAGACCTATTGCCTGCACCAACAGTCAGCAAGCCTGCCACCTAGATGCAGGCCTCCCCTTTCCTCAACCTCCTAGGTTTTAAGCCAGACCAGGGTTTCACAACCTCCCACCTGGATCCCAAAGGCTCTTTTGTCTAAATAAATCTCTCAATGTATTTAAATATTCTTTGATTCCTGTCATCAGAGTTTAGTAGTTTCCTGCATATAGATTTTGTACATATTATGTTAGCTGTTTACCTAAGAATGTCATTTTTGGTGCCATTGTAAATGTTTTTGTGAGTATAATTTTGAATTTCAAATGTCCATAGTTGGTGTATGGAAAACAAATGACTGTTGAATATTGGCCTTTTATCCTGTGATCTTGCTGTAATCACATCAATACCAGGACTTTGTTTTGACCATTTCTTAGGATTTTATACATAAATAATCATGTCATCTGTGTATGCAATAGACTGAATAATAATTACCAAAGCTAACCAAGTCCTAATATTTGGAACCAGTGAATATTATGTTACGTGGCAAAAGGGATATTGCACATGTGGTTAAAAGATGGGGAGATTGTCTGAGATTGTCCAGAGTGCCTGAAATATAATTGCAAGTGTCCTTATAAAAGGGATGCAGAAGTAGCTTTGATTATGGGTAGGAGAAGGCAATGTGATGAGAGAAATGGTGATTGGAGTGATGCGGCCACACTTCAGGGGATGCAAGCAGCCACCAGAAGCAGAAAGAAGCAAGGAACAGACTCCACTCTGCAAGTGACCAACCCCAATAACACCTTGATTTTAGTCCTATGTCTTAGTCTGTTTTGGGTTGCTATAACAAAATACCACAAACTGAGTAATTTATAAAGAAAAGAAATTATATTTCTCACAGTTCTGGAGACTTGGAAGTACAATATCAAGGTGACAGTATCTGGTAAGGGCCTTCTGGCTATGTCACCCATGGCAGAAGGCAAAAGGTGAGAGATGGTGAGAGAGCTAAGAGGGAAGCCAAACTCATCATTTCATCAGGAACCCACTCCCACAATAACTAACCCACTGCCACAATAATGGCACTAATTCATTCATAAGGGAAGAACCCTCATGACCTAATCACCTCCTAAAGTTCCCACCTCAGCATTGTTGCATTGGGGAATAAGTTTCCAACACATGAACTTTGGGGTACACATTCAAGTCATGACACCCTATATGACTAATTTTGGACTTTTAGCCTCCAGAAATGTAATAGAATAAGGATGTATCATTTTAAACCATGGACTTTGTCATAATTTGCTACATCAGCAATAAGAAACTAACACAATCAATAAAGACAGATTTATTTCTTCCCTCTGTACCTACACAATTTTTACTTCCTTTCTTGTCTTATTGTATTAGCTATGACTTATAGTATAATGTTAAATGGGAGTGGAGGGAAAAGATCTCCCTGCCTTGTCCCTGAACTTAGGGGGAAAGCTTCCAGTTTCTTACCACGAAGTAGTATGATGTTAGCTGTAGGTTTTTTGCAGATGTTCCTTGTCAAGTTGAAGCTGTTATCCTCTATTCCTATTTGCTGAAAGTTTATATCAAGGATGGGTACTGGACTTTGTCTAGTGCTTTTTCTGCATCAATAGATATTGTATTAGTTCATTCACACACTGCTATAAAGAACTACCTTAGACTGGGTAATTTATGAAGAAAAGAGATTTCGTTGACTCACAGTTCTGCAGACCTAACAGAAAGCATGGCTGGGAGGCCTCAGGAAACTTAAAAACATGGCAGAAGGAGAAGGGGAAGCAGGCACGTCTTACCAGGGCGACCCCATGATCCCATCACCATCAGGCCCCTCCTCCAATTCGACATGAGATTTGGGCAGGGACACAAATCCAAACCCTATTATTCTGCCCCTGGCCCCTCCCAAATCTCATGTCCTTTTCACATTTCAAAATACAATTATCCCTTCTCAACAGTCCCCCAGTATTAACTCATTTCAACATTAACTCAAAAGTCCGAAGTCCAAAGTCTCATCTGAGACAAGGTAAGTCCTTTCCACCTATGAGCCTGTAAAAATAAAATAAAATAATTAGTTACTTCCAAGATACAATGAGGGTACAGGCATTGGGTAAATGCTCCCATTCCAAATGGGAGATATTAGCCAAAACAAAGGGGCTACAGGCCTTATGCAAGTCCAAAACCCAGCAGGGCAGTCATTAAATCTTGAAACTCCAAAATAATCTCCTTGGACTCCATGTCTCACATCCAGGGTACACTGACGTAAGGGGTGGGTTCTCCAAGCCTTGGGCAGTTCCACCCCTGGGGAGGAGCTGTGCAGGGTACAGCCTCTGTGGCTGCTTTCATGGGCTGGTGTTGAGGGCCTTTGGTTTTTATAGGTGCACAGTGCAAGCTGTTGGTAGAGCTATCATTCTGGGATCTGGAGGATGGTGGCCCTATTCTCACAACTCCACTAGGCAGTGCCTCAGTGGGGACTTTGTGTAAGGGCTCCAACCCCACATTTCCCCTCTGCACTGCCCCAGTGGAGATTCTCCATGAGGGCTCCACCCCTGCAGCAGAATTCTGCCTGCACACCAGGTGTTTCCATACGTCCTCTGAAATCGAGGCAGATGTTCTCAGACCTCAATTCTTGTCTTTGGCACACATGCAGGCTCAACACCATATGGAAGCTGCCAAGGCTTGGGGTTTGCACCTTCTGAAGCCACTGCCTGAGTTGCGCCTTGGCCCCTTTTAGGCATGGCTGGTGCTGGAGTGGCTGGGATGCAGGGTTCCATGTCCCAAGGCTGCACAGAGAAGCTAGGCCCTGGGCCTGGCCCACTAAATCATTTTTCCCTTCTAGGCCTCCAGGCCTGTGATGGGAGGGGGTGCTGTAAAGGTCTCTGAAATGCCTTGGAGACTCCATTCTTGGCTATTAACATTTGGCTCCTCTTTACATATGCAAATTTCTGCAGCAGGCTTGAATTTCTCCCCAGAAAATGGGTTTTTCTTTTCTATCACATGGTCAGTCTGCAAATTTTACAAACTTTTGTGCTGTTTCCCTTTTAAATGTAAGTTCCAGTTTCAAATAATCTCTTTGTTCATGCATATGACTGTACATGTTTAGAAACAGCCAGGTCACCTCTTGAATGCTTTGCTGCTTAGAAATTTCTTCCACCAGATACCCTAAATCATCTCTCTCAAGTTCAAAGTTCCACAGGTCTCTAGGGAAGGGGCAAAATACCACCAGTCTCTTTGCTAAAGCATAGCAACCGTGACCTTTACTCCAATTCCCAACAAGTTCTTCATCTCCATGTGAGACCACCTCCACCTGGACTTCGTTGTTCATATCATTATCAGCATTTTGGTCAAAACCATTCAACAAGTCTCTAGGAAGTTCCAAACCTTCCCACGTCTTCCTTTCTTCTTCTGAGCCCTTCAAACTGTTCCAACCTCTGCTCTTTACCCAGTTCCAAAGCCGCTTCCACATTTTCAGGTATCTTTATAGCAATGCCCCACTCCCGTACCAATTTTCTGTATTAGTCTGTTCTCACACTGCTATAAAGAACTACCTGAGACTGGGTAATTTATGAAGAAAAGAAGTTTAATTGACTCACAGTTCTGCAGGCTTAACAGGAAGCATGGTAGGGAGGCCTCAGGAAACTTATAATCATAGCAGAAGGCAAAGGGGAAGAAAGCACATCTTACTGTGGTGACGGGAGAGAGAGAGCAAAGGGGAAAGTGCCACATACCCGTAGACCATCAGATCTCATGAGAACTCACTCTGACAACAAAAAAAGCATGGGGGAAATCTTCCCCCATGATCCAATCACCTCCCACCAGGCCCCTCCTCAAATTTGACATGTGATTTGAGTAGGGACACAAATCCAAACCATATCAGATATGGTCATATAAATTTTATTTTTTTACCTGTTGATGTGGTAGATAGCATTGTTTTCCAGTGTTGAACCAGCTTTGCATATCTGAAATAAATTGGTTGTGGAATACAATTCTTTTATACCTTGTTGGATTCAAGTTACAAATATTTTTTGAGGATTTGTGTATTTGTTCCTGAGAGATATTAGTCTATAGTTTTTCTTACTCTTACTAATAATGATTTATCTGATTTTAGTATCAGAGAAGTGCTGGCCTCATAGAATGCATTAGAAAGTGTTCCCTCTGCTTCTATTTTCCAGAAGAGATTGTAGAGAATTATTGTATTTTCTGTCTTAAATGTGTGATACAATGCACCAGTGAAACTATCTGATCCTTCTGCTGACATTCTTGGAAGGTTATTAACTCCTGATTTATTTTTTATACATATTGACCTGTAATGATTATCTATTTCATCTTTGATGAGTTTGGTAGTTTGCATTTTGCAAGTAATTGGCCCATTTCATATAAGTTATCAAATTCGGGGTCACGGAGTTATTCATCATATTATTTTACTATCTTTTCACATTGAAGGGATTCCTGCTGATGACATATCTTAAATTTCTGATATTAATAATTTTGGTCTTCTCTGTATTTTTCTCAGTCTGACTAGAAGTTTATCAATTATATTGATCTCTTTAAAGAACTAGCTTCTGATTTTATTTTCTCTTATTTTCCATTTTTTATGTTCATCGACTTCTGCTCTAATTTTGCTTATTTGTTTGCTTTAGGCTTAAATTTATTTTTCTATTCATAATTCCCAAATGTGGAAGCTTAGATTATTGATTTTAAATCTTCTTCCTTTGTAATATATGCATTTAATGCTATAAATTTTTCTCTAAGTATTATTTTCATTGCATTCTACATATTTTGATAATTTGAATTCTCATTTTCAGTTAGGTCAAAATATTTTGTAAAAATTTTTCTTGAGGCTCCTTCTTGACCCATGTGTTATTTGAGGTTAATTTATAAGCATTTTAGGATTTTTGTGGTATATTTCTGTTGTTAATTTCTATTTTAATTCTATTGTCATCTGAGTTTATATTTTATATTTAATTTTTATTTAAACAAATACGTTAAATATGTTAAGGTGTGTTTTATGGCCAAACATGTGGCCTTTGTGAGTGTTTCAATGTGAGCTTGAGAAGAATGTATATTCTGCTGTCGTTCAATGAATTATTCTATAAAAGTTAATTAGATTCAGTTGATTGATGTTTCAGTTCAGTTCAACTTACATCTTGTTGGAGAATTAGCCTCATCAATCTTTGTGTAAGTCTCTGCTTTATCCCTGCTATTTTTTTTTCTTTGGAAGCCTGCTTTGTCTTAAGTTAATAGCTGCCCTGAGAGCATCCTGAAAGTTGGAATGGGTATGTGGGGCAAGACTCTGATGAAGCTGGGATCGTTAAGCCCCTACATTCTGATGAATCTTCTTTGCCAGTAGAAACAACTCTCCAGCCCAGTAGGAATGGCTGCTCTGAACCTATTTGGGGCAATTAACACTGTATAGCCTGAGGTGACTGCAATGGGCCCCCTGAGGTAGTTGCCATGCAAAACACAGCTGATTTTTTTCAGGACCCACCCCATAACTACACTCACATCACAACAGGACTCTAAAGGCGAGGTAGAAAGTGTGACCCATGAAGAGGCGTGACACACTCCAAGGGAATTAGTTGTGTTTTCTTATTTATACAGACAAAAATCCAGGCTATATGTGCAGAAATGAATAGTAAGTGTGTGGGCTAATGAGAGAAAGTTAGATCAGGGTAAGTTTATTGATATGGGCCCACTAAGCAGAGACTCTGCATTTAATATTGTAGCTTGGGGAGTCAGAAAGGACTCTAACAGTTTGGTTGGTGGACCCAAAAAGGGATCAAAAGGTGGCCCACAGCAAGGGAGTTAAAATATAAATGCCAGGTGTGCCTTGGTTTAATGCCGAAGAAGGGATTAAAGGCTTAAAGACATTGGGATGTTAGAGTGGATTTTCCATTTAAGACCTACTTATATGCCCTGGGAGGCTTCAAAAGACATACCTTTCACCAAAATGGTGAGAAATAAATTTTTGAGGAGAGCCTCAGCATCCTTGATGTGTTTGTTCTCTATAGGCAAGATTTTTAGTGGAAACTAGAGTCACTGAATTGGGAAAACTAAATGTAATGGGAGTAACTGGATCCCAGGTTGGCAGGAGCCAAGTACCAGCATTCAGCCACCAAAATCCAGGTGGGCCTAGCTGACACAGTGGACAGCAATGTCACAGCAGCCACTAGAATAGTCTCACTCGTGGAGACCTATGGCATTGGCTAGTTGATCATGGTGCTCCTAGAAGTGAAATAGATAGGAAGCCAACTAAATTCTTACTTGATCTGTATAAGCAGAAAAAGTTGTAGGTCAAGTGAATAAAAGTCTAACTCTAATACTGAAAAACAGAGAATCATGATCCCTCAATCAATTATCAGAGGCAAAGTAAGGCCTTTATTCTTCCTGTAAGGGATAAAAGCCAAGTCCCCTTGAGGAAGAAACCCATGACACTGCCAAAAATTTATAATGTTAATCTCTTTCTCAGCCTTCCCCAGAGGAGCTTATGGCCTTTTAACAAGATGACTAAGCATTAGGGAAAAGTAAATAATCAGACATTTTGGTGACTGCTGGACACTGGCTCTGAATTGACACTAATTCCTGGTGGCACTGAACACCACTGTGACTCAACAGTCAGAGTAGGGGTTATGCAGATCAGGTGATCAGTGGAGTTTTAGCTCATCTTATAGTAGATTCAGGTAATCTCTGAACCCATCCTGTGGTTATTTCCCAGTTCCAGAGTGCATAATTGGAATGGACATATTCAGCAACTATCAGAATCCCCACATTGGTTCTCTGACCTGTGGAGTGAGGGCCATTATCATAGGAACTGCCTGTACCTAAACAATGTAAACCAAAAGCCATACTGCATTCTTGGAGAGATTACAGAGGTTAGTGCTACTCTCAAGGACTTTGAAAGATGCAGGCGTGGCAGTTGCTACCATATCCACATTCAATTGTGCTATTTGGACTGTGCAGAAGACAGATGGACCTTAGAGAATGACAGTGGATTCATGAGCTTAATCAAGTATTAACTTTAATTGTAGCTGCTTTAGCAGATGTGGTTTCATTACTTAAGCAAATTAACACATCCCCTGGTACCTGGTATCTGAGATCTGGCAAATGCCTTTTTTTTTCTGTATCTGTTTCGAAAGGCCATTAGAAGCAGTTTGCTTTCAACCTGCAAGGCCAACAATACAAATTGAGTGTCCTATCCCAAGGGTATATCAGCTCTCCAGCCCTGTGTCATAAATTCAGTTCATACAGAACTTGAGGCCTTTTCCTTCCACCAGATACCACGCTGGTCCATTATCTTAATGACATTATACTGATTTAACCTAGTGAGTGTGAAGTAGCAACCACTCTGAACTTATTGGTAAGACATTTGCATGTCAGAGGGTAGGAAATAAATCCAACTAAAATGCAAGGGCATTCTACCTCAGTGAAGTTTCTAGGGGCCTAGTGCTGTGGGGTGTGTCAAAATATCCCTTGTAAGGTGAAAGAGAGTTGCAACATCCCGTCCCTCCTATAACCAAGAAAGAGGCTCAAGGCCTAGAGGCCTCTTAGTATTTTGGAGGCAACGTATTCCTCATTCAGGTCCAACCCATTTACAAAGTGAACTAAAAAGCTGCGAGTTTTGAGTGGAGCCTAGAAAAGAGAAGGTTCTGCAAAAGGCCTACATTACTGTGCAGCTGCTGTGCCCCTTGAGCCACATGAGCCATCAGATCCAATGGTACTTGAAGTGTCAGTGGCAGGGAGAAGTGCTGTGTGGAGCCTTTGGCAGGCCCTTTTAAGTGAATCGCAGTGCAGACATAGGACTCTGGAGAAAGGATCTGCCATCCCCTGTGAATAACTACTGTCTTTCTGAGGAACAGCTTTTGGCCTATTCCTGGGCCCTTTTAGAGCCTGAACACCTAATCCTGGTCCATCAAATTACCATGCAAGCTGAGTTGGCCATTATGAGCTGGGTATTTTCTTACCCACCAACTCAAGAGGTAGATGTGCACAGTAACAATCTATCGTCAAATGGAAGTAGTATATGTAAGATTGAGCTTGAGCAGGCCCTAATGGCACAGTTAAGTTACATGAAGAAATGACACAAATGTCCATGCCTTCCATAGAAGCCTGAACCTATGGCCTCATGGAGAGTTCCCTATGATCAATTGTAGAGGAAAAGAATCTCAAGCCTGGTTTACAGATAGTTCTGCAGCATATGCAGACACTACCGAAAAGTGGACAGCTGCAGCACTGCGACCCTCTCTGGATCATTCCTGAAGAACACTGATAAAGAAAAAATCCTCTCCATGGGCAAAACTTCAAGCAGCACACCTGGTTGTTCACTTTATTTACAATGAGAAATGGCCAGCAATGAGATTCTATACTGATTTATGAGCTGTGGCAAATGGTTTGGCTTAATGGTCATGTCCTTAGAAGGAACAATATAGGAGTATTGGTGAAAACGAAGTATGGAGAAGAGGTATGAGAGTAGACCTCTTTGAATGAGAGAAAAACATGAAGATATCTGTGTCCCATGTGAATGCTTACCAAGATTTTAGTAATAAAATGGATAGAATGACTCATTCTGTGGATACAGTCAGTTTCTTTCCCCATCCACATTTGTCATAGTCCAATGGGCTCTTTGCCATTGTGGCAAAGATGGGGATTATGCATGGGCTTAGCAACACGGACTTCCACTCACCAAGGTTGACCTGACTATGGCCACTGTTGAATGCTCAATCAGTCAGCAGAAGAAACAGCACTGATTACTTGATACAGGATCATTCTTCGAGATGATCAGTCAGTAACCTGGGGCAGGTTGATTACATTCTATTGCTTCCATTATGGGAAAAGCAGGGTTTTGTTTCTACTAGACAAGGCACTTACCCTGAATATGTATTTTCCTTCCTTGCATGCAATGCTTCTACTAAGACTACAATCTGTGGACTTACAGAATGCATTAGTCACTGTTATGTTATTCCACACAGCATTGTTGCTGATCAAGGAACTCACTTCACAACAAACAAAGTGCAGCAACGGGCTCATGCTCATGGAATTCATTGGCCTTTCTATGTTCCCCACCATGCTACAAAAGCAGGCTTGGTAAGATAGTGGAATGGCTCTTTGAAGACTCAGTCACAGAGTCAGCTAGATGGCAATACCTTGCATGGCTGGGACAAAGTTCTCCAAAAGGCTGAATATGCTTTAAATCAGTGTCTAATATATGGTTCTGTTTCTCCCATGGCCAAATGCATAGGTCCAAGAATCAAGGGGTAGATATGGGAGTGACACAACTCACCATTACCCCTGGTGACCACTAGCGGAATGTTTGCTTCCTGTTCCCATGACTTTATACTCTGCTGGGCTAGGGGTCTTAGTTCCAAAGGGAGGAATACTTCCACCAGGAAACAAAGTGATTCCATTGAACCTGAAGGCTGCTGTCACCTTTCTCAGCACACAAATGATGGGGATGTAAGGCTGGTGCTCATGGAATTGCAATTGCCTCTTGTCTTTAAAGGCAGTTAATTTCTACCCAGTTTCTGAGACTGTGGAAGGAAAGCAGACAAGGTCTCTGCTTGACTAGTAGATTTTGCTCTTCCCCACCCTCACCATAAAGTTCAAAGGCACAAACTGAAAAGATTTTGAAAGCTGGCTCAAAGCCTTTTTCTTCTGTTAACAAAAAGTTAGAGTATTTTGCTTGGGAGGATCAGTTTCATAATTGTATCAGTGCTCCTATTCTAGAATTTCTAGAGCCAATTCTTCAGTAATGGGCATCTCAAGCAAGCACATGCAAGTTGTATGTTTATTAACAATTTTTTTTTAAACTGGCAATGCTTCTCATGTTCCCTTACAGAGGGAGGAAGACATATCTGGAGAGACTGTGGAAAGAGCAGAAGAAAACATAAACTGATTACACCCACAGAACAATTGCTGATGGAACATGAAGGATGCTTTAGGGAAAGCACCCTGATGTTTCACATTCAAATTGCCTCATCATGTGTTTTTAAGGTGCTGCCTGTCTCCAGGCACAGAGGTGCCTGGAACTAAAACCTCAGTGTTTGTCCTCTCTGTATTATCCTTGGCTCCAGAGCAAGGAGAGAGTTCCAGGACAGGTGTGTACAGTGTTTGCAGGTGAATCTGCATGTTGGTCTGTGCACTCGTTTCTCCTTTCCACCCCAGCAGTCAGTGGTGATTTATAAGCATCCTTCTGCATGCCCTTGTGATGTGAGGGAAAGAGCAGAAACATTTGGTTTAGAAAATAAATGGAGTCTAAGTAAGACCTTGAGCCTTTAGTGGGTTAGTTGTCAGCTTTTGGACAGATCCCTTTACCTTCTTACCCTTAGCTTTCTCCCCTATGAAACAGGGCCATGATCTTGTAAAAGGATGAAAATGACATGAGTAATTGCAAATAATTATAAACATCAGGGAAAATTCAATCTACATCTACTACGCCTTCCATTCCTTTTCAACTATGTTATACATTTCTTTTAACTTTAGCTATTCATGGTGCAAGGGATCTTCCAGATCTCTAGAAAGCTAATTCAAAGACTGACATTAGAAAACTTTACAGAAAAAAAAAGATTAAAGAGTTGCAGGCATGGGTGCAAAGAGCAACATAGCTGCTAAAGGAAGCTTGAAATCTTTGTCTAGTCCTGGGGACCCAGCTGGAGTTGTCAGGAATCAGCAGAGCAGGTGTTCAGCTGAGGTTTGGAAGAATTCTTAGCCCATTGAAATACTTTATGGGCCGGGCATGATGGCTCACACCTGTAATCCCAGCACTTTGGGAGGCCAAGGTGGGTGGATCACGAGGTCAGGATGTTGAGACCATCCTGGCTAACACGATGAAACCCTGTCACTACTAAAAAATACAAAAAAATTAGCTGGGCATGGTGGCAGGCACCTGCAGTCCCAGCTACTTGGAAGGCTGAGGCAGGAGAATGGCGTGAACCTGGGAGGCAGAGCTTGCCATGAGCCAAGATCGTGCCACTGCACTCCAGCCTGGGTGACAGAGCGAGAGTCCGTCTCAAAAAAACAAAACAAAACAATAAAACTTTATAAAGTCCTGATGCGGTGGCTTATGCCTGTAATCCCAGCATTTTGGGAGGCCGAGGTGGGCAGATCACTTGAGGTCAGGAGTTCAAGACCAGCCTGGCCAACATGGCAAGACCCTGTCTCTACTAAAAATACAAAAGTTAGCCGGGCGTGGTGGTGGGCACCTGTAATCCCAGCTACTTGGGAAGCTGAGGCAGGAGAATCGGGTGAGCCTGGGAGGTGAAGGTGGCAGTGAGCTGAGATCACACCACTGCCCTCCAGCCTGAGCAATAAAGTGAAACTCTGTCTCGAAAAAAAAAAAAAAAAAAAAAAAACTTCATAAAAATGCTAAAATATTTATCCAGAATGCTCATTTATTTCTAGGATGAGGTTTATGCATTTCATCATGCAAAAAGTTCTGTTCAGGTCAGGACTAGAACAAATATTAATATATATTTACAAATGTTTGCAATGTACAAAAGGCTCTGTTAGTGATCTGCTGTAAAGAAAAAGAAAGGCTGCATCAGCCTTTGAAGTTTTGTTTGCCTTTGAAGCTGGAGGAAGTCATATTGCCTGAGTGCTGCTCTTCACATTAAGAAGGTAGGGCCACTTGAGGGACACCATCTGACAGGCTGCAATCTAGGAGAGACCTACAGGGTTCCAAAGGCTCAGTGTGCTAATTTCTGAAACAGGATAGAACCTCCCATCACCTCAGAGCGATGGGACGGCAGGCAGGCCTTGGCGAGCCTCACTTCATCTCCACCCTCTTCATGAAGCCCCTGACTTTTAGTTCTCTGCCTAACAGTCCAGAAGGGACTGGCCATTTCCAGCTAAAGGTCAGGCTGTCTTAGGCATAGTTGAAGTAACAGAATCATCCTTATTGCTGGTTGCTTTTTTCACTTTTATTTCTTTATTTCCTCTTCTCTTGAGGCTTTCAGAGGCACATTTTGGTGAGAGAAAATAAGTCTAAACATTTATGAATTAGAAATATTGGCTTCTGGCATCCTTGTGCCAGTTGTGTGGGAATCTATTTCTTAATAAGATCATAATTAAGAGCACGGTTGCAGATTGTGACTGTGTTTACAGGGGCCACTGAACTTGGCCTGTAAATAACAAACAAAGTCATAAAAACTATCCAGAGAATAAAAGGTGCATCCTACAGTGAAGCCCTAAGAGACAGTAGTCCCCAGGCTGGCTGGAGAGCAGCACAGTAGCCACTCTGCTGCAGCGGGAAGGGATTGAGGAGATGTCACGGAGTCTGAGTGGCAGAGCCAGGGCCAGATCCAGCCCATGAGGTCACAGGCTGAGGAGTTTCTGAGTTTCAGAGCCACAGGCACAGCCCAACCCCAGGACTGAAAGATGCCAGTTACTCATCCAGTCCCCAAGGAGTTCCTGCCGCTGACCTTTGAGAGAGAAGACCCCAGGGAACAAGCCTTTCACCAGAAGGGGGAAACTGGAGCTTGAGTAGCTGACATTAAATACTCATGTTGTCTTTGGTTATAGATTTAATCTCCCTGACTCTGTTTATTTTTCGTTTTTGTCTTTCATCATGAGTATGTGGTCCTAAAGCAGTGAATCTCAAACTATGTTTCTAAAGCATCTGAACCTGCTGGGAAATGAAAAGTTACCCACTATTTAATATAAATATACATGCATATACACATACACATACAAATGCATGTACAAATACATATGCAAATACATGCACAAGTGCATATACATGAGCATGTATCCACGCATATCATATACATGTACACATACACATACATACATATACACATATAGACATATGCATATACATAGACAAAAGTATAGCTGTTTTGGCTGAAGCTCCGGTCTCACTCACTCAACTCACACTCACCCTCTCCCTCGTCTGGCCTTCATAGTGACACCTAAGCACCCTCACAAAAAGCCTAGGCTCTGCCCAACTCCACTTTAAAACCACTGAGCTTTGATTCAGTCAAAAGCTTGTCCTCACCAACCAGCTTGCCAGTGAATCTGAAAATGTGGACCTTTGCGTGAGTCAGTGCTTTCTGACATCAAAATCTCTTGAAGGAAAGAGGATCGTTCCCCTATTTTAAAGATTGAATTTGGCAAAAAATTTAAAAAAAAGAAGTAAGAATTTCAAGCCAGATGGAAAAAATCTTTAGGGCTAAACAAAATCTCATAAAATGAATGAGGAGGAACTAAGCATAAACTATGTGATATTAATGGGTTAGAGATGTGCAGAAGTTTAGGGAAGATATTATACATGAGCAGAGCATTTAGAGATTGATGGGTTTCTGGATAAGTGGAGGGAAGCAGTGTAGGAGGAAAAAGCCATGGGTAAAATAAAAGTTCCTGATGATCACAGATGTCACAGGACTGGAGGAGTTTGTGCTATAAAAGGGAGAGGGATCGTAGTTGAGATAATGAGAAGATGAGAGAGACTCGTAGGAGCCTCATTATGGAATCTACGGAGGGCTGATAAGGGCAGGGCTGATCCTGTCACTCAGATAGGATGTAGAACGCTATCTCTGAGTGGGACAAGAACTCTGCCAGGCTGGTTCAGGACCGGGCGAGTGAGGGTGAGGTCTTGCTCAGCATTTTCAATGAGTGGGCCAATCAGTGGCTCTATGAAAATGGCAGAGATTCCTTCCTTGGTCCCTGTTGGATAGTCACCTCGTAAAATTGATCCTAATTTCTGACAACTACTCATGAAATATGCCTGCATTTTCCCATGCCAAACATTTGCAAACCATCTATTTGAAAAGTTTAAATGGATATTGTTAACTGAAAAAAAAAAATCCACAATTTTTAAATTTAGAAACGGAAAGGAGACTTTTTTCTTATAAAGGGTTACATCCTGCAAGGTGGCCAACCTGCAGGCTGGGAAGCATGCCTCTGGCTGAAGCCCGGAGACAGGCACTTTGAAGGAGAAGGGGTTGAGTTGTAGAAGCTTCATTCTGAATAGGTTGACTAAACACACATATTCAACAAGTTACAGGAGGAGCTGTGAATATTCATGAAGGTGGTCCTGACACATGCCTAGTGAACAAACATGCATGTAACATACAACCCATATTCACCTTGGGGTGGAGAGTTACCATTTAAATTTGTTACAGTTTAGCCCTATATGTCAACAGGTTTTATCAGGAGACAAAGGCACTTAAGTGTGCAACCTCTGTAAACCAGCCAGAACCAGTCCATGATTGGTGGGCTCTTATCAGGAGAAAGTTACTGAAATCAGTCTCTTGTCTGATCGAAGCTGTAACTATGGCTGGTGGAACAGGAGTTTAGTGAGTGAGTGTCTGTCTGTGAGCTGGATGGATTGTGATTGTTTTAATATTGCTTACGTTGAGGCTGGGGCTTGTTTAGCTGCTAGAGAAAAAGAAAAAGCTGTGAGAACATAGTTTATCCTTTCAGTGTAGGGGTGTGTGACTTACCTCTTGCTTGGCATGGTAGGTCCTGTTTATAATTTGGTATCTTATGGCCACAAAGAGTCTGTTCTGTCATTCTTACAGTCTCTATTTTAACATTAATGCTGGCTGTTGTGACTAAACCGTAAAAGGGAAGGGGCATAACAAGGCATGTCTGATGTCCCATCCTGTCATGGCCAGGAACTCAGTTTTCAGGTTTCTGTGGGCTCTCCTTGGCCACAATGGGGTCTGTTCAATAGGTGGGAGAGTCTGGATTTTATATTTGTTTATTTAGACAGAGTTTCGCTCTGTCACCTAGGCTGGAGTGCAGTGGCATGATCTCGGCTCACTGCAACCTTCGCCTCCCCAGTTCAAGCAATCCTCATGCCTCAGCCTCCCAAGTTGCTGGGACTACAGGTGTGAGCCACAACACCTAGCTTTTTTTTTTTTTTTTTTTTTAGTACTTTTTAGTATTTTTAGTAGAAATGAGATTTCCCCATGTTGGTTAGGCTGGTCTCAAA
This sequence comes from Homo sapiens, assembly GCF_000001405.40. Lineage (NCBI taxonomy): Eukaryota > Metazoa > Chordata > Mammalia > Primates > Hominidae > Homo > Homo sapiens. The sequence goes on from NC_000015.10 coordinate 30,319,171, forward strand.
CTCCTGACCTCAGGTGATCCACCTGCCTCGGCCTCCCAAAGTGTTGGGATTACAGGTGCGAGCCACTGTGCCCAGCTTGGATTTTATTTTTAGTTTACAACATGCATGCCCACACTTGCACATATATGCACACATGTGTGCACACACATATTTATAAGAAGAAAATATGGACAGCTGCTACAGTCTTCATTTCTGGCCACAGTATCGTAGCTAATATTTAACTCAACTAGTTGGGGATCCTTTTTCTTGTCGGGTGACCCAAACCTTAATTCCCAAAGGGTGTGAGTCCTTAGCAGTCCTGCCTTTGTGAGGTTGCTATTATTGTCCATTTCTATTTCCAAAGGCTGACAAAATAAATTACCACAAACTGAGTGGTGGCTCAAAAAACAAATTGATTTTGTCACAGTTCTAGAGGCTGGAAGTCCAAAATCAAGATGTCAGCAGAATGCATTCCTTCTGGAGGTTCTGAAAGAAAAGCCTCCCTAGGCCCCTCTCCTAGCTCTGATGCTGCTGGCACGTCCTGGTAATTTTTTGGCTTGTTGCTTCATCATTCCAGTATCTGCCTCCATTGTCACATGGCACTCTTTCTGTGTGTGTCTGTGTCTCTTCTCTGTTTCCTTTTTTTTTTTTTAAGACGGAGTCTCACTGTCTCCCAGGGTGGAGTGCAGTGGTGCGATCTTGGCTCACTTCAAGCTCTGCCTCCTGGGTCCACACCATTCTTCTGCCTCAGCCTCCCGAGTAGCTGGGACTACAGGTGCCCGCCACCATGCCTGGCTAATTTTTTGTATTTTTAATAGAGACGGGGTTTCACTGTGTTAGCCAGGATGGTCTCGATCTCCTGACCTCGTGATCCGCCCGCCTCGGTATCCCAAAGTGCTGGGATTACAGGCGTGAGCCACCGCGCCCGGCCTTCTCTGTTTCTTATAAGGACGATAGTCACATGGACTAGAGCCCACCCTTATCCAGCTCATCTACCCTTGATATCATTTGCAAAGACTGTACTCCCAAATAACATCACGTTCACAGGTATTGGGGGTTAGGACTTTAGCATAGCTTTTTCGGGGGACACAATCTAGCCCACAAAATTGTCCACTAACATTTTCTATTATGTGTGGCAGAGCCAAGAAGCACTCAAGAGCATCCCCTGGGTTTTTAGGGGGACATGGTTCTTCCTACCTCCCTTGTGAGCAGAAACCCAATTTCTGCTTAGGGATCAGCCAGGACAGTTACTCTATTCTTTATAGTGGAATAAGAAGCCTCAAATGACAGAATAAAGCCTCAGTATCCCATTCAACAGATACAGCCTTATTTTCTCCAGCAGAAGCACTTCTGTCTTAGGAACTAGAATCTCCAAACCAGCAAAGCACAAGATTCTGGAGGGAGAAGCAAAAATCCTGCAGAAGAAATATGAGAAGAGCCATTTCCAATTATGCCTCTTTGATTTCCAGACTCCTGTATTCTGTTGATTGATTGCTGCTTCAAAGCATATACTACTTCCAGAATGCTGTCACTTTATGGGCGCTGTAACTGAGTATTCTCAGGCCATTGTGCCATTATATCAGGACAAGGCAGAAATTGGTGGAGGTCAGTGTTACAATCTGCTTGCCCTATCATGTGGCTGAGTGGTTCCCCCGGGAAGTTAATGCTGCTGAACCCTTGAGTGGCTTCTATCACCACTTCCTTAGCCACTTTATACCCAGACCCATTGAGCAAACACCCCGGAGCCTTCCAGCACACCCACTGAATGTGTCATCACATCCCCCTGATTCCTGAAAGTCTCCTGTGTAGCAGATGACCTTCAGGGAACATTCACGTGGGACACAGGTATGCCCCACCCTGTGTCCCTTCTGAGAAGTCCATTTACACATCTCTTCTTCAGTCTGTCACTAGTTATCCAATGCCATTCTTTCCCAGTCTCTGACCATCTACTCAGAGAACCACACATGAATTTGTGTAGATCTGTACTTCTGGCCATCTGTTACGCAGATAAAATGAAAAACTAAATTTTACTGCTACAAGTTTTGTCCACTGGGAAGCTATCCTTTTCCCTTTGTTCTTCAGCACTATCCTTGAGTGAGACAGTAGCATTGGCAGCGATCCACTTATGGCTGGTGCCAGCATAACAGAACCATCTGCAAACCAGCTGCCGTAGGCAACTCCCAATGAGGTCCTAAGTGTAAATTATGGGAAGAAAAGATGGAGAAGAAGGAAAAGATGGAATCGGAGTCCTTAGCAGTCACCTGCTCATGAAACCTGTTTCTGGACTTGCCGAATCTTATTCTCCTCCCACCTTATGGCCTAGTGTGTCGGTGCATAGCCAATTCATGATGAACAGTGGTCATGAAGTTCTCATTTTGTCTTGACAAAGCTCAGTAGCATAGCAAGATAAGAGTTGATTCTTAAAATAATAATTATATGCAGAGTAGAACATGGCTTTTCTCCAAAGCCCTATATATTTGCATTGCGATTCTCATTTGGGCTTGCCAGAAGCTCCTGAAAACAGATATTCAATTATGCTTTTATTTATTTATTTATTTATTTATTTATTTATTTATTTATTTATTTTGAGACGGAGTCTCGCTCTGTCACCCAAGCTGGAATGCAGTGGTGAGATCTCAGCTCACTGCAACCTCTGCCTCTTGTGTTCAAGCAATTCTCCTGCCTCAGCCTCCCGAGTAGCTGGGACTACAGGTGCCCGCCATCAGGCCTGATTAATTTGTGTATTTTTACTAGAGATGGGGTTTCACTATATTGGCCAGGCTGGTCTCGAACTCCTGACCTTGTGATCCGCCTGCCTCGGCCTCCCAAAGTGCTGGGATTACAGTTGTAAGCCACCACACCTGGCCTTCAATTATGCTTTTATGTGTGTCCATATGGCCCCAGTCACTTACCTTGGAGCTTTGTTGGTTACTCAATAAATGGGTTGGGACAGCACTCTCAAATGTGGTATTTGTTGCCTCCAAAGACATTTTCTCAACACCGTGCCCATTTTTTAGGGGTAGGTAATAGATGAAATAACAACTTCTGTTTCACTTTGGAAGAAATGCCCAAACATGCTTCAGACCACAGGGCCATGAGAAACCTCCCCAAGGCATGGGCCTCGAGATTTCATGGGGTTTATTGTTCACTCTTTGCCACACATGTGTCTCATTAAGACATTTAGGGTTCTTGCTGTGCTTGCTCACCAGATTCAACCAAGATGGTGTCCTGGGTATGGTGGAAGAAGATGTTCTCTGGGATGCAGAGATTTCCCTGAACAAGTCCATCACAGAGAGCAGGAGAGTCTGGCCTCTTCAGATGTGAGCCATCATTAAGTTCAAATTCACTCCACCATCCATGCAAACTGTGAGAGCTGCTCCATGGTGCCCAAATCAGCACATTCAGCTAGAATCTCTGTAAGTGCTCTCACATGGATGGGGTCAGCCTTATTCAGTGTTGAATTCTGTGCTCTGTGGTGTAATGTTCTTAGGATTCATGCACTACATTTACCCATGTTTCTGGTACTTTGAATTGGTGAGTATTGCCCTTTTTATCATTTTTCTTCCCTCTCTCTTTTTTTTCTCTCCTATAAACCATGTCCTTCTGGATTGGACTTTGCTTTTCTCCCTGTGGAACATACTTGACATTTGTGACCCTAATTATGGGTCTCATGCACTAATGGGTGATGGGAGTGAGCCCTGAGAGTTTTAGATATCACCTTACCAGGGAGCTCAAGCATGTGAAGTTATTAAAAGGTCTTCAAATAAGGGAAGATTCTACAGGCAGGGAGAGGAGGCTGCTTCCTTCAGCAAGGATGGCTTAGAGAGACTTGGGGTGTAAATTTCCCAGCTTTTCTTGAATCCACACAGATAACCCAATTCCAAGTCTTGGAGAGCCCCCTGCTACAATCAAAGCCTAACTTTTACACAAATGTATTGGCGAGTCTGAGGATTGAACTTACACTGTAATTTTGTACCTACTCCATTAAATTCTGCATCTATTTTATACAGCTCTATCTGCCTTGCTGCTTGTAAGTAAAACAAAGATGTTTTGTTTTGGTTTTAGTGTCACTGGAGAAGCTGTCTGATTCTCTGAACATGACGCAAGCCTTGCTGTCACCACCACCGTGAAGGTCAGATACAGCACCCAAGGTACTTGCTGCAATAGGCCTTTCTTCCCCTGCAACTGAGGTGATAATTGAATCATAATACCACTGCACGCCTTGGGTTATAGGAATCCCGTTTCCCACTCAGCATTGCATTCAAGACAAAGGACATACCAAGTCAACCCTAACATCTCACATCAGATGTTCATAAACGGCTCACATTTTCTGTACTTTATGCATATTTTTTTACTCATAAAAGAGTCAAGGGGAAACAGCTTTGAAGAAGGAGCCCAAATGATATTAGCGTTCATGCTTATTTTTAGACTTCAAAAAGATAGGTATCTAAACACTACTTACTGGATAAATGTAAGGGTGTATTTTAGCCTTTGTAGATTTCCTAACAGTAATTATTAACTATACAACCATACGAACTCATTATTAAGTACTTAGTGTGCTTTTGACATCAGCTCCATCTCGATTTCTTTGAATTGCATGAGCTGTTTTGTAGGACAGTACACATCTGTCCTGGAAGTGTCCCAGAGAGCCAGCAAACCCCTCACCTGCTGGACTGTGGCTGTGTTGGGAACCTGTCTACGTTTAAAACTCCAATGCTTTGACTGAGTGGTATTGGCTGGATAAAATCTGTGGTCTTTGTGAGCTCTACAAGGGCAAAGCTGGTTAACTTGTTCATTTCAAAGGAGTAATCTTAATATTGTTAATGTGGCTTGTGGCATCAAGGTTATTAGAATTTAAGGACTTAATAGATTTCTCCATCTACTACATCAATGGTAATTGTAGAAATTAGCTAAAATGCACTACTGCTTAAATGCAATGGAAAAATATTTCTTTCTTCCTTTCAAGACTTTAAGAGGTCTGAAATGTTTCTGTCCAGGCCCTTGCGCCTCTGCCACCGCTGTGAGAAGTACATATCCTGGCCAGCCTGCTGACTCAGGAGGTTGAGAATCAGGTGCAGCAGACCAGAGCACTGCTTCAGTGTCAGGGTAGAGCTGCTCCATGACCCAGAGATTCATACGAGTAAGTTATTTTCCTCAAGACCAGTGAGTTTGTTACACAACAGAATTGTGGCCATACCCAACCAATACAGCATGAATCTTTTCCATTACGTTACTATACAATTACACAATTGATCGTTCTATATGCATTGTTTTGTTAAACTGCATGTCTTAGGGATCCTCCAAGGTTAGTACCTATAAGCCAAACTTATTCTTTTTAATGGCTGCAGAGTATTCTGCAGTATGGTTATAGCAAAACTTATTTATTCATTCCCCTGTCGATGAATATCTAACTTCCCAATCTCTCCTTAAATCAACAATGCTGAAATGAACATTTTTATGTATATATGCCTTTTCACACTTGGGCATCATATTTAAGATAGATTCCTGCTGTAAAGTTTATGAATCAAAATATGTACATATTTAAATTTTGAGAATTACTGCCACTTTTTCTGAAAGGCTACACATTTGCACTCCCACCAATGATGAATGAGAACATTGATTACCCTGCCTCTTCTAAATTAATCCCAGCCTAATAGATGAGGAAAAAGTCTCATGGTTGTAACATACTATTTCTTGATTTTTGAGTAAGTTTAACACATTTTCATATGCTTACTATGTTTGACTCTTCCGAGAGAGTATGTTCATGGTCTAAATTTTTCTATTAAAATGTTTTTCTTTCTTATCAATTTTAGGATCTCTTTATATATTCTTGATATTCATCCGTATTGATTAAATATGTTACAAATATTATCTACCAATCTACCACTTGCCCATTGACTTTACAGTGTTTTGCTTTTTCACTAAAGAAGATTTTAGGTTTTTATGAAGACAAACGTTTCATTAGATTTATGTAGGACTTTTGATTTTTGCACATTGCCTAGAAATACTTGTACTTCACTTCAATATAATGAAACCACTCCGTATATTTTCTTTTACTAAATTTACAATCTTAACTTTTATCTGGCATTTATACCATTGCACTATTATGAAAACACTCTATAATGTTTTCTCCTAATAAGTTTACAGTACCATTTTATATCTGAACATTTTTTATAATGTAAGAAAAAATTTTTCCTATAGATATCTAATTATCTCCAAATTATTTATTGAATGAGCTATTCATTTACTATTGACTTTAAACACCATTATCTTTGTCATAAGCTACTATCTCATTAACAGAAGAGTATATTAATTTTTAAAGAGTTTTAAAAATTTTATAGCAAAAACACATAAAATTTACATCTTAATTGTTTTTAATGTACCGTTTAGTAGTATTAAGTACATTCACATTGTTGTGCAATTGTGACCACCATCTATCTCTAGAAATTCTTTAATTTGCAAAACTGAACATGTACCCATTAAAAAATAACTCATCATTTCACCCTCAAAAGGGTGAAAATCCTGGAAAGCCTGGAAACTGCCAGTGTACTTTCTGTCTCCATGAATTTGACTACTCTATGTATCTCATATAAGTAAAATCATGCAGCATTCTTTTTATGACCAGCTCTTTCACTTAGCCTAGTGGCTTCAAGATTCATCCATGTTGTAGCACGTGACAGGATTTCCTTCCTTTTTTAAGGATGAGTAATATTAAGGATATATTTCTAAAACCTCGAGCCTGTTTATCTGTTTTATTTTTCTACTTTGGTACAATACTACAATGTTTTAAATACAACAGATCAATAGTGATAAGAAAAAGCTGGTATAGTTGGATATTTGTCCCCTCCAGATCTCACGCTGAATTTGATCTCCAGCGTTGGAGGTGGAGGCTAGTGGAAGGTGCTTGGGTCACGAGGGCAGATCCCTTGTAAATGGCTTGGTGATATCTGCTTGGCAGTGAGTGAGATCTTTTTCTAATAGTTCATGAGAGAGTTGGTTGATTAAAAGAGCCTGAGCTCCCCTTCCCTCTCTCACCCTCTCTCTCGCCCTCTCTCTCACCCTCTCTCTCGCTCTCTCTCTCACCCTCTCTCACCCTCTCTCTCACCCTCTCTCACTCTCTCTCTCACCCTCCCTCTCGCTCTCTCTCTCGCCCTCTCTCTCGCCCTCTCTCTCGCTCTGCTCTCTCTCTCACCCTCTCTCTCGCTCTCTCTCTCACCCTCTCTCTCGCTCTCTCTCTCACCCTCTCTCTCGCTCTCTCTCTCGCTCTCTCGCCCTCTCTCTCACCCTCTCTCACCCTCTCTCTCGCTCTCTCTCTCACCCTCTCTCGCTCTCTCTCTCACCACAACATAAACCTGCTCCCCTTCACCTTCCACTGGTGGTGGAAGCAGCCTGAAGCCCTCACCAGAAGCAAATGCTGACACCATGCTTCTTGTACAGCCTACAGAACCATGAGCCAAAGAAACTGCTTTTCTTTATAAATTACCCAGCCCTAGGTATTCCTTTATGGGAACACAAAATGGAATGAAATACAAGTAAATTTGCCATCTTATCGTTCTCTTTGTAAAAATGAATTAGACATTCTCCACTGCTGTGGTCTGAATATGTCCCCCAAAATTCATATGTTGTAAACGTAATGCCCAATACAACAGTGTTGGGACATGGGGCATTTTGAGAGATGTTTAGGTTTCTTCAAATTGATATCATTATAAAAGGGCTTGAAGGAGAAAGTCTGGCCCCATTTCACCCTTCCTTCCTGATATGGTTTGGCTGTGTCCCCACCTGAATCTCATCTCGAATTCCCATATATTGTGAAAGGGAACCGGTGGAGGTAATTGACTCATGGAGGCAGATCTTTTCCGTGCTGTTCTCGTGATAGTGAATAAGTCTCACGAGATCTGATGGTTTTAAAAATGGGAGTCTCCCTGCAAAAGCTCTCTTCTCTTGTCTGCTGCCATGTGAGACATGCATTTCACTTTCTGCTGTAATTGTGAGGCCTCCCCAGCCATGTGAAACTGTAAGTCGAATAACCCCCTTTCTTTTGTAAATTGCCCAGTCTCGGATATGCCTTTGTCAGCAGCATGAAAACGGACTAATAATACACTTTTCTTCTGCTATATGAGGACACAGCATTTGTCCCTTCTGGAAGATGCAGCATCCAAGGCACCACCTTGGAAGCAGAGAATAGCCGTTACCCGATAGTTAAGCCAGCCAGCACCTCAGTTGGACTTAGGCTGTAGAACGGTCAGAGATAAATTTCTGTCCTGTATTAATTACCTAGTCTCAGATATTCAGTTATAGCAGCACAAAACTGACTAAAACATCTGCCATATGAATTTTAAAAACCTTTTATCAAGTTCATAAAACTTTCAGTTAAATTGAAAATTTTCTTTTTTTGGGGGGGTTTATTATTATTTTTATTTTTTATTATACTTTACGTTTTAGGGTACATGTGCACAATGTGCAGGTTAGTTACACATGTATACATGTGCCATGTTGGTGTGCTGCACCCAGTAACTCGTCATTTAACATTAGGTATACCTCCAAATGCTATCCCTCCCCCCTACCCCTACCCCACAACAGGCCCCGGTGTGTGATGTTCCCCTTCCTGTGTCCATGTGTTCTCATTGTTCAATTCCCACCTGTGAGTGAGAACATGTGGTGTTTGGTTTTTTGTCCTTGTAATAGTTTGCTGAGAATGATAGTTTCCAGCTTCATCCATGTCCCTACAAAGGACATGAAATCATCATTTTTTATGGCTGCGTAGTATTCCCTGGTGTATATGTGCCACATTTTCTTAATCCAGTCTATCATTGTTGGACATTTGGATTGGTTCCAAGTCTTTGCTATTGTGAATAGTGCTGCAATAAACATATGTGTGCATGTGTCTTTATAGCAGCATGATTTATAATCCTTTGGGTATATACCCAGTAATGGGATGGCTGGGTCAAATGGTATTTCTAGTTCTAGATCTCTGAGGAATCGCCACACTGACTTCCACAATGGTTGAACTGGTTTACAGTCCCACCAACAGTGTAAAAGTGTTCCTATTTCTCCACAGCCTCTCCAGCACCTGTTGTTTCCTGACTTTTTAATGATCGCCATTCTAACTGGTGTGAGATGGTACCTCATTGTGGTTTTGATTTGCATTTCTCTGATGGCCAGTGATGGTGAGCATTTTTTCATGTGTCTTTTGGCTGCATAAATGTCTTCTTTTGAGAAGTGTCTGTTCATATCCTTTGCCCACTTTTTGATGGGGTGGTTTGTTTGGTTTTTTTTGTAAATTTGTTGGAGTTCATTGTAGATTCTGGATATTAGCCCTTTGTCAGATGAGGAGATTGCAAAAATTTTCTCCCATTCTGTAGGTTGCGTATTCGCTCTGACGGTACTTTCTTTTGCTGTGCAGAAGCTCTTTAGTTTAATTAGATCCCATTTGTCAATTTTGGCTTTTGTTGCCATTGCTTTTGGTGTTTTAGACATGAAGTCCTTGCCCATGCCTATGTCCTGAATGGTATTGCCTAGGTTTTCTTCTAGGGTTTTTATGGTTTTAGGTCTGACATTTAAGTCTTTAATCCATCTTGAATTAATTTTTGTATAAGGGTTAAGGAAGGGATCCAGTTTTTCATGAGATGTATAGATTAACCTGGAGATAATTTACATTTTCCATGACTGTATCTTTCAGTGTAGGTATAGGGTATGTCTCCTCTTATTTTTTTTTTTTAACATTCTTCAACAAAGTTTACAATTTTATTCACATCAGACTTGTATACTCTTTGTCAGGTTTATGGTAGAATTTGCTGGCAACTCTTCAAAATTTAATCAACCCTTTTCTTTGTGCAAGCAGTTAGATTCCCTTCCCAGCTTCCCTTGCAATTAGTTGGGGTCATATGACTGAGGTTGTAGTTAGTGGAATTTGAGCAGAAGTGATGGATGTTACTTCCAAGCCAGGACCTTAAAACCATCCCACACTTTCTCTAAGCTCTCTTTCCTTCCTGCCTTGGATGACAACTCCCAGGGTGATCTTGGGAGAAACCTGTGGAAGGTGACAGAACCCCTGTGTCCCTGAATGATGCAGTGGAGCAGAGTCCCAACCTCCCCCTCTGGACTGCTGCCCTGGGCTTTTGGATGAGTGAAACATGAACTGCTCTTGGATGGAGTTGTTACACGTTTGAGTCTGTTACTACAGCTGATTCTACCCTAATCAGTATCAAACCAGTGACCTTAAGGTGTGATGCCACAGATGAGCCCTGAAATACATGAATGCCACTTCCAGGCCACCCCATAACAACCTTACATACACACTCTTCCATGCTTTCCTCCTCTCTGGCTAACCAGGATTGCAACTCCATGATAGCCTTGGAAGCAGGGTATAAAAGATGGCAGAGTCGCTGCTCACCTGTGCACCCAGAGCCTCCACACCTGCCTGGAACCACCTGGAACGTCACGTTGCTAAGGGAGTTGTTAGATATTGGGGTCTCTGTAATGCTAGAAGAGGTTCCATTTAGATAATAAAAGTTCTTCTTTGGGGTTTTGTGTGCATTTAAACAATTGGTAATGGCATTTGTTTCTTTCTATCATGTTTTCTAATTGGTTATTGTTAGTATTTTTAAATGTTTATTTTATATCAGACCACCTTACTAGTTAATATAGTTTATCAGTTAATTCTGTGAAATTTTGGGGTAGATTATCAGATAAAACTTTTTAAAATGGCAGTTTTGTCTTTTCTTCATGCTGTCTGTACAATGTTTCTGTATTTACTGCTAAGATTTCTTATTCACTGTTTGCATAAAAGTGGTGCTAGTAGGTGTCCTTTTCTTGTGTATAATTTTAACATGAATATTTATGATATTTTGCCATTAGCTATTATGTTTGCTCCAGTTTTCTAGATCTCTCTTATACAAAATTAAGAAAGTTTTCTTTTATTTCTAACTTCACTGTTTTGCTTTGTTTACATTTTTATCAGAAATGTAATCAGGATGTTGGTTTTAGCAAATGCTTTCTTGATATTGATTGAGATGATCTTGTTTTCCTCTTTTAATCTGAAGACATACAGAATTGAATTAATAGATTTTGAAACTATTGAATCATGTTTGCATATCTAAGTCTTGATTTTACAAGACACACACATTTTTAAAAATCATTATTCTGTGAAATTTGCTAAGATTTTTTGGGGTTTAATTTCTGCAGCTCTCTGTGTTAGTGAGATTGGCTGATCTCATTTAGTTTTGTGTCAGCTTTGTCTAGTTGTGGTGTTAGTTTTATACTAGCCTCACAGAATAAGGTAGCAGCCTTCCCATATTGTTTGATGCTACAGCAAAGTCTGTATCACACAGGGATAATCTAATCTATGAGCTAAAGTTTCATAAAATTTATTAACTCAAGAAAATCCCTGAACTTGGTTTCATTATTATGGATAGATTTTTTTCTTTTTATTATCTTTTAAATTTGGTTTAGATGCTTTTGACTGTTTGAATTTTGTTTCTTATTAAGTTAAAAATGATAATTTATAGTGTTCTCAAAAACTGTCCATTTAATCTAGACATTGAAATATATTAATTTAATATCTTATATTTTAAATATATTTATATATTTATACCAGCTTGCTTTTAAAATTATATTTGTATTTATATTATATTACAAAATATTTTTAAATGCTCTTTTCATTGCAAAGAACTGTCTTTTTATTTTAGTGATGAAATCTGTGAATTTTAGCTGCTAAATCATTTTGTTTAAATCTTATTATATTGCTTCTACTTTCTTTAGGTTGTTTTTTCTTTGATTTGATTACATTTTTCAATTATGGAAAATTTTCAGCTGTTAGCTCCAAATACCTCCTCTCCATTCTTTCTCTCCTAGAACTCTTACAGATTGTGCATTCTATCATTAATTCCTCCTAAATGATCATTCCCAGTCGCCATTTTTTATATATCTGCTGTAATCTGAGTGATTTCTCAGTGCTAATGTCTACCTCACTGATTCTCTCTGTTGCTATTTCTATGTAATCTGTTGAAAACTGCATCTATTGATAAATTATTTTCTTTTTTGCTATCCTTTCATTCTTTACTTTTAGTTTATTTGTTTTATGGAAGGAAATATGGCTTGTATCATTTTTGCTTTTAGGAATGTGCATAGCTTTTCTTTGCAGCCAGACACATAATCTATTTTTGTGCCTATCTGGGTAGGGAGGATTTCAAAAACACCTGGAGGCAAGAATAGGGAACATTAACTGCCTTAAAACCAGGATCAGTCCTGGCTCCCCAGGGGCTCAGCTCATTGGCTCCAGACAAGAGTTCTGATCTGAACATCTGAGTTAAGAAAAAAGACCTCATGTGTCTTCCTGTGCCATCCTGCTGGAGCAAGAGCCAGGAGACCTACAGGAGCGCTGCTTCCTCCTCCCTTTTATGCGCTTGTCTCAAGTCTGTTTTGGAGGCCATTGCAAAGGTGCTGCCTGCAGGAGCCAGCCCTCTGGGCGTGTGGAGGGAAGGGCACACTGACTAAGCTGCCCACAGGAGGGAAGTGGGACCAAGGACGTGGGAGGAAGCTCACATGGTAACTATGGGGCATAAGGCATTTTGAGAAAAGCAAGACTTTGAGGAGGAATTTTTAGGACTAAAGAATAGCATGAGTGTCTGGAAATCCTAGGGTAAAGAGCAACTCATAAGGAGAAAGAGAAAGGTGGGAGAGCTCAGAGGCAAAAGTCTATTCTTACCTGTGCCCTGGACTGGCCCTTCCCTACCCCATTTCCTAGACACCGAGATAGAATTTCATGCTGCTCACAGTGTCCGGACTGCAACACACCATTTCTGTGTTTCCTGTAGTTAGGTGGAGTTGATAATTTAAGTAACAGACAAAACTAAGAGACCCCTTGGCCAGTCTCAGGCAGCAAGCACAGTGTGTGCCCTTTATTATTTTATTTTATTTATTTATATTTTTTGAGACAGAGTCTCACTGTGTCGCCCAGGCTGGAGTGCGATGGCGGGATCTCGGCTCACTGCAAGCTCTGCCTCCCGGGTTCACGCCATTCTCCTGCCTCAGCCTCTTGAGTAGCTAGGACTACAGGCGCCTGCCACCATGCCGGGCTAATTTTTTTTTTTTTTTTTTTTTTTTTTTTTTTTTTAGTAGAGACAGAGTTTCACCGTGTTAGCCAGGATGGTCTCGATCTCCTGATCCCCCCTCCTCAGCCTCCAAAAGTGCTGGGATTACAGGCGTGAGCCACCACGCCTGGCCGTGTGTGCCCTTTATACTAGTAATAGGCACATGTGAATTTTGTCCACACTTATGCAGAAATGGAGAAAGAAGCACTGCAGTAAACACCTAAGAAACAGCAATCAGAAAGGTTGTGGGCAAAGCTCGATATTCAGATGTGTCCTGGACTCCCCTCCAGTATCATTTTAATTACAAATCATCCATATGGAAACCTGGAGACTGTTTTAACTTTCCTTTTCAGTTTTTAGTTATATCTTACATCTTATATCACTTTCTAAAATTGAATAACCTGGAGATTAATTTATTTGCTTGTCACTTTTCCATTAGAAGCTTGAATTCATTTCTGTTTTCATTACCAGTACACAGTGGCTTGTCCCAAATTATCTTCACCCAAATCCTACCTGGATGAACTTACAGCATTTTAATAAAAATGGTTATTTGCTCTGGGAGAAAATTGTAATGGGCAAAATAAATCTCCTTATCTTTGAAGTAGTTTGAATGTGAGATCACAGTATGTCCTTTCTGTTAATACTTGGCTGCAGGATAATCCATGATTCCTTCTTTAAAAAAGTTCAGTACTAAAGTTGTTATGCAACATTTTATTAAAAGATAAAGTGCTCCCATTCTTCATATATACTCCATAAACTGCTGAGATGTCAAAGTGCTCCATAAATAATACAAGCTTCTTGCCCATCATTAACAAAAGACGCTGCTAAGTGGACAGAAAATTCAGTAATTCCCTTTTATGGAGATCACAGTACATACACTTAGTCCAATTTGCTGACCCTGCCATCAAAAATTACTGTCTGCAGAAACCCTGGCCTGGATTTTTTCACACTGAAAAATGGAGAGCTGGGGATTTTAATGGAAGACGCTGAACACTGGTTAAAATTCTGCCTTCACTTGAGAACTGGTCCACTGAGAAAAAATTATAACTATTGCTTCCCTTCCATTGAGAACACACTCTTCTATCAAAGGCATTCTGAGCCAGGAATCTGAGCTCTTTCAAGAAATCAGCTTATAGTAAGGCCAAATGAACTGCTAAGTCAGATCCCAGTGTGATGATACGCATATTCCCATTTATGATATGTCATCAATCATGGCTCATGCCTCTTGATTGCACTATGATAAATATGCCACTCAAGCAGGTTCATCGTACATCAGAGCCAGGGAAGGCAGCTTGGGAAATGCACAGGGTAATGGGCAACTTGGAAAGTGTGCAAATCCAGACAAGGCAGGTGCCTGCAGGACAAATCAGCCAAAGCCAACCAGATGTCTGGGCACCTGGTGTGGACATGCTTTCCCTCAGCCCAGATTTAGTTTCAGTGCATCACGTCTCTGTGTTCCAAGCAGCAGTTAACCTCAAGGCCGCACTAACATCTCTGGTGAGTTTACGGCCTCTGGTTCCTATCTACTCTCTGATTTAGGATATTCTTCAGCAGCAGATTGATCCTACATTCTGGCAAGTGCAGTTACATGGATCGTAATGTGCAAGTTCCCATGACCCCTCAGTCTTTCTTTCCAGCTGATGCACAAGTTAGACTCTAGTCCTCTCCAGATGTTTCATCTCACAATATGAAATCCACCTTTCACTGGTATCTCTCACACAAATCAGAGCCAGATTGCCAAACTTCTTCACCTGACCTAATCGGCCAAAAACCAGAAAGCAGTATTTGCTGTTTTCCAATGATGTGGCCCACCGTGATTAACTTCCATAACACACAAACATGTTCCTCAAAAAGAAAGGCTAATGCTACATTCTAGAGAAAATGTATTACCCCTTGATATGGTTTGACTCTGTGTCCTCACCCAAATCTCATCTCAAATTGTAATCCCCACGTGTCGAGGGAGGGAGGTGATTGGATCACTTCCAATGCTGTTCTTGTGATAGTGAGTGAGTTCTCATGAGATCTGATTTTAAAAATGGCAGTTTCCCCTGTGCTCTCTCTCTCTTGCTGCCTTGTGAAGAAGGTGCTTACTTCCCCTTTGCCTTCTGCATAATTGTAAGTTTCCTGAGGCCTCCCCAGCCATGTGGAACGGTGAGTCAATTAAACCCCTTTCGTTTATAAATTACCCAGTCTCAGGTAATATGTTTACAGCAGTGTGAGAAAGGACAAATGCACCCCTCTCACCCTTTCTTTCCTGTTAAATTGTTTCAAAACTAGCTTTGGGGCATGTTAAAAATGTAGATGCGCCAGGCGGATAACTCATACCTGTAATCCCAGCACTTTGGGAGGGTGAATCACGAGGTCAGGAGATCGAGACCATCCTGGCTAACACAGTGAAACCCCGTCTGTATTAAAAATACAAAAAGTTAGCCGGGTATGGTAGCATGCACCTGTACAGTCCCAGCTACTCGGGGGGCTGAGGTGGGAGAATCACTTGAACCTAGAGGCAGAGGTTTCAGTGAGCTGAGATCGCACCACTGTACTCCAGCCTGGGCAATGGAGCAAGATTCCATCTCAAAAAAAAAAAAAACAAAAAACAAACAAACAAACAAACAAAAAAAACCTGCCTGGGCCTCAAGTGCAGACCTATTAAATTAAAATTTCTGGGAATGGGGCTTACAGACTCTTGTTTTTTTATAAGCAGCCAGATAGTTCTGTGCATTGAAGTTTGAGAAGTTATTTGGGGTAGGTTTTCTCTGAGATGCCTTTCTGCCCTGATATTTTGTGGTTCTAGAAGCATTCAAAGAAAACTGTCAATGCACACCCCAAAGGCACACCCATGGGTCTCCTGCAGCACTGGCCACCATTCTCAGACCATTGCAGGACTGTGCAGAGGGAGTGATGGACAGGGGAAAATGGGACAGGGAAGAGCTAAGGGTTGGAAATCACAGGTCTGCTTTAAACTTCAGTGCCTTTACTTCTGGCTCTGCTGTCTTAGAGCAATTACATGACCTCACTAATTTCAGGTTTTCTAATTTCCAAGACCTGCAGTGTTAGATCAGTTACATGACCTCACTATTTCAGGTTTTCTACTTTCAAAATAGGAGTAAAAACAGATACTTCCCAGATGGCAGGAGGGTCAAATGAAGCAATAATGGGGCTGTATATAGCAGTGTTTAACTAAAATTTGAATTATTTAACTCTGTAAATGTTAGTTTTCTTCCCAATTTCCCGTTTGTAAATGATCCCTGGTTCGTGGGTTATTTTGAAGATCACCTTAGATGTATATGAGAGAGACTCTCTATGGATGACGTCGTGAAGAGCAGAGACCCTGAATCCCTTTACCTGTCGGGGAAGAGGGACAGACAAGGCCACCAGTTCAATCTGAGAAAAGGGCAGTGTGGTCCACTGAATAGTGGCCCCCCAGGACCTCCACCATCTGGTCCCTGGAACCTGTGATATGGTGACTTGGAAGGCAAAAGGGATTCTGCAGATGTGATTAAGAACTTTGAGTTGGGGAGATTATCTTGGGCCATCCAGGCGGGCCCTAAATGTAATCATAAATTTTCCTATAAGAGAAAGGCACAGGGGACTTGATGACAGTAGGGAAAGGCAGTGTGATGACACAGTCGGGGGGAAGGTGATGTGATGCAAGGAAGGGGCCAGGAGCCACGGGACGCAGGCGGCTCTGGAAGCTGAAAAGGCAAGGAAGCGATTCTCCCTAGAGCCTCAGTTAGAACCAGCCCTGCCCTGCAGACACCTCGGTTTTGTTCCCATAAGACTCAGTTTAGACTTCTGACCACCAGAACTATACATTCCCACTGTTTGAAGCCACCGAGTTCGTGGTAACTTTTACAGTAGCCACAGGAGAGGAATGCACGTATATGTAAAAGCAACACTATTGCTAAGAAAGTAAGGAGCACGTTTTCATAATTTACAGATGACAAGTATCTGAAATTTCAAGGGTAGTTTGAACTCACATATTTCCCCCACCAGCACTTTCAGGGCACTCACTCAGTGCCTGGCCTTGTGCAGCTCCGTATCACTCTGACAACCTAAAGTTTAGGCTGCTGCAGCCACTTTGCCCCACCTGAAGCATCTCAGGGGTGGGGGCTTGGGATGCTAAATTCTTCTCCATGCTGCAGGCCCAGGGTGCACTCAAGCTGGCACCGTGTTCCCCAGAGCTGGTCTCAGTATCTCCAGAGTGGGCGTCCTGGAATCCTCTCAGCCTGGGAGGTTCTCAGGGTGGCTCGAGCAGCCCTGTCCTCCCAGAGCCTGCTCAGGTCAGGAGACCCATGGAGGGAAGGGTAGGGACTTTCCTCCCAATCCCTAGAAGTCACTCCACCCACTATCCCAACCTTGCTTCCTTTTGGCCCCATTTGTCCTCTTGTCCTCACTTTGTCTGCCAGAATCATACTTCCGACCTATTGTAAAGGGTGGTTTTGCAGTAAAAATGAAGCTGATGCAACCAGTTCAATGCACAGAGGCCCCTGAGCTAAGAATAGGATGAGTGTGTAATTTCTCATCCACACCAGGACACTGCTGGGCTTGGCAAGCTCCCACTAAAGACAGCACAGTCACGAACCACAGGACTCAGGCCAGGGCAGGGAAAGTAAGAGGAGGCAGGCCCCTCTGTCAACCTCCATCTTCCCTTATCCGCAACTGGTGCTGCAGGCCTGCAGCTGCAGTAGGCTTCCAGGAGAGCCCTTCAGAAGACCTAAGGGCTGAGCAGAGTCCTCCGGGTGGAGAAGCAGGACACAGGCCTTTTATTTCCCTTTTCTTCCAGAACACCACCTGGATTAGAGAGAGCCACCTTTCCCAGGTGGGGCATTTGCCTCCTTTGACTGGCCCAGACTCATGATTATTCAAGGCTCTTGCCTGTAACTAGATCTTCCTAAGGAATCAGTGACTCTCTAGAACCCATCAGCAGAGGATCTTCTGCCATGTACACTGTTATCACATCTCTTTTAGCCATCCATGAAGTTTCTATTTTCCAAGAGAGATGCCCAAAGCCTCCAAGCCACTTGCAGGGCAGTCAGGAATCACACACTTTGGATCCTATTACAGAGCAAGCCTTCCTTAATGCAGAACACCCCTTTCCCCTGCCCAGCTTTTCGGGTTCTTTTGTGATGACCTTCCCACTCTACCTCCTCTCAGGTGGGCAGATAACACTGGATACGCAGTGACAATTTTGAATTTCAAATAAACAACTTAAGTTTTTTAGTTTCTTTCTTTTTAAAAAATACCTATTGCCCTACCTTTTCCCAAGCCCCTCCACCAAATCTGAAGAACACAGTTTCCAGAACCCTATCACAATTTTATCATATCAAAAATACACACTTAAAGGCTTTTTAAATTTATTGACGTGTGAAGTAGTTAAAGTGGCAATTATATAATTACACAATAATTTGGTGGAGATGATATTTCAAATTATAAGATGCATAAAGGAAAGGTAATAAAAGGGTCTTAGGCTAAAGGCCTTCAAATTTGTGATATACAAAGAGCACAGACCACAACCATGAAGTCCAGGAGGGCCGGGTCTTGCACTTGTAGAAAGTGCACAATCAGGCTGGGCGTGGTGGCTCACACCTTTGGGAGACTGAGGTGGGCAGATCACCTGAGGTCAGGAGTTTGAGACCAGCCTGGCCAACATGGTGAAACCCCATCTGTACTAAAAGTACAAAAAATTTGCTGGGCGTGGTGGTGGGCACCTGAAATCCCAGCTACTCAGGAGGCTGAGGCAGGAGAATCATTTGAACCTGGGAGGCAGAGGTTGCAGTGAGCCGAGATCACGCCACTATGCTCCAGCCTGGGTGACAGAGTGAGACTCTGTCTCAAAAAGAAAGAAAGAAAGGAAGTGCACGTTCAGATGATGTCTCCTCCCGGCCTCACACTCTCAGGAAGGAAAAACAGAACAGCTGCGTAGATCCCACGGTCTCTTCCTGAAGCTTCCCTAACTCTAGCACCAGTTCCAGATGGGACAGCCCGTAGGCTGCTCAGGCAGTGTGTCAAAGGCTCACCTGATGTGCCAAGGCTTTCTGGCTTGGAAGCCCCTTTCCGTGCCATTTTGTTAAAAATCTGTAAACAGAAATTTAAAGTAAATTTTACCTATTTATTATTTTGTTTTATGCTAATATGCATGTGAAGTTAACAATTTTGGGGCCGTTCTATGAACATACCAGTGGTAAATACCCATTATAATGTCTCTTTCTGTTTTCTGAAAAATGTTCTTTCAATGCAGATAAATAGTCATTGAAAATCAGTAGAATGTGTGTCTTTTGGTCAAACAGCAGGAGAGCTGGGAAGGGAAGTTGAAAGGCCTGGGTAATTTTCATTTGTCAGTAGTGAAATCATCAGATTAATGAATGAAGAATGCATGATTTCCACCTTCATGAAGTCACTGCTAGTCTTAACCAGACACCATAAAAAAATGCAAGGATGTCCTGAGCTGGAAAGTTAAAATCCTGAGTGTTCCAGAATCATAGACTTTAAATCCTAAGGTTTAATCCTGACATTATGCCATCAGGAGCCTGGTGGCCAGGTAAGGTGGAAAATGTAAACTATTTTACCAATTTCAAAAGAGCTCTGGAAATTAGCCTATGAATCCTATAAGTGAAAACGTCCTCCAGCCAAAGACCTCAGGATCAGGCCTATAGTTGAACGAGTTGGATTTACTATTTGTTGGAGGGAGAGAGACTACACGCAGGGCACACCAGCGGGAACTGTGGGGTGTCTCAGGCAGAGGGGGTTTGCCAGGACTCATTACAGAACTGGGGCATGTTGGGTGATCTGGGGAGAGCGTTCAAGGAAGTGGGGCTTTGCTCCAGATTTGGTTGGTGTTTGGAAGAAGGGGATGCTATGCGATGCGTGGGTTAATCTTACCTGGAAGAAGGCAGACCAGAGCCAGGCAGCAGGCTTTTAACTATAAAGCAGCAGCACTCACTAGCATGAGCTGGGAGAGGGGGATATTAAGTCACTTTTATGGTTTGAACCATGTTCTTGCCTTGTCTGTGTTCAGACCTAATGACATAATGGTCTTGTTCTTTTTTTTTTTTTTTTTTTGAGACAGAGTCTCGCTCTGTCACCCAAGCTGGAGTGCAGTAGCATGATCTCGGCTCACTGCAAGCTCCACCTCCCAGGTTCACGCCATTCTCCTGCCTCAGCCTCCCAAGTAGCTGGGACTACAGGCACCCGCCACCGCGCCCGACTAATTTTTTTGTAATTTTAGTAGAGACGGGGTTTCACCATGTTAGCTAGGATGGTCTCGATCGCCTGACCTTGTGATCCACCCGCCTCGGCCTCCCAAAGTGCTGGGATTACAGGTGTGAACCACCGCGCCTGGCCAGTCTTGTTCTTGTCTTATTCCGTCACACTCACCAAGTGGCTTCCCTGACCGTTCCTGTTCAGTGAACTGTTTATGTTCATCAGGAGAGACCAAGGCCCAGCTGTGGGCACCGGGCCAGCTCCTGCATATTAGGGGCCACCTTTGTCTTCTTAGAGCAATAATAACTGATGAACACCAGGACTAAGTTAGCACTGTGTGTTCTTGTTTACTGTGGGATTTTACTGAATAATATTTCATTACATTTCTTTCTCCAGAAATGCTGGGAAGGAATAATTTGGTGGAGACAATAGTTCAAATTATAGGATGCATAAAGGAAAGGTAATAAAAGGGTCTTGGGCTAAAGGCATTCAGGTCTCGCCGTATTCAAGTGTGCAATGATGTGTTGTAGCCACTGAGCCAAATCCTGGGAGACCACAAGAGGCTGATTGTGTCTGTCCCCATCAGTATCCAGGAAACTCACTTTCCCCAAACACACCTACAGCGAGGTAGTTCCCTAAGTTAGGCAGCCTCTATCCACAAGCCGCACCTGCATCTCTCCAGTACCTGAACACTTCCTTCATTCCACAAGCATTTCCAGACAGCCCACCTTCCCCTCACACTGCATCCTTCTCCTCAGGGACACAGAAACCCCCTCTCACTGCTGGTCCCAATTAGATGGGCAGGCCCCTCCCTGCTGCTCAAAGCACAACCAGAAACCAGGCTCAGAGGCAACCAGAACTCCGAAAGGTGTTCAGAGGAAGGCGGGCTGGTTTTGGGACCCCAGGGGGAGAAGGAAGGCACAGCAACAGGGTGCTTTATGGCCCCAAGACCAACAGAAGGTGACCCCAGCCTAGCACCCATGGCAGCCAGCTAGGCTTGCTCCCGCTCTGATGGAACAGGGCCCTCTGGCAATACCAGGCCAGCCTGACGCCACCTGACGGAGGAGGGACCTGAAGCCCTGTCCGCATAAGTGGCCCCAGGGTGGCTCCCCTCCTTGTGTACTGACAGCCCCTCCTCCCCACCCAGAAATATCTGGTTGGTGGGCACCTGCAGGGGATCCAAGCCTCTTCTTCAGACAGCCTGAGCCTTGGGCCCCACTGGGAGACACTCAGGGCAGAGCCTGGGGAAACTCCGTCTGCCCCTCAGCCTGCATCAGGAGGGATCCTGAGAGCCACAAGGACCCCCGAGAAACCAAGCAGGAGAGAACAACACAGCAGCGACTCTGGAAATTAGATGCCAGTAGAACCACAGCCTGCAAGATGGGCCAGGACCCATGTGCCAAACCTAAACAGGTCACTGCCTTCTAAAGCAAAAGAGTCACAGGGGACCCAGGTCACCTAACATGACAGGCAGAACGTCCACCAAACAACTGAAAACTCACCATCCTTCCAAGAGTGCAGAGATCACCACCAGCATGAGCACCACGATCAGCTGCTGCCAAGACCCAACTATCAGATGTTGGAATTATCTGACAAGGGCTCTAAAGTATCTGCCATTAAAAATGCTTCAGCAATGACAGGTTCTCTCGAAATAAATCAAACAATGGAAAATCTCAGCCCTTTCCTCACTGCCCCAGGGCTGGCAATCACTTGACATGGTTGCCTGTTACACCTGATAGCCCTCTTTGACTTCTTTTTTTTTTTTTTTTATACTTTAAGTTTTAGGGTACATGTGACAATGTGCAGGTTAGTTACATATGTATACACGTGACATGCTGGTGTGCTGCACCCACTAACTCGTCATCTAGCATTAGGTATATCTCCCAATGCTATCCCTCCCCCCTCCCCCCACCCCACAACAGTCCCCAGAGTGTGATGTTCCCCTTCCTGTGTCCATGTGTTATTGTTCAATTCCCACCTATGAGTGAGAATATGCAGTGTTTGGTTTTTTGTCCTTGCGATAGTTTACTGAGAATGATGATTTCCAATTTCATCCATGTCCCTACAAAGGACATGAACTCATCATTTTTTATGGCTGCATAGTATTCCATGGTGTATATGTGCCACATTTTCTTAATCCAGTCTATCATTGTTGGACATTTGGCTTGGTTCCAAGTCTTTGCTATTGTGAATAGTGCCACAATAAACATATGTGTGCGTGTGTCTTTATAGCAGCATGATTTATAGTCCTTTGGGTATATACCCAGTAATGGGATTGCTGGGTCAAATGGTATTTCTAGTTCTAGATCTCTGAGGAATCACCACACTGACTTCCACAATGGCTGAACTGGTTTACAGTCCCACCAACAGTGTAAAAGTGTTCCTATTTCTCCACATCCTCTCCAGCACCTGTTGTTTCCTGACTTTTTAATGATTGCCATTCTAACTGGTGTGAGATGGTATCTCATTGTGGTTTTGATTTGCATTTCTCTGATGGCCAGTGATGGTGAGCATTTTTTCATGTGTTTTTTGGCTGCATAAATGTCTTCTTTTGAGACTGTCTGTTCATGTCCTTTGCCCACTTTTTGATGGGGTTGTTTTTTTCTTGTAAATTTGTTGGAGTTCATTGTAGATTCTGGATATTAGCCCTTTGTCAGATGAGTAGGTTGCGAAAATTTTCTCCCATATTGTGGGTTGCCTGTTCACTCTAATGGTAGTTTCTTTTGCTGTGCAGAAGCTCTTTAGTTTAATTAGATCCCATTTGTCTATTTTGGCTTTTGTTGCCATTGCTTTTGGTGTTTTAGACATGAAGTCCTTGCCTGTGCCTATGTCCTGAATGGTAATGCCTAGGTTTTCTTCTAGGGTTTTTATGGGTTTAGGTCTAACGTTTAAGTCTTTAATGCATCTTGAATTGATTTTTGTATAAGGTATAAGGAAGGGATCCAGTTTCAGCTTTCTACATATGGCTAGCCAGTTTTCCCAGCACCATTTATTAAATAGGGAATCCTTTCCCCATTGCTTGTTTTTCTCAGGTTTGTCAAAGATCAGATAGTTGTAGATATGCGGCGTTATTTCTGAGGGCTCTGTTCTGTTCCATTGATCTATATCTCTGTTTTGGTACCAGTACCATGCTGTTTTGGTTACTGTAGCCTTGTAGTATAGTTTGAAGTCAGGTAGCGTGATGCCTCCAGCTTTGTTCTTTTGGCTTAGGATTGACCTGGCGATGCAGGCTCTTTTTTGGTTCCATATGAACTTTAAAGTAGTTTTTTCCAATTCTGTGAAGAAAGTCATTGGTAGCTTGATGGGGATGGCATTGAATCTATAAATTACCTTGGGCAGTGTGGCCATTTTCACGATATTGATTCTTCCTACCCATGAGCATGGAATGTTCTTCCATTTGTTTGTATCCTCTTTTATTTCCTTAAGCAGTGGTTTGTAGTTCTCCTTGAAGAGGTCCTTCACGTCCCTTGTAAGGTGGATTCCTAGGTATTTTATTCTCTTTGAAGCAATTGCGAATGGGAGTTCACTCATGATTTGGCTCTCTGTTTGTCTGTTATTGGTGTATAAGAATGCTTGTGATTTTTGTACATTGATTTTGTATCCTGAGACTTTGTTGAAGTTGCTTATCAGCTTAAGGAGATTTTTGGCTGAGACAATGGGGTTATCTAGATATACAATCATGTCATCTGCAAACAGGGACAATTTGACTTCCTCTTTTCCTAATTGAATACCCTTTATTTCCTTCTCCTGCCTAATTGCCCTGGCCAGAACTTCCAACACTATGTTGAATAGGAGTGGTGAGAGAGGGCATCCCTGTCTTGTGCCAGTTTTCAAAGGGAATGCTTCCAGTTTTTGCCCATTCAGTATGATATTGGCTGTGGGTTTGTCATAGATAGCTCTTATTATTTTGAGATATGTCCCATCAATACCTAATTTATTGAGAGTTTTTAGCATGAAGGGTTGTTGAATTTTGTCAAAGGCCTTTTCTGCATCTATTGAGATAATCATGTGGTTTTTGTCTTTGGTTCTGTTTATATGCTGGATTACATTTATTGATTTGCGTATATTGAACCAGCCTTGCATCCCAGGGATGAAGCCCACTTGATCATGGTGGATAAGCTTTTTGATGTGCTGCTGGATTCCGTTTGCCAGTATTTTATTGAGGATTTTTGCATCGATGTTCATCAGGGATATTGGTCTAAAATTCTCTTTTTTGGTTGTGTCTCTGCCCGGCTTTGGTATCAGGATGATGCTGGCCTCATAAAATGAGTTAGGGAGGATTCCCTCTTTTTCTATTGATTGGAATAGTTTCAGAAGGAATGGTATCAGTTCATCCTTGTACCTCTGGTAGAATTCGGCTGTGAATCCATCTGGTCCTGGACTCTTTTTGGTTGGTAAGCTATTGATTATTGCCACAATTTCAGCTCCTGTTATTGGTCTATTCAGAGATTCAACTTCTTCCTGGTTTAGTCTTGGGAGAGTGTATGTGTCGAGGAATTTATCCATTTCTTCTAGATTTTCTAGTTTAATTGCGTAGAGGTGCTTGTAGTATTCTCTGATGGTAGTTTGTATTTCTGTGGGATCGGTGGTGATATCCCCTTTATCATTTTTTATTGCGTCTATTTGATTCTCTCTTTTTTTCTTTATTAGTCTTGCTAGCGGTCTATCAATTTTGTTGATTCTTTCAAAAAACCAGCTCCTGGATTCATTAATGTTTTGAAGGGTTTTTTGTGTCTCTATTTCCTTCAGTTCTGCTCTGATTTTAGTTATTTCTTGCCTTCTGCTAGCTTTTGAATGTGTTTGCTCTTGCTTTTCTAGTTCTTTTAATTGTGATGTTAGGGTGTCAATTTTGGATCTTTCCTGCTTTCTCTTGTGGGCATTTAGTGCTATAAATTTCCCTGTACACACTGCTTTGAATGCGTCCCAGAGATTCTGGTATGTTGTGTCTTTGTTCTCGTTGGTTTCAAAGAACATCTTTATTTCTGCCTTCATTTCGTTATGTACCCAGTAGTCATTCAGGAGCAGGTTGTTCAGTTTCCATGTAGTTGAGCGGTTTTGAGTGAGATTCTTAATCCTGAGTTCTAGTTTGATTGCACTGTGCTCTGAGAGACAGTTTGTTATAATTTCTGTTCTTTTACATTTGCTGAAGAGAGCTTTACTTCCAAATATGTGGTCAATTTTGGAATAGGTGTGGTGTGGTGCTGAAAAAAATGTATATTCTGTTGATTTGGGGTGGAGAGTTTTGTAGATGTCTATTAGGTCTGCTTGGTGGAGAGCTGAGTTGAATTCCTGGGTATGCTTGTTGACTTTCTGTCTCGTTGATCTGTCTAATGTTGACAGTGGGGTGTTAAAGTCTCCCATTATTAATGTGTGGGAGTCTAAGTCTCTTTGTACGTCACTCAGGACTTGCTTTATGAATCTGGGTGCTCCTGTATTGGGTGCATATATATTTAGGATAGTTAGCTCTTCTTGTTGAATTGATCCCTTTACCATTGTGTAATGGCCTTCTTTGTCTCTTTTGATCTTTGTTGGTTTAAAGTCTGTTTTATCAGAGACTAGGATTGCAACCCCTGCCTTTTTTTGTTTTCCACTTGCTTGGTAGATCTTCCTCCATCCTTTTATTTTGAGCCTATGTGTGTCTCTGCATGTGAGGTGGGTTTCCTGAATACAACACACTGATGGATCTTGACTCTTTATCCAATTTGCCAGTCTGTGTCTTTTAATTGGAGCATTTAGTCCATTTACATTTAAAGTTAATATTGTTATGTGTGAATTTGATCCTGTCATTATGATGTTAGCTGGTTATTTTGCTCGTTAGTTGATGCAGTTTCTTCCTAGTCTCGATGGTCTTTACATTTTGGCATGATTTTGCAGCGGCTGGTACCAGTTGTTCCTTTCCATGTTTAGTGCTTCCTTCAGGAGCTCTTTTAGGGCAGGCCTGGTGGTGACAAAATCTCTCAGCATTTGCTTGTCTGTAAAGGATTTTATTTCTCCTTCACTTATGAAGCTTAGTTTGGCTGGATATGAAATTCTGGGTTGAAAATTCTTTTCTTTGAGAATGTTGAATATTGGCCCGCACTCTCTTCTGGCTTGCAGTTTCTGCCGAGAGATCCGCTGTTAGTCTGATGGGCTTCGCTTTGTGGGTAACCCGACCTTTCTCTCTGGCTGCCCTTAACATTTTTTCCTTCATTTCAACTTTGGTGAATCTGACAATTATGTGTCTTGGAGGTGCTCTTCTCGAGGAGTATCTTTGTGGTGTTCTCTGTATTTCCTGAATCTGAACGTTGGCCTGCCTTGCTAGATTGGGGAAGTTCTCCTGGATAATATCCTGCAGAGTGTTTTCCAACTTGGTTCCATTCTCCCCATCACTTTCAGGTACACCAATCAGACGTAGATTTGGTCTTTTCACATAGTCCCATATTTCTTGGAGGCTTTGTTCATTTCTTTTTATTCTTTTTTCTCTAAACTTCCCTTCTCGCTTCATTTCATTCATTTCATCTTCCATCGCTGATACCCTTTCTTCCAGTTGATTGCATCGGCTCCTGAGGCTTCTGCATTCTTCACGTAATTCTCGAGTCTTGGCTTTCAGCTCCATCTGCTCCTTTAAGCAGATGTATTGGTTCTGTATTGGTTCTCTGTATTGGTTATTCTAGTTATACATTCGTCTAAATTTTTTTCAAAGTTTTTAACTTCTTTGCCTTCGGTTTGAATTTCCTCCTGTAGCTCGTAGTTTGATCGTCTGAAGCTTTCTTCTCCCAACTCGTCAAAGTCATTCTCTGTCCAGCTTTGTTCCATTGCTGGTGAGGAACTGCGATCCTTTGGAGGAGGAGAGGTGCTCTGCTTTTTAGAGTTTCCCGTTTTTCTGCTCTGTTTTTTCCCCATCTTTGTGGTTTTATCTACTTTTGGTCTTTGATGATGGTGATGTACAGATGGGTTTTGGTGTGGATGTCCTTTCTGTTTGTTAGCTTTCCTTCTAACAGACAGGACCCTCAGCTGCAGGTCTGTTGGAGTTTGCTAGAGGTCCACTCCAGACCCTGTTTGCCTGGGTATCAGCAGCGGTGTCTGCAGAACAGTGGTTTTCGTGAACCGCGAATGCTGCTGTCTGATCGTTCCTCTGGAAGTTTTGTCTCAGAGGAGTACCCGGCCGTGTGAGGTGTCAGTCTGCCCCTACTTGGGGGTGCCTCCCAGTTAGGCTGCTCGGGGGTCAGGGGTCAGGGACCCACTTGAGGAGGCAGTCTGCCCGTTCTCAGATCTCCAGCTGTGTGCTGGGAGAACCACTGCTGTCCTCAAAGCTGTCAGACAGGGACATTTAAGTCTGCAGAGGTTACTGCTGTCTTTTTGTTTGTCTGTGCCCTGCCCCCAGAGGTGTAGCCTACAGAGGCAGGCAGGCAGGCCTCCTTGAGCTGTGGTGGGCTCCACCCAATTGGAGCTTCCTGGCTGCTTTGTTTACCTAAGCGAGCCTGGGCAATGGCGGGCGCCCCTCCCCTAGCCTCGCTGCCGCCTTGCAGTTTGATCTCAGACTGCTGTGCTAGCAATCAGCGAGACTCTGTGGGCGTAGGACCCTCCAAGCCAGGTGCAGGATATAATCTCCTGGTGCGCCGTTTTTTAAGCCCGTCGGAAAAGCGCAGTATTCGGGTGGGAGTGACCCGATTTTCCAGGTGCTGTCTGTCACCCCTTTCTTTGACTAGGAAAGGGAACTCCTTGACCCCTTGTGCTTCCTGAGTGAGGCAATGCCTCGCCCTGCTTCGGCTCGCGCACGGCGCACTGCACCCACTGTCCTGCGCCCACTGTCTGGCACTCCCTAGTGAGATGAACCCAGTACCTCAGATGGAAATGCAGAAATCACCTGTCTTCTGCGTCGCTCACGCTGGGAGCTGTAGACCGGAGCTGTTCCTATTCGGCCATCTTGGTTCCAGAAAAAAAGTCTTTGACTTCTTTTAGGGGCGGGTGCCTTTGCCTGTGTAACCGCTGTTCATAGGAAAGTGTCCCCATTCACATGACTCCAGTGGTTTCTGCCACCCGTCTGCACCGATTGAGTGACTGAGGGGCTCTGCAGCGCTAGCAAACATTCACCTGGGGAGATAGAGAAGATGCTTTAGATCATACTCTCCTGGAAAATGCCTTGAAACCCTCTTTCAACATTTCTTCCTCCTAGTCCTTCTGTCCCAGGCTTTGAGCAGGTTATTCCCTCATCAGCCACGTCCTGTCGGCTGCCATTTTCCATCTCATATCTGACCTATAAATCACATCCTACATCTCACCTTAAGACTGGAGGGAGATCCAGCTCCCACTGCCACACCTGGTCAGCCTCCCAGCATATGGGACTCAACAAAGTTTAGGGCAGAAGTGGAAAGAATATGCTGTAGCTCCCAATTCTTTTTCCAGAATCTAAAAACAACTGAATTATACCACTCTCTGGCCCAGAGCCTTCAGTCGCCCCTACTGCTCTTAGGGAAAGCACTAGGGAATCCCGAAGACCCCCATCTCCCATCCCAGACAGTGCCTTCTCCCACCCTCACTCCTCCTGCCCACCGCCACCCTGCCCACCCTGGCCCTCTCTGGTGTTCCTCTCATGCATACCTCTCAAGGTGCACCAGGCGGCTGCCTCTGGGTACTTGCCCAGCCCTGTCCCCTCTGCTCCCCTCTCGCAGGCCATCCCACCACACTCGTCCCACCTGGCTTGTGTCAATGTTCCATTACTGTTCACCGGCTGCCCACGCACCTCCAGCTCCACATCGTGAGTATTTCTCCCCCTTCTCATCTCATGTCCTAAAAGCATTCAACAAATATGTACTCAGTAAACGGTCTCTGCTGCTTTCCATGTGTAATGACCCCTCCCTAATGACCTCACCAGATGCCTCCTGGACCCACTGCCAAAGCCCCTGTATTTATTTATTTATTTTTTGAGACATGGTCTCGCTCTGTTGCCCAGGCTGGAGTGCAATGGCACAATCTTGGCTCACAGCAACCTCCGCCTCTTGGGTTCAAGTGATTCTCCTGCCTCAGCCTCCCAAGTAGCTGGGATTACAGGGATGCACCACAATGCCTGGCTAATTTTTGTATTTTTAGTAGAGATGGGGTTTTTCTGTGTTGTCCAGGCTGGTCTCGGACTCCTGACCTCAGGTGATCTGCCCGCCTCAGCCTCCCAAAGTGATGGGATTACAGGCGTGAGCCACTGTGCCCGGCCTAGCCCCTGTGTTTCTGAGCTGTGCTTTTTGGTATTTGGGTCCTGGTAAATATCACTTAGGAAGAGACAACTGACAATGTCTTTCTAAACTTTCCTTTTTCTCACCAGAGAATGTGTTGCTAGACGTCATTGTCATGGTGGCAGGAGGAATTTGTTAAACTTCAAAGGAATGCCTGTTTGTCATAAAGCCTTTAAAACAAGAAGATGGCATCTCCTATGTGGGAGGAGTGAGGTTTGATCCTGCGGAAAATAAACTTAGCTGACATTTTCGAGTGCGTCTTGTGTTCTGGGCTGTCCTTGCGACAGTGTCTTGGCAGGTAGTACTATAGTCACTCCTTTAACGTGGGGACACCCGAGTTTGGATAACGTGAGCAGTGTGCTGGAGGTCAGTCGGCAGGGGGCAGAGTTGGATTTGAAGGTGAGGTCGTGTTTGTGGGGCCACTGTTTTTAATCACGGTACTAGAGGCACCACAGAGAGTGTAGAGAAAACAGAACCGCAAGGCCTGAGTGCCTTAAAGAGAGGTTTTCAGAATCAGGACCCAGCATGCTTATTCTTGCTGCAGTGCCTTAACACGCTAAACAGCGCTTAACCACGCTAAAACATCCCATGGGAAACTGTGACTGCAAGGCCCGGGGGATGTTCCTTCTCAGCCCATGCCCTGCCCATGCCCCAAGTAAAAGCAGTTTTAGGGACCACTAGTGTCCCAGGAATCATGGTATTAAAGAGTTGTTGGGTGTGGTGGCTCATGCCTATAATCCCAGCTGCTTTGGAGGCTGAGGCAGGAGAGTCGCTGGAACCCAGGAGGCAGAGGCTGCAGTGAGCCGAGATCGCGCCATTGCACTCCAGCCTGGACAACAAGAGCCAAACTCCAATTCAAAAAAAAAAAAAGTTAACCTTTCAAAGCAAGATGGTTTTAGCCATAAATTTTCATAGCAACAGAGGACAGCACATACCAGTGACGGAACCGATACTTTGAATCAAGCCAGCCAGAGGGGTCTACACCCCCTTCCACTGCAGACACCAAAACACAGGGTGCCATTCTCCATTCCCTGCCATTTACAAAGAAGAATGGACAAAGTAAGTTTGAGGTTAACGAAAGCAGCCTCAGGATGTTGAGTTCCTAGTCTCAGTTCAAACAGCTATTTGTGTGAGGCTGGGCAAGTCGCTGGGGTGGGCCTCAATCCCCTCATCTGATTTTACCTGAGGCGCCACCAACTCTAGGAAGTCTCCCATGATTGTCTAAGGCTGGGATCCCTCCCTGTGTGGCCCTTACTCTCTTTTTACCTAATTCCCTTCCTAAGAACGAGCTCCTTCCAGCTAAGATAAGCTTTCTCATGACTGCACCCCCTGTGTCTGGCAGAGGGGACAGCACCTGACAGATGCCTGCCTTGGAGGCTGGGGCTGCCACAACAAAGAACCACAGCCTGGGGGCTTAAACACAGACGTGCATTTCCTCACAGTGCTGGAGGCTGGAAGTCCAAGATCAAGGTGGGCAAGGCTGGCTTCTCCTGCAGCCTCTCTCTTCGGCTTGTAGATGGCTGTCTTCCCTGTGCCTCAGACGATCACCCCTCTGACTGTGTCTGTATCCTAACCTCATCTTCTTATAAGGACACCAGTCAGAATGGATTAAGGTTCACCCTCATGGCCTGATTTTAACTCAATTACCTCTTTAAAGGCCCTCTCCAAATAAGATCACAGTCTGAGGTACGGTGGTTGGGCTTCAACATATAAATTTGAAGAATCTTAATTCAGACCACAACGGGGTCTCACATGTCTCAGGTGAATGGACTGAATCTCAGCCTGCAGTTCAATGGGATCACATCCATGTGAATCTGAATTGCAGCTGTGGGTTGACCTCAGCCAGTTGGCTTTGGCTCTCCTCTGCCCAGTTATTTCCAGGAGTCTGGAAGAATCTCAGGAGAGCTCAGGGAACCTGGAACAAACACCTACTGCTGGCCCCCACTGCTGCCACTCCTGCTCCCTCCTGATGGCAGGGTCCCTGTCTCCCCCAGTCACAGACACGCGGATGAGCCCCCATCTGCCTGGCTGACCCACTGCCTCCTGAGCCCAAGTCTCTTTGGCTGAGGCCCCAGTACACACCAACACCATTTTCAAAATGACTCCTTCACAATTTCTCTTTAAGGCCAGACACCAAAGTCCCCCAGACCTGTCTCTGGAACAAATACTCTTATCTTTTGTACTTGAACTAACCTTTAAAAAAAAAAAAGCTTGGAACCTGATGCCATAGACGAGCTCTGAGCTTCTGTATATTTGGAAATTCTGAATCTAATTGAATAGCATGAACTTGTCTTTTCCACAAAGGATTTGAGGCACTGTGTTTTTAAGTGACTAAGCCCACGTCCCTCTCCAGACACCACCTGGGGCTTGGCAATGAGGATGCTGGCGGGGTTTAATATGGTCACATGGGAGCCAGAGAACCAACAAGGTTGACCAGGGCACAGGGGGCATGCTGAAGTATGGCTGGGACTGCAGCAAATTCTAATTCCAAGTGGATGGTAATTTCTTGAGCATTATGATGTTTGAAAAGTACAACAGAAGTCTATATTGTAATGTAGTGCCTTCTTATCCACAGGGATATGTTCCAAGACCCACAGTAGATGCTTGAAACCTTGGGTAGTAGTGAACCCTACATATGTTTTTTCTCTGATATATACATACCTATGATAAAATTTAATGTATAAATTAGGCACAGTA
This sequence comes from Homo sapiens, assembly GCF_000001405.40. NCBI lineage: Eukaryota > Metazoa > Chordata > Mammalia > Primates > Hominidae > Homo > Homo sapiens. The sequence goes on from NC_000015.10 coordinate 30,351,347, forward strand.
AGAAATTAACAGCACTTACTAGCAATAAAATAGGACAATCATAACCATATGCTGTAATGAAAGTTATGTGAATGTGGTCTCTGTCACAAAACATCTTATTGTCTTCGCCTATTTTCTGACTGTGGTTGACCACAGATAACTGAAGCCACAGAAAGAAACACCACAGGACATGTGTGGTGGCTCACGCCTGTAATCCCAGCACTTTGGGAGGCTGAGCTGGGCAGATCATCTGAGGTCAGGAGTTCGAGACCAGCCTGGCCAACATGGTGAAACCCCAGCTCTACTAAAAATATAAAAATTAGCTGGGCGTGGTAGCAGGCGCCTGTAGTCCCAGCTACTTGGGAGGCTGAGGCAGGAGAATGGCGTGAACTTGGGAGGCAGAGCTTGCAGTGAGCCGAGATCGCGCCACTGCACTCCAGCCTGGGTGACGGAGCAAGACTCTGTCTAAAAAAAAAGAAAAGAAAGCAACGCCACAGATGGGGGTGACTGTATGGTAATTACCAAAATGTGTAGGAGAAAAACATACTCACTTTAACCCTGACATATTGATTTCACCAAGACTATCTTTATCTTAAATGACAGCTTAAAATAATGTGTTTGAAAAACAATTACACTATTCATATTAATACAAAGATACTAAATGGCGAATTCTTGGCCGTTTTCATTTACCACAGAAAGAAAAGGGGGCAAATATAGTTGGAAAAAGATTAAACTCTGTAGCTTCATAAGGTCCTTCAATGTAAAGATGAATAGCTTCAACATGAAGTGAAAAGCATCTGCCACAATCTTCTAAAATTACTGGGAATATAATTTACCAGCAGCCTTGGTGCTGAGACATAACACACTCTCTCTCCATTGTTACCCATTGCCCTGAATATGTGGTCAGTGACTATCAACGCGTTGCGAGTGGAGGAAGGCAGGATCAGAGATATCGCTGCCCAAAAAAGCAACAATAGCAAACAGCAGCAGCAACACAGAATGATGGAGCCTCCTGCCACACTCTTCAAAGCGCTGCAGCCAGGAGGACACAGAGAAGAAGGTGGTGTGGGCCTGCAAAGGACAGACTCTGAATCAGTGCGACCCACCCCGCGTGTCCCTCCAACCCAAATAGCGGATCCCTCTCCCCACCCTACGCTGCCAGTCTCGAGTGAGGCTCATTGAGAAGGGAAGTTGTAAGTTGGAGGGAAAAAGTTTTAAGAGAGCCCATGAGTGCAGAAGTCCCGCCTCCCACTAAGGATCTCAGCAGATGCAGGAAAGTCACAGGCAGGAGGTCTTCAGGTGTCTTCCCTATGGGCAGGAAGGAAAGGGGATGTGACTATAACCAAATTCCTGCTCCCACCAGCCCTCCAACTACCAGCCCTAACAGCCAAATCCATGGACATTTTATCTGTCCTGACTGGAGGTTGAAGGGTGTAAGGAGAGAGGTTGGGAAATTTCACCGGGAGTACGCGGCTAACTGAGAAAGCTGAATAAGAGTTCACTCACCCCAAAGACCCAGAATTTCATGAATTAGAGCAATAAATAATGATATAGATCTCCTTCCAGGGTAATGCCTAAGATGTATTGGAGCACCAACAGACCAACATCAACAGCAACAAAGTAAAGACAAAAACGCCCAGGCTGTCCATCCTAGGGGCTGGCCTTCCTCTCAGAACCCCAGGCCAGGAAAGCAGGAAGAAGGGGGAGCACAGAGTCTGAAAGGGGCTGAGACCTGCTTTTTCAGAGGAATTTAAAGATCCACATGGAGCTGCCCAAATTAAGCAAAAGTAAGAGTGAAATAAATGGCAAGGCATTCCTGCAAATGTACTGCAGGGGAACAGTGAACACAGGGTGGACCATGGTCTGTAAAGAAAGACAAAGATTTCATTCTGCAGCAAAATATATAACTGAATCCATGCAAGAAAGTTCTCCAAAATGTTGTGTAAGAAGTTAGTAAGAAATCGATTTCAATAAAAAAGAGCTAAAAGATAGAAAAGCAAAATGAAAGGTAAATTGCAGAGTTTTGGAAACAAATTGAAGAGCAAAAACTCATTTCAGAACGGGAAGAAAAAAAAAAAAACCTACCCGAACTGTAAATAGCAGGAAACAGAATAGACAATGCCAAAAATAACAAAGCTACCATCATAGAGGAAGAATTTCAGATCTCCAAAGGGAATAAGAGGAATAAAACACATCATTGCATATTCAAGCCAAAATGAGGAAAAAGAAGGAAAATTCATTTTGCATAAATAAATATACCATGTATGTGATGGTAGGAAATTAATTTCAGAAAGTAAATGTTATAACTCATGAATTTGTAAAAATAACAAAGATAATTGCACTATGAAAATTAGGTAAAAGGGAAGATCACCACAAAATGAATGAATTGCCCATCCTATTAAACATCTTTCAATTTTCTCTCAATAGTAGTCAACAGATACTCTTCTGAATTGATAAATATTAAAGCATATCACAGAGTGTTGTATAAGGAACCTGCAGAAAACCTAAAAACAAAAAGATAACTAATAATATATTGGGGTTTGAAGTGAGAAGTGGAGAATTAATAGAAACTGTCAGGTTGATAAATCATGAACTATAGGTTGAATTATGTAAAATTATATAGGTAACCACTTAAACACATAAAAGCAATAAATCTTTCATTTTAACAAAAGGATTGCACATAATCAGAAGGAGGGGGGAAATAAAAAAATCCAAAAGGGAATGCAAAAGAAATATTAATTACAGATATTGAAAAAAATATTAAACCAAATATATCAGCAATATGTATTAAAAATATAAGTGCAGATCCAAGATAAATAAACCTAAAACAAAGTGCCTCAAAAAGGTTAAACATAAAATTGAGTATAAAATAATAAGAAATACATATTGGTCTGTGTCTCCAGTTTCTGACACAGAGCTCCTAATACCCTTGTAATTTCCTGAGTGATGGGGGTACTGGGAGCATCTTTTGTTCTAATATTGGTTGGGAGCATCTTTGACTGGGTTCCTGGTACAGAGCTTCCAATCCCTTGGAATTTCCTGGGTGATAGGAGCATCTTTTGTTCTAATGAACGACTCTTGGTGGAATCCTAGATGAGGGCTGGTCACCAGAAAGACCAAGCCATGGTTAGAAGCTTGGAACTTTCAGCCCCACACCCCATCCTCTAGGGAGGAAAGAGGAGTTGGAGATTGAATCAATAATCAATCATGCCTACATGATGAAGCCTCCTTAAAAATTCCTAAGTACAGGTGCGGGAGCTTCAGGGTTGGGGAACACGTGGTGGTGCTCCTGGAGAGGCCATGGCAGCTCCATACCCACCCCCACCATATCTTTTCCTGTATTTCTCTCCCATTTGGCTGTATTCTTTATAATAAGTGGATAAACATAGTAGTGTTGCCCTGGGTTCTCTGCGCTGTTCCACCAAATGACTGGACCTAAGAAGGGGGGCGTGGGAACCTCCGATTTATAGCCAAGTTGGACAGAAGCTGTGGGTGACCTGCAGACCCACCACTTACAACTGGCATCTGGAGCAGGGCAGTCCTGGGAATTGAGCCCCTCCCCTGTGGGGCTGGCTCTAACTCCAGTTAGTGTCAGAGTTGAGCTGAACGGTAGGACACCCAGCTGGTGCTGGCGAATGGGTGGGATTTTTCCCCACACATGTGGAGACGGGAGGTGTTGTGTGAGTGTAAGAATGAACGAGAGAGGCATCTCAGCATAAGAAATCAGTGGGGCTGATTTTAAAAGCAGACAAATGTGAATTCAAGGTTAAGTATTGAAAATAGAATGAAAATCCGGTAAATCGTTAAACATCCTGTGGTAAATGGAAGGATGATTGAAAGAGGAATGCTGCTGACAGGGAGCGTGGCCCCAGCCAGGCCAGTGAGCAAAGCCAGGGGTGGAACTCCCACACACCCGCCCAGGTCGTTCTCAGAGAGGGACCCATTCACAGGCACTGATCATACAAACCCCTCAGAAACACCTCAGCACATTATAAATATTAGAAATAGAACAAAAGGCATTTTGCTTAAAGCATAAGGTAATGTAACTAGAAATTAATTTTTAAGTTAAAAAATGTGGAAATTTTAAAACACTCAACAAAGCTCAGTTCGGGCTGGTCTGAGTGCAGTGGGGTGTACAAGGAATTGATTACAAGCAGTTACAGGTTTCTTTGCTCCTTTTCCATTTCCACTGCTGCTTCACTTCACTAGCCTTTATTTAAAAAGTCAGCTTGAAGAAGGTACAACAATTCAACTTATAGAATATCCAGAAAATACAAATGAAAACATTGCATATTAAGACGTATGGACTGCTGTTAAAGCTTTGATCAGAATAAAATGCAGAGCCAAAAATACTTATCTGATTAAATAAGAATAATTGGAAACACATGAATTAGGCATCTATTGAATAACTTAGAACAACAACAACAAAATAAAAGTAGAAGAGAACTGGCTGGGCACGGTGGCTCACGCTGGTAGTCCCAGCACTTTGGGAGGCTGAGGCGGGTAGATCAACTGAGGTCAGGAGTTTGAGACCAGCCTGGCCAACATGGTGCAACCTCTACTAAAAATACAAAAAAAAAAAAAAAAAAAAAAAATTAACCGGGAGTGGTAGTGGGTGCCTGTAATCCCAGCTACTCAGGAGGCTAAGGCAGGAGAATTGCTTGAACTCGGGAGGTGGAGGTTGCAGTGAGCCAAGATGACGCCATTGCACTCCAGCCTGGGTGACAGTGCGAGACTTCCTCTCAAAAAAAAAAAAAAAAAAAAAGTAAAAGGATCATGGCTGAATCCTGAGGATATCTTATTTCATGTAATGTGAAATAAGTCAGTCACAAAAGGACAAATACTATATGAATCCACTTGTATCAGGTACCTAGCCAAATTTATAAAGACCAAAAGGAGGCCAGGTGTGGTGGCTCACGCCTGTAATTCCAGCACTTTGGGAGGAGGAGGCAGGCAGATCACTTGAGGCCAGGAGTTTGAGACCAGCCTGGCCAACGTGGTGAAACCCCATCTCTACTAAAAATATATAAAATTAGCTGGGATTGGTGGTGTGCTCTGGTAATCCCAGCAACTCTGGAGGCCGAGGCATGAGAATCGCTTGGACCCAGGAGGCAGAGGTTGCAGTGAGCAGAGATTGCACCACTGCACTCTAGCCTGGGTGATAAAATGAGACTCTGTCTCAAAAAAAGAAAAAAAAAAAAAAAGGACCAAAACAAGAGTGGTTGATGTTTGATAGAGACAGGGTTTCAATTTGGGAAGATGAAAAGAGTTCTGGGAATATGTGGTTGTGAAGACTGTACAACAATGTGACTGTATTTAATGACACTGAATGGTACACTTAAAACTGGTTAAAATGATAAATTTTATGTTATGTATATTTTACGAAAATTTAAAAATATACAATAATTTTTAAAAAGTAAAATAGAATGAAAATATTAAAGATAAAAGCAGAAAACTAAAAATTAGAAAACATACCTGCAGAATTTGTTGATGGGAAGTATTTATCAAAGGTGAACACACAGAACTCTAACACAGCAGCAGAGGAAATGGTAGGAAGGCCATTGGCAGAAAAAAAGGAAATTTAGAAAGCAGTGCAAAATGTTACACGTGACGGTGGAGAGAAGACAAGAAAGAGTGTGGAACTGCAGCACTGCAGAAAGGTGGCATTCCCGAAGCGGGCTGTGTGCAAACACAGGGGGCGTCTCGTCACAAAGAGTTTGAGAAAGATAGAATCTGTGGGCCGCATCCCCAGGGGCCATAACTTTGAGACCCCTTCCCCAACTCAGGACAAGCTATGGCATTAGAAGGTCAAACGCATATGAAGTAAACAGTAATTACAAAAGGAGCTATCCATGGTGAGGTCAGAAACACTGATAGACGGAAGGTCTAGGGAGGTTGGGAAGGGTTTGTACCACATAAAAAATGAAGGAATGAGAAAAAGTTAAATTATGTAAGAGTTCCTTCCTGAGGCGTGCACCTCCAGGGGGCTCTGCTTAAAGCTTCTGTCAGTCTTTTCTCCAACTCACTGGGGTCCCCGTGAGTGCAATGACCAGCTACATCTAACCCACCATGCTGCCCCGACTAGTTTGTCCCACAGGCTCCCAGGGCCCAGAGGAAGGGCTGAACCGTGTGTTGGGCCCAGCACTGGCTGGAGAAGCACCTGCAACAACTGTGGCTTCTGCTGTGCTGGCCCACTGCTGTCACCTGGGAGGGCTGGGTCAACGCAGGGACCCCCAAGACCCTGCAGACAGGTCCTCGGACTGCAAAGTCTAAGGGTCCGATGTCTTAAAAATATAAACCGGTAAAACTCATGGCAAGCTAAATCAATAGGCACGGGAGAAAGGAGAAATGCACACAATTACAAACGGAAAAAGGAGAAAAAGCCACAAATACAGAGGAAAGAAAACACCTGAAGTGCATATATTACAAAACTACGCAACTATGTTGAAAAGTGGATGGAATTAATTTTATTTTTAAAAATGTCATTAAAATGGACTCTAGAAGGGCTCGAGGACCTAACTTGCCTGATGAGCAAAATCCAGAAATATACCACGGCAGGCCCAGACAGCCCCAGCTAGTTCTTCTACACTTAAGCAGAAAATAATCCAAAACCAATAGATGATTGTAGAATATAGAGGTTTTTGTTTTATAATATTTCTTCCTTTAAGTCAGCATAAAGTTAAATCTGGACAAAAAACACATAAAAGCAAGATGTAGAATGATGAATCTTAATTATAAATATTGATAACCAAAGTCATGATACTAATAAGTAAAGAACATCTCAGGAATACACTAATGATTTGGTCTTAAGTATTCTATTAATATAATTAAACATACTACTAGAGCAAAGGAAAAGACCTTCTGATAATCCCTCTGGACACTGAGAAGGCTTTGACAAAAATCTAACATCTACATTTTCCCCAGAGAGTCTTAATAGTTTGAGAACACACAGATACTTTTTTATTATGGCAAGGAAAATACATGTCTTCATACAAGTTAAACGCTGAGACATTAAAACGTCCCACTGATGTCACGAACAAGATAAGCATGCCACCTGAATCACTGTGACTCAACACTGATCTCAAATCAACTAGATACAAGAAAGAAATAAGAGACACATTGGAAAGGAGAAGTCAAAAGTATACCTTAGAAACAAGTAGGAATCACAATTTGTGGTTGATTATAACATTCATACATAAAAACCAACTACTTTCTTATACAATGGGATAAAATAGAAAATAAAGTGGAATAAATCATTCCATTGAAAATGATAGCCAAATGATAAAACATCTAGAAATAAACTATAAATTCAAAGCACCTTAGTGAACAAAATCATAAAACACTACTAAGTTACATAAAATTAGACTTAAACACAAGATTTCATGCTTTTGAATAGGAAGACTCAATCTGTAAATTCATTGTGACTCTAATTGAAAAAAGATTCATATGAGAGAGAGATTCAGAGTTGATGGGAGTGTTGACTTGAAAATACTGATATTAGTATGAATAATGCTTTAGAAATGAAAGGCATTCATAGAGATAAATAGAACAGAAACAGAACCAAACACTTAAAGAAATTTAGTTTACAAATAAGGCTGCATTTTGAACAACTGGGGAAAACACTATGACTGTATTTTAGAAATGCATTATTACATATTTATTGATACTGCTGACCACCATTTCGAGGAAAAAGTATGGATTTTTCCCTCATGTCCTGCAACAAATGAATTCCAGGGAGTCTGAAGATGTGAAGGTAAACCAATAAAACCATAAAGTTTCAGAAGAAAATGCGAGTAAGTCTATTTATAATCTCAGAATGAGGAAGGCTTTTAAAAACTGGAAACAAATCCCACGATCGACAAAGAAAAATACTCACAAATTGACAACATAAAAATTTAAACTCTATGCCAATAAATAAGGAAATCAATAAATAACATCGAAAGACAAATGATAAAAATATTTTAAAGACATAAGACAAAAATGTCCCAAAGTGCATGAGCAAATTAAGAAAAAGCCAAATAACCCAATTAGGAACTGGGTAAAATATATAAATGTATCAAAATTAAAACTACAAAAAAATTTTAAAAGATGTCCCATTTTATACACAAAATAAACCAAAATCAGAATAATATTCGTAAATATCATGTTTCACCAATTATATTGGGAAAAACATTAAGTTTGAAAATACCCAGTGCTATTATAGAAAGCTGAGAAATTGGGCCTTTTATTGTACTCTTGATGGAGTTACATCCTTCGATCAGTTTCTAGAAGATAATCTGGCAATAGCTATCAAAATTTTAAATACATGTAGCCTTAAACCCAGCAATTCCATTTCTAAGTTGGAATTTATACCGTTTTAGTCACAAAACTATGTCAAGATGTATGTACAAGTATGCCAATTATAGATTTGTATATAAAAATAAAAACTGGAAGTATCCATATGTTCACCAATAAAAGGCTATTCAAATAAATGATAGTCCGCTGAGATAATGGAATGCTAAGCAGCTACTAGGAGGAATGAGGTAGATCTTTATATGTTATTATGGGACGACCTCTAAGACAAAACACCACATGAAGAATGCAAGGTGCAGCGCCCTTCACAGAGCGTTAGTGCTGGAAAGGGAAGGTCTCTCTCCATAACCCCCGTCCCTCCTTCTTTGGCCTCTTATCTTCTTTTCTTCCTTTCTAGAAATGCCCTTAGAAGCTCATTAGTGGTCCCCTCTGAGAGAGAAAACAGGCAGTATGGGAGACTGTTGTTTTTAACCACTCATACTTTTCTAACTATGTGCACATCTATTCCTTATTATTACTTTATTAAAGGACAGAGTAGTTATTTGAGAGTCCAAAATATGCACAACTTGTTTGCATTTTGTGTTCCTGTATAAAATACAAAACCAAAAAGGTTTCTTTTTAAAGCAAAAATGTGGGAGGGATCAATTTTGGGATAATGATAAGAAATGAAGCATTCCTTTTATATATCAAAACAGAAAAAAAAAACCGAAAATCTTGTGCATGGTTCATCCATAGCATGTGGAAGGAATGCCTGCTGAGGAATGATCCTGCTCCAAGCCGCCTGAGGCTGGAATGTCCTGATCCACCAACTTTCTCGTAAGTGAGGTCTCTTGTCACACACAAGGTACCTCACACTTACACACACACACACACCGCACACACGCAAGCTTCCATCTTCCTCCAGTGCAAACAAAGTCATGTGCATTACCCAGAAATGAGTGAGCCAGATGGCTGGAAAAGCACATACAATTTATTTAACTCTGAAAATCAAATCTTCCCTCATGATGTTCCCACCTCAGGGATTAGAAGCAAATTAAAAATCTCTAGGGGCTCAGAAGCCTTCTATAATTTTGAGCTCTGAGCAGTTGTTGGATGACACAATGGAACAGGAGAGGTCTTTCTTGGTGAATTACCCTCTGATCTCATTAAAGAATAAGAATGAGACCATCCTGGCTAACATGATGAAACCCTATCTCTACTAAAAATACAAAAAATTAGCCAGGCATGGTGGCGGGCGCCTGTATTCCCAGTTACTCGGGGGGAGGCTGAGGCAGGAGAATGGCATGAACCCAGGAGGTGGAGCTTGCAGTGAGCTGAGATCATGCCACTGCACTCCAGCCTGGGCGATAATCTAAGGGAAGAGCTGTATCATCACTTAGGTTTAAAAATTAAAGTTTCTCTTGTTTTAAGTTGCCCATCTCCAGTGAATCCACCCAAGGACTTTGAGCCAGCTTTTGGGGCTGCAGCTGGGGTGGACTGGCTTGGAGCAGGCAGACTCCCAAAGGCCAGAACTCAGAATTGCTGGCTTGTCAGTCACTGAGGGTCGGCCAGCTCCTCCCTGCTGCCTGCCACTGGCCAGGTATCCAGAGAAGGGATGGGCCACACCATCCCCTCCCTGGCGCCTGCCATACTGGGGACCAGAAGAGTTCCCAGCCTCTACTTCCTGGCCCTGACACAGGCAGAAAGGGCCTAGGAATATGTTCACTTTATGTTGTGCATTTGTATGGATGCACACATTTCTAAGACTAATTAACTCCAGTGCATGTGAATCAGCTAACACATTATTTTTTTAAAGCCCACGTAAGTGGCTTCACTTAGCTGTAGCTATTCTTTTGGGCTGTTAATTCTAGTAGAACTCTTATTTGTCCTATGGGTTCTGCAGAATAGAACAGATTTGCTCAACTCCTCAGTGTCTGAGAGCAGCACCTAGGAGTTATCTGGGATCCACCAAAGACACTCCGCGGGGCCTGGCCCTTGTTCAGAATAAACAGAAACCTGCGTCCCTTTGATCTCCTTGACAGGGTAGGTTTGCAGAAGTCAGGCAGGCTGGTAAAAACATCCTTAGTAAGACCAACAGTCTGTCTTTTTTTTTTTTTTTTTTGATGTAGAAACAGCATCAAGCTGTTTCTCTCTACCGTCTTTGATAGAAATAAAAATAAAAATAAAAAGTTGAATTGCAGAAAAGCTAAGAGGTTTTTAGTTTTTGTTTTTTGTTTTCCTTCCACCAGTCAATTATTGGAAAGGATTTAGTGAGTCTGGTTTATTTTAGCTTCAATCTGGGTTTGTACACAAGCAAAAAGCAAATGTTGAATTTTCAGGTAGACCTTCATGCAGACATGCAAAACCAACTGTCTCGGTGGTGAGGAGCCATGGGGAGCTCTCCGAAGGGCTTTCCAGGCAGTGGGCTAATGGGCAAAATGACTACTCAGTGGCCCTGCTGACCGATGGTACGGATGTGCCAAGGATATCTATCAGCCCATCTGAGAATATGAAACAAAGTGCTGAGATTCTACTACCTAAAGTAACAAAGAAACCGTAAGCAACACGACTGACAGCCAGAAGGGAACACTGGAGTTGTGGCGTGTAATGCTGTCCTGGATTAGCACCCCCAAATCTCGCCAAGCCAAAGGCCTTGCCCATCTGTGAGTTTTCCACATGTACAGAACCAGGCGTGGTTACGCAAAGTCTTTGGACACGGCCTCCACGAAGTTGGGAGCCGACATCAGGATGCCGATGGTGCAGATGATGGTGAAGACCGAGAAGGCCATGAGGCACAGGCGGTCCACCACACAGGCGGCGAACTTCCACTCGCTGCAGACCGCCTCGCTTTCGTCCTGGCAGCGGAAGCGGTTGGCAATGTAGCGGACCTCCTCCAGGATCTTGGCCAAGTCCGGGTCCCCCTCGGGGGGTTGCCCGCCGTGCAGGAGGTGCTCATCGTGCGTGGGGGAGCAGGCCATGCGGCCACACACTACCCCAGAGTCGGGGGTCGGGACACAGTGCACGCCGTCCAGGCCGCGGAAGCCGATGTACAGCAGGTTCCCGTTGCTGGCGGGCGGCGGCGCCACGGCACTCATCTCCACACTGGCCAGGCTGCAGCGCCGCTGCTTGTGCTGGCAGGCCGGGCGCACCTTGTCCTCCCCGGGCCTCTTCATTCGCAGGAACCACGCGCACCAGTTCAGAAGGATGACTCTGGTCTGGGGAGACAACAGAACGTTAAGAGCAGCCCTGAGGCGGACACGGGCTGATCCCAACAGCAGTAAGATCCTACAATACAAGCCCTGCTTCATTGGTCCTGGGGGTAGCAGCCTCCACTGCCTCCCGGATGATTTTAGCAGGCAAGCAGTGCTTGCGTATGACAAGCAGTCGAGTTCAACGTGAGGCAAGACTAAAACTGATGCACCCTGGGAACAAGCTAAATTGTTCTCCGGGGCAGGCACACTGCAATCTCAGGGAAGACAGCTTCGTGGAAGGGGAAGGCTATCTGAGCTGTGTAAAGAGGGAAAGTCAATTTCCCTCTCTGATCCTTCCTCATCTGTAACCCGGGGACCTTCAGATCTAACTCTGGCTCCCACACTACCTGTTAGGTGCCCTGGAAGGCCACTGCAAATTCGCAAAGAGTGTCTGGGGGAGGTTGTACATTTTCAAATGCAATCCCAGGATATCCATGAGACACCAGGTAAACTTGAAGCTTGAAGCAGTTCAGGCTTCCAACATCAGATTACCACATCTCTTGTGATGACGTGACCACTTTGCAAAGCTGTTTTTCAAAGTACCCTGATAAAAAGCAAACACCAAGGAACTTCATGTGAAACAGAAACTAGGTTAGTGGTCTCCAATCTGATCCCAAGATTTGAGAGGCGGTGCCGTGCCCCATAGGTGCTACATTGTTAAGGCACAAATACTTATTAAAGTGTTTTGATCTATTTAAAAAGAGAGCCTTGGGTATTATTTCTTTTGGCCAGGGGCTCTGTGAAAAATTTCCTGAGATACTAACGTGCTGTGAACCAAGGCAGTTTCGGAACCTCTAACCTAACTCAGTAGGCTTCAATGAAGACCGAATAAGATGATGTCTGGGAGAGTACTTTGAAAAGTTGAAGGCAGAAGTTGGCAAACTTTCTGTAAAGGGCCAGGCAACTACTCACTTCTGCTGATGTAGCACACATTGAAGGCGTCAAATGGATGGGCATGTTTTCTAAAATAACTTATTTACAAAAACACTTGGTGGACTGGATTTGGCCACCTAGGCCATAATTTGCTAACTTCTGGTCTAAAGTGTGTCCTAGAGTGCATGAAAGAAGCTGGAGAAAAATCACCATGGAGTTTATCCTGGTTTTGCCTCTCATGGAAAGAAGAGAGACAACTGAAGCCTCAATCCAGGTAAAGAAGCATTCTTGCAAGCCCATCCATGTAAAGTGTATGAAAAGTGGGCCTTTTCCCTGAAATTATCCAGATCCTGATTTCATTTACATTTTGTTTTATGATTTTGGGGAAATTCCATCAGTAACCTAACAGGTTTATTTCCTATCTTTAGGAAATAAATATACAGATAGTAAATTGTGCAGTTCGTATCTGCAGAGCTTTCATTCTTGGTCATCTTTTTATAACATCAAAGATAACTGCAACAAACAGGTCTGGGGACAAGAACAGGGAAGCACAAGACCAGTTTCACTGCAGCTATAAAAATAACCCTTTGTTTCCCATTGTACTTTACAAGCAGGCGGCACTCTGCGTGTCCTGGAAAGGTTGGGTCTGCTGACCTTGGAGGGTTTTTTATGATCAGTAAGGAGCAGGGACATATGGCCCCAGGTGAAACCTTGGGTGAGTTGGGCCGTCCATACAAGGCTCATGAGATAAGTCATCTCACTTGGGCCTTTCAGGGTCCGGTGAAATGAGTATAATCCCCTCACTTTACAGACCAACAAACTGAGGTTCAAAGAGGCTAATAAACTGGCCCAACGATGTACAATGAGTAAGTAAGTGGTTATGTCACTTCACATGTTTAGCCTTTCCCAGTCTCATCTGTCAAAGGGTCTGTAAGATTCTCTTCAAAACTTGCACAACCCCACCCCTCTGGGAAGGCACCAGAAAGCCTGAGCCAGCTCTCCTGGGAGGCTGCAGGGCAGTGAGTGTGCCTGCATCCAGTGGCAGCAGTGCACACAGGGAGCGAGCAGCACCAGGCACTTCTCCCTCCATGGCAGGGTCTACACGTCCCCCAGTGCACATCTCAAGCTCATACGATACACTCTGCCAAGTCCATTTTGAATTCCATGGCCTGAATCATTAACTTTCAAAGCCAAAGCATTTAAAAGATAAAATTATCCTCTTGGCACTCCTCAAACTGTGCTCTTGACCTCTTCTGTTAGGCTACAGTTTTGTTTCTGGCTGTGCAAATGTCACATAATGCCACTGCACCCGGCAGTATCTTCTTCATAGCAACAGATCATAATAAAAGTCCCTCGGAGGCTGTTTGTGTTTCACATACACATGGAATGAAAGAAAAATGCAGTGTGCTATATAAAGCAAGAGAAATGCATAAGCTTCATCTTTCATTTGCAGCCAATTGGTTTTAATAAGCTTTTATGCTGAGAGGTGAATAATTAGCATATGTTCTTAATTAAGATTGTTCTAGAGCAGTAGAGTGCTCCAGGTCGTTAAAAATGGTTTTGTGTCTCAATGTCTTAATTCTCTTATCTTCTCATCAGTCAAAATACTTACAAGAAATGAGAATGTTTAGATTTTTGTATTTGCATAAATAAATACTAGAAGGAAAAATAAGGAATTCATTAAAACGGTTATCAGTATTGACGGTAGATGCAGGGTAAAGGGGAAGGAATGGGAGCAGGATTTCCTTATGTATAATTTTAATTTTATTTTGACTTTAGAAACAGGTAAATGTATTACCTGCTTCAAACTGATGGATGGACAGACAGAAAGAGCAGCAAACCAACAAGCCTCCAGCTCTCAGGCCTCTCACCTCTGGCCTTGCATTTTCTTAAGTGTGGGTCAGCGTTATAAGGAAATCAGACAAAAATACAGGTGAATGTGTGCAAATGTACCCCAGTGTTTTAAGGGGGGGCCTTCACAAAACAAGCCTCAGGGAATGTAGTGATGTGGTCTGTGTGTGAGACATCACCATGTAGGCTGAGCTCACATTACTGCTTGTGTAATGAGCTACAAGTGAGTCTTTTTTTTTTTTTTTTTTTTTTTTTTTTTTTTTTTTTTAGGAGATGGAGTTTTGCTCTGTCACCCAGGCTGGAGGGCAATGACACCACCATAGCTCACTGGAGCCTGGAGCTCCTGGGCTCACATGATCCTCCCACCTCAGCCTCCCAGGTAGCTGGGACTACAGCCACACACCACTGTGGTGGGCTCACAGGTAAGTCTTTACTAAATAGTGTATAAGGGGAATGGGCCATGTGGGTGAAACTCTGAGAAGAAACAGTAATTTTGTAAAGCATTTCTTAAGAAGCAGTCTTTGCTAAGTGAGCATTCAGGTAACAACTCCACAATGACTGTTTCAGGAGGCCCAGCAATCCCCTATTCCTGGAGGGTGCCTGACAGCATCTCACCCCCTACAGCTGCATTTAGCTTGTTGGTGATTCCTAGATTCCCTTCTGAACTGGGACACAAGTGCTCTCCAAAGACAGACAACTTTTGGAATGTGAGGGCCTTTTTAGCTCCCCAAATCCTTAGGCCAGGCTCTCTAGACAGGAGGACGGGGAAGCTTTACAAAGCTCACATGAAGAGGGGAAGAAGCTCAGGCCCTCCCTAGGCCCTCATCAAGGTTTCCTGACTGCCAGGCAAGGGTGGATGCAGAGCTCTGGACACCGTGCAGGAGAGGATCCCTGGGTGGGTGAGCATCCGCAGATGTGGCCGGGCACGGTGCCAGCAGCTGGGGCAGGAGTGGTATGGCCCAGGCTAAGCTGACAGGCTGTGGGATGCCATCCTTTCTGTTTTCATCCGTTTCCTTTTATCCCTTCCCCCTTCTGCACTGGTGACAATTAGTCTTTGTTTCATAGACTTCTGGTTGGATGATATCCCTAGATGTACTGAACGTACATATTTGTACACAGCTCATTCTGTTTCTTACTCTTTGCTCCTCATTCTGTTGTGAAGCCTCAACCATGTTGCTACGCATCTGTCTCATCTGTTGCTTCCAACTGCAGCACAGTGCTTCACGGCATGCATCAAAAAACAAACTAGCTTCTCAAAACACCGTGCTGATTGATAGAACACACAGGGCAGCCAGTTTGAGAGCCTTACTCTACTCTGCAGTTAGATTAGACAGCAGTGCCACGGGGCATCCGGGAACACGTGCACCATGACTGCACACTACACAAAGACACGTCAATAGGTGACGAAATACAGAAACAAAGCTATTTCTGGCTGGGAACAATGGCTCACACCTGTAATCCCAGCACTTTGGGAGGCTGAGGTGGGCAGATCACGAGGTCAGGAGTTCGACATCAGCCTGGCCAACATAGTGAAACCCCATCTCTACTAAAAATACAAAAAAAAATTGGCCAGGTGTGGTGGCAGGCGCCTGTAGTCCCAGCTACTTGGGAGGCTGAGGCAGGAGAATTGCTTGAATCCAGGAGGTGGAGGTTGCAGTGAGCCAAGATTACACCACTGCACTCCAGCCTGGGTGACATAGTGAGACTCCGTCTCAAAAAAACAAACAAAAAACCCAAAGCTATTTCTTTAGGAATGCCCGTTTTTTGTGTGATTTTAAAAATAAACCCTAGGAGGAGCCTCCTTTACAGCGGGGCTCCGACTCCATCGGGGGTGGGAGGAACGTACCCACTTGGGCATCTTGCCCCCGTCGGGGTCGTGGTGGTGGTACTGCAGCACGATCACCGTCACCACCACCGAGAGGCCCACGATGATCATGGTGCTGGCGAAGTACTGGGCTGTGGAGAGAACAGATGCAGGGTGAGACCCGGGGATCCTGTGGCACTGCACGTCACAGGACAGGCACACCCTGATCAGGTTCTCTGACCGTCAGGGCCTCAGGGTGCAGTGATGCCCATGTGTCCAGGCCTGCAGCCCACATTCTGGGTGGGCAAAACCAGCCAGTGTGGTCTGACTTCCCGCCCACGGAGTGACCTTCCCTCACTTCATTGCACTTCCATGCACTCTGGCCGACTTGTCAGTCAATAAGAGCTAGCATCGCCTGGCAGGATGGTGATAAGCTTGTTCCTGTGGGTAAATACTGGATGTGAGGGCATGGGAACCATCCAGTGTTCATGATGCAGGCCTCTACTGTGCTCCAGGGGCACAATGAGGGCAAACCTGCACACCACCTGGCTGCCAGCTGTCCAGCCTGAGGAAGGGGTCAGTGGCAGGGACTTTTCAGGACGAGAACTTCAGTCTCAGCTTTGGTTCTAATGGGTCATGGGTGTCCTTCCACCTGGGCCCAGGTGAGGGGCAGCATGGAGCATCTGAGTGCTTCCATCCTGGTCCACTAGCTACTGGCTGTGAGTTTGGAGTGGATGCTCAGCCTCTTCGGGCCTCAGCTCTCCAATGGGGGTGGTACAAAGGATGACGTTTGTGTCCCCACGAAGTTCATGGGTTAAAACCCTAGTCCTAACTGGGATGGTATCTGGAGGTGGGGCTTTGGGAGGTATGAGATTGTGATTTATAATAAGAAATATGTATTTGGTCTTCCTCCCATTTCCTGGCACACAGCTCCTAAAACCTTTGAATCTCTGAAGTCATCAGTGTCTTTTTATATGCTAATGAAATGATTTATGGCTGAGGTTCCTGGATACCCTCAGGATGGGGTTTGGTTGCCAGGGGAACTAGCCAAGTAATTAGAGAGTTGGAACCTTCAAGCTCTGTCCCCTCTCCCAACCCTTGACCCCTGGGGAGGAAAGAGGTACTGACGGTTGAGTGGATCGCCAGTGGCCAATGATGTAATCAATCATGCCTATGTAGTGAAGCCTCCATAAAAACCCAAAAGGATGGAGTTCTGTGGAGACCTTCCCAGTGCTGAACACGGGGAGGTGTTTGGAGGGCAGAGAGGGCATGGCAGTTCCATGCCCCTTCCCAAATACCTTGCCCTATGCATTTCTTTCATCTGACTATTCATCTGTGCTTTATAATTAATGAATAAATATCAGTAAAATGTTTCCCTGAGTTTACTAGAGTGAGTCACTCTAGTAAATGGCTGAACTCAAAGATGTGCTTTTGGGAACTCCCCGATTTATAGACACTTGGTCAGAAGCATGGGAAGCCGGAACTTCTAACTGGCATCTCAAGTAGAAATGGTCTTGTGAGCCTTAATCTGTGAGTGCTGTGCTAACTCCAGGTGGTGTCAGGACTGAAGTGAACTCACTGTAGGACGCCCAGCTGGTTTCCAAGAATTGGTCGATGTGGGAGAAACGCCCCGCTTTGGTGTCAGAAGTGTTGTGTAAGTAGAGAAATGGTGACTGATTTTCTCAGGGGCCTTCAACAGGTCCTGAGGGTGCAGCCCTCATGAATGGGATTAGAGTCCTTCATAAAAAGAGGCTAAAGAGCTAATTCACTCTCTTTTTGCCACGTGAGGCCACAGCGAGAAGAGGGCCAGCTGTAAACCAGGGAGTGGCCCCTCACCAGAGCCCTGCTGCCACCCTTATCGAGGACGTGCAGCCTTGCAGAACTCTGAGAAATAAATGTCTGTTGCTTAGGCCCCCAGTCTACAGCAATTTGTTACGGTAGCCTCCATTAAAATAGGAACTTCTTCCTTGCAGGATTTGTGCAATGATGAGCAATTACACAGGCCAAGATGTCTAGGAGAAAGGAGGGGGCATTCTTTAGTGGGCAGCTCTAATTATTAAACCTTTGGTGTGGCTGTCCACTCAAGGGGCTGAACTCTAAGCGGAAAGCATCAGAGTGCAGGGCGCTAAGCATTCAGCTAGCCCTCACAGGCCCTCACGCCAGGAAGGAACTCACTGCCTTCCTACAAAGACCAAGAGGTACCTGGGAGGAGCTCTGCCAGAGCTGGAAGTTTGAGACCTAAAGTTAGCATCAGGGCCCCTGAGAAAAGGAAGGAGACTGGAGCAAACCGTGACCCTTATGAGCTGAATTATGCTTCCCCCTAGAATTCATATGTTGAAGCCCCAACCCCTAGTACCCTAGAATGTGACTGTACTTGGAGATAGGGTCTTTAAGGAGGTAATTAAGTACAATTAGGTCATCAGGGTAAGCCCTAATCCAATCTGACTGGTGTTCTTTTAATGAAGAAGAGAAAATTTGGACACACAGAGAGACACCAGGGATGCAGGTGCACAGAGGAACTACCAGGGGAGGACAAAGCATTGTGAAAGTGGTTGTCTGCAAGCCAGGGGGAGAGGTCTCAGGTTAAACCATCCCTAATGGCCCCTTGGTCTTGGACTTTCAGCAGTGCAACTGTGAGAAAATAAATTTCTGTTAGTTATTTAAGCCCCTAAGTCCATAGTATTTTGTCACGGCAGCCTGAGCAGACCAACCACCTCTGGAGAGATGGGGGTCAAAGGATTGCCCAGACTGAATTTCCATCAACAGAGGGCAGCAAAGCTGATGTCCCTGGGGCCATCAACATCCCATCCTTCGAGATGTGGGCTATGCACCAACCAAGCCTTTCCCAGCGGGTCATCAGTCCAGAGAGAGAAGGCCTGACAACTGCCCCCGGAAGGGAGGCTGCAAATCTCTACTGAAAGCAGTGTGCTGGAAGGTAGAAAGAATGGAGTCAGAATCAGGTGGAAAGGTGGTTCTTCCCTGTCTGGATGGTACCAAGAGAAAAATGATACCCACAAAGGCTTTTCATACCAACAGTTTCTCTGGCCAAAATACTGCACATACAGGGAGTTCCACAAAGAAGGGCCTTTGCTGCTTGGTTCCTAAAGCCTGGGGGTATCCAGGTAGGGCTCTCCCTCTAGCCCACCCCCAGGTAGACACAGCATAGGTCCTCAAACAGCAGGGGCCAGCAGGTGTAATGACAGTCTGTATACCTCCTTCCAACCTTCCCTGCCCAGTGGGAGTGGAGACTTGTTTTTGTTGTCCCTCCCTGGGTAGAGGATCATGCCTTATACCTGTGCAAAATATATTTTTCTCATTCATATTTCCCTAGAAACTTTTATACAGAGACATTGAGTTATCTCAGGACACAGTAACTGTGTGCTTCTCCCATTTTAACAAAGGCTTTGTGGGAAAACAACATCTTAAGCTAAAATGATGCATCTCTAACGATGAAATATCTGGCTTCAAAGCAAGCATGAGGAGGAGAATTATGAGGGGAAGGGGGGCATTTCTGTGAGATAAAAGTCAAACCTCAAAGCTGAATATCCCCTTCCCCTTACTTGGGCCCGGGTGACTCTGAATAGTTACAGCAAATCATCACCTTCCAGAGAAAATGGGGGCAGTGCAGCCGTATTTCTTCTAGTTTCATCTGCTGGGAAATCCTGGGCACACTCTAACCCTAACCCCATATCTCTAAGAGAGGAGCCCAACTCTTGCCTTACCTATCAATGGTACCGAATCGGATGTTGCGGGCATGATCTCAGCCACGAGCAGCATGAAGACGGTAAGAGAGAGTAAGACTGTTATCCCTAAAACATAAACACACAGCGGTTCCTCAGACAAAAACAGACAAGAAGGCCTCAATTCTGTCTAACGAGGGCTCCTAACCTGACACTCAAAAGAAAGGGAGGCGCTGGGGGGAATGTCGTGGAATGCACGTTTTCCCTATGTATGGGCGTGTGCATTTTCCAGGGGACGTTCCATGCCACTTACCAGAGTCCCAAAGGAGTCTCTTATGGAGACAAGTTTAGGACCCAGAATTTTAAAAGCATCAACACAAACTGAAAAATTTAACTTGGCACAATTATCTTTCATATTCTCTGTAAAATATTATTGAGAAGTAGTTTCACGTAGCAGGAAAAAGAAAATATGCAGTCAGGAGACCTGATTTCAGGTCTTACGTTTGCTACTCAGCTAGCTATGTGACCTTAGATACAACATTCAACCTTTCTGAACCTCATACTCAGAAGATATGGGTTTGGGAATGATTTCTACCATATCCTACATCTGATGTTTAGCAACTCTTTAAGACATTGGGAAACTCATTCCACCATTCAAAATCTTGGTTTCCTTAGCTTCGTATGGGAGTGATTGTAAGAATTACACTGGGTACTGTAACATACAAATGCAAGCTGATACTAAGCTAAATTGTTCCCTCGATGACCAGTCGCCATTGAGGAACAGGTGGGGTGGCAGGAGGGAAGAAAGCACAGGCCTCTCAAGGCAGAATGGAGCTGGCCCCCTCCCTGTGCATCCCCCATCCTCTGAGGGTCCTCCAGTATTCTCAGGATTACACAGCCGTCCAGCACGGAGCCCGAATCAGGGACCTCTGGTGTCCTGGAGCCACCGTGGGCTCGGAGGTCCATGGGATGAGCCAGGGAATCCCCAGGAACCCTGATGGAGTCCTGCGCTGTCTGCTGTGAGCCCTCCAGAGCTGATCTCAGCAGAAGGTCTCCAGTCTCAGACTCCCGCCAGACACTGGGGCGCTTACCCAGGGAAATCTTCTCCCCGGAATCTGCAGGAAGCAGGAACACCAGCAGGGCGAGGGCGGAGATGAGCACACAGGGGATCAGCAGGTTGAGGCCATAGTAGAGCGTCCTGCGGCGCATGGTCACTGTGAAGGTGACATCAGGGTAGGGCTCTTTGCAGCACTCATAGAACCTTTCACTCCTCTTGCCGGGGATTCCTCCATAGGGAGGAGGAGAGAAGGAGCCATTGTTAGAATACAATAAATTACCCTGTTTATTTCAATGTGTATACCACACACAAGCACAGTCCTAAAGTTTGCAAAGTGCTAAAAAAAAAAAAGGGGGGGGTTGTAATTAGCTTGAATAAAACCTTGTTGATTTACTATAGAGTTAAGAGTATTTTAGTGATAGTTGGCCAAATTGGTACATATTCTTTTGGTGGATTGGAAACACATGATTATAATAATTATAAATAATACATTACCAATTTTACACTGTTATAAATGTAATCACTGTTTTCCTATTTTAAAATAATCAAATATAGGTTCCCATCAACTGAAATTTGCTGTTCAACTTGCTTTTAGAAATGGAGTGGATCTGCATAACGTAGAGAGATCTATCCTCACACTGGTTTGTTTAAATGCATCCTCACTGCAGTTGCCAGTTCCTCTTGGAAAGCATGGCATATCCTAACTGTTTTCTGTTTCTCCTCCTGTAGCTCTCAGTAAATTATGGAGACTACTGCAAAATTCAATAAATGCTCGCACCGGAAAGGACAGTGGAAAATCCCAAACTTTTAAAGCTTGCCCAGGAATAGGAAAGCTTTCTTCCAGGCGGTTAGTCTCATGGCTTACCCACTAGGTCCCATTCTCCATTGGGGATATAGCCACTGATATCTGCCTCCTGCATCTGCAGATCCAAGGACCAGCCTCCGTAAGACCAGGACCCAAACTTCAGTTTGCAGTGCTGCACATCAAAGGGAAACCAGCGTACATCGATGTAGCAGGAACTCTTGAATATGCCTGTGTGGGTGATGGAAACAGAAGACTGAAACGGAAGCTGACTGAGATGTGCTGAAAATACACAGCAGTTCCTTCAGCCGGTTCCGCCCTCCGCACTGCAGCTAACACAGTCCAGAGCAAACGGAATCTGTCTTTTTATTTATTCGCAAAATCTGTAAAACAGAATCTCAGCTAAGCTTCACTGTCTTTTAAAATCCAAACGTAACACTGACATGCTCTCTCAAAGACTGTTTTGTGGGCTTTTTGTGCAAAAAGTTAGCTCTATAATCTGCATTTACCATGAGCATCTTCAGACTCTAAATAATAAAAGTAAAGAATGCAAAATATCTCAGAGAAGTTGATAACCCTGATGATGAAGTTAGAAATAGAATCTAAAAGGTGTGTGTGTGTGTGTGTGTGTCTGTTTGGTGCGGGGTGAGGTAGGCATTTTCTTTAGGTTAAAAATGGGAAGAACACATGATTATCGAGAAATACAATCTAGAATTCTGGTTAAAGCTAGAATTTTAACTAATTTAAATTCTAGATGAAGAACAGAACAAGCTGGGCACAGTGTCTCATGCCCGTAATCCCAGTGACTCTAAGACATTGACGTGGGAGGGTCACTTGAGACTAGGAGTTTGAGACCGGACTGGGCAACATAGTGAGACATCTCTAATAAAAAAAATTAGCTGGGTGAGGTGATGCATGCCTGTAGTCCCAGCTACTCAGAAGGCTAAGGCAGGAGCATTGCTTGAGCCCAGGAGTTTGAGGCTAAAGTGAAGTGAGCTATGATCGAGCCCCTGCACTCCAGCCTGGGGAACACACCTAGAATCTGTCTGTAAGAAAAAAAGTTAAAACAAACAAACAAACAAACAAACAAAAACAAGAACAGATAGATAGGTTTAAGCTGAAGAGATGGTGCTTGAAGGAAGAGTTTCCGCTGAAAAGAGCTATTCCAGGCTAGGACAGGTTGGAAGTGGATTTCCCAGAGGGCCAAGGGGAGGAAACCAGATAGAGGCCACTCCAGTTATTTACACTCATGTGCTCTTCCCTGCCCAGAGGAAGGCTGCATGGCACAAGAAGACAGGCACAGACTCGGTGTCCAGGTGTTCCTGGGGCAGGGCTGGCACTCTGCAAACTTCTGTTACTGAGTTACAGAAAGAGTGCACGCAGGAAGGGCCTCCACAGCCTTGCACACAAGGACCCCACCCCACAACCGAGTTGGGAAAAGATACACATTTTGTCCCCTGAAGTTCCTTTAAGTATGCTTTGCGTCCTTACATGAAATGTTTATAGGAATCTGGAATCATCACAGACAATCCCCCTCCATTAATAGTTGGATCCCCCCAAAACCCACCTTGTCTGCCAGTTAGTTGGAAAGCTTTGTAACTTCATGAGCCCATTTCTACGAAATAATGGCCCGAGACAGAGAATTTCTAGAGACAGAAAGCAGATCAGTGGTTGCTGGGAGTAGGAATGGGAATTAACTGCAAACAAGCAAAAGGGATCTTTGTGGGGTGATGGGAATGTTCTAAAACTAGACTGTGGTAATGGTTGCATAAGTCTGTAAATATACTAAAAGTTGTTGAATCATGTACTTAAAATGCATGATATGTAAATTCTCTCTCAATAAAGCTGTTAAAAAATAAACACATGAAATGGGGGGGAAAGTCATGTTATGGTCAAGTCTCTATTTCAAAGCTTGAACTCAAAACATTCTTTCCTATCCATGCCCCTCTAACTACAGACAGGGCAGCATCCTGGGACTCGTTCTACACTCCCAGGGAGCAGGCAGGGGTTTCCCAATCCAGGCGGCCCTGGGCCTTTCCTGCCAGCGTAAGGAAGCCCCTCATGGTCACAAGACAACGTGTCCTGTCCTGACCGGAATCCAGGGCCACTGCAGTGGGGACACAGGCCTGGAGCCCCAGAGGGGGCTGCTGCACTCAGGCAGCTCGAGGCTTGCAGTGCTGGTCCTGCAGCTGAAAATAGCCTCAGCCTTCCAAACAACCTGCAGCAGCATATTCTACACTGGTGACTACCGGAGGCTGTTTTCTAAAATAGCCCTCATAACAGAAGCTGCAACACGCAGGCCTGGCGAGAAAGACCTCGGGAGTGATGGAAGGCTCCCCCCACTACCCCTGTTTGCAAGGGTCCTGCTGGTAGGAGGAAATGCCAGGGCTAGCAGGAAAGCGGATGCTTCGAGAAGCCTGAACAGCTGGACTTC
This sequence comes from Homo sapiens, assembly GCF_000001405.40. Classification (NCBI taxonomy): domain Eukaryota; kingdom Metazoa; phylum Chordata; class Mammalia; order Primates; family Hominidae; genus Homo; species Homo sapiens. Next base: position 30,375,349 of record NC_000015.10, read on the forward strand.
TTCAATCTCTTCCAATATTATTGGGAGGTGTCTACCATTGACAGGTTCACTCGCTCCTTTGTTCATTCAGGGATAAATGCTAAGGTGAGCAAAGGCTGACTGTGCCCCCAGATGCTTGTCACCTGCTGACAGGGAAGGCACACAGACAGCAACCGAGAAGGCACAGCCAGTATGTGTGGTATGTGAGTGGTGTGAATAGTGTATCTGGTTTGAGAGTGCATGCCTGCATGTGTGTAAGTGGTGTGTGTGAGGGTTGTGAGTCGTGTGTGAGTGGTGTGTATGGTGTGTGAGAGTGGTGTGTAAGTGGTGTGTGTGAGGGGTGTGTGTGTGTCTGGTGTGTGTGTGTTGGTGGTTTGAGTGGTTTGTGTGAGTGGTATGTGTGGAGTGGTGAGTGGTGTGTGGGTGGTATATTTGTGTGAGTGGTGTGTGAGTGTTGAGTCGTGTGGGTGGTATGTGAGTGGTTGTGTGAGTGGTGTGTGAGTGTTGAGTCGTGTGGGTGGTATGTGAGTGGTTGTGTGAGTGGTGTGTGTGTTGAGTCGTGTGGGTGGTATGTGAGTGGTTGTGTGAGTGGTGTGTGTGTTGAGTCGTGTGGGTGGTATGTGAGTGGTTGTGTGAGTGGTGTGTGTGTTGAGTCGTGGGTGGTATGTGAGTGGTTGTGTGAGTGGTGTGTGTGATTGTGAGTGGTGTGTGTGTTGTGTGAACAGTGTGTGTGGGTGGTGTGTATGAGTGGTGTGAGTAGTGTGAGTGGTGTGAGTGGTGTGTGTGAGTACTGAGTGGTGTGTGTGTGTGAGGTGTGTGTGAGTGGTGTGTGTGAGGGGTGAGTGGTGTGTGGTATGTGTGAGTGGCTGTGAGTGGTTGTGAGTGGTGTGTGTGTGAGTCGTATGTGTGAGTGGTAGTTAGGTGTGGAGGTAATTGCAGGTTGCCTCTGAGCAGAAAGTTAAACAGCTGCAGTGTGGGAGATCACCCTGGAATAAACACATTAAAAATCTTCTAAAAGATCAAAAACCCCAGCTGTTCCTATCAATATGCTAGTGCGCACTCTGCATGCACCTTTAGGCCATAAACCCATTTCCCTTGCCCTGTGAATCGACTGAAAAGATGGACTGGTGGGAAAGAACCAATCCAGGGAGCACTTAGCCTTGGAGGTGAGACACTGTTGGGAAGAAGTCAGCCGCTAGAGAGCTCTCCCTTGAAACCACCAGACCTTGCCTGTAACCTGCGTGTGCTCTTTAGCGCACGCACTCAGGATCCTGGAACTGTCATATCTCACCCCCGGCAGCTGGAGCGCTGCACCTGCCAAGACACTGAGTCCCGCAGGGAGGAGGATGGCAAGCTGGAACTGAGAAGCAGAGCCTGGAGAGGTGGCTTGCCAGGCTGGAAGGTGAGGTGGCCACTGCCCGGCAAAGGAGACTCGCTGTATTTGTACATTGGCTTTAAGGCACACATGGCAGAAAATAAGGACATAGTGGCAAAGACGGCTTGATTGAGACAAAAGAGGAGGATGGACTTCTGGGGGTAGAAAGCACACAGAAGCACAGAAGAGAAGAGAGAGGAAGAGGTGGGAGTGAGCAAAGGCGAAGCAAAGAGCTGGTCCACCACACGGGGGCACCGGCCAGACTGACTGACACCCAAACTCGCTTCAGTTTTCTAACTGGAAGAGGACAAAGGAGGTGCAGCTTACCTGGAGGCAGGTACTGGCAATGCCCAGAAGAATTCACCAACACGTTAGTGTGGAATGTGGCGTCAAAGCGCTCATCAGCACTAGAAACAGGAAAAGGACTGCATGAGCCAGTGCCACCAGGCTGTGGATTTCCCGAAGCCCTGGGGTCTGTCTTTGATGGAGCAGCAAAGACCTTGAGAGGGGCCCCTGTCTGTCCTCACAACCCCACACGCTGCCTGAGAGCACCACTGGGACTGGCCTGGGAGGTCTTCCCCGGGCACAGCTTGGAAGGGCCAGTGTCTACCCCCATTTCAATTTTCACACAGAACTGGTGATTTTTCTCACAATGTATATAAAACCAAGCTCTTAACCAAATGAAACCTGTAAACAACTCTGGAGGACATCGGCAGATGTGACATTTTCATGGTGTCCAGAAGAACAGAGGGTGGGTGAGGCACGCTGCCACCCTGTGAGCCTCATGGGGCAGGGTTTTCACTCGCTGTGTCCAAAGCTCTAGTTCCAGCCTCTTGAAGCGGACCCACACTTGGTTTGTGCTTCACATATATATCTTTTTTTTTTTTTTTGAGACAGAGTCTTGCTGTGTTGCCCAGGCTAGAGTGCAGTGGCATGATCTCGGCTCACTGCAAGCTCCACCTCCTGGGTTCATGTCATCCTCCTGCCTCAGCTTCCCGAGTAGCTGGGACTACAGGTGCACACCACCACACCTGGTTAATTTTTTTGTATTTTTAGTAGAGACGGGGGTTTCACTATGTTAGCCGGGATGGTCTCGATCTCCTGACTGTACACATAAAAATAGCTAAAATGGAACATTTTAAATTATGTGTAATTTACAAGTAACACATTTTAAAGTTACAGTATTACACTATTACTATATATGAATTATACCTCATAAAGTTGATTGGCAAGGATAAAAGGATATACAATTTGATAAATACTCAACGTTGGAAGTTCTAACAAAAGGCATTTTAAACACATTGACTGGGATTATCTATTGATACAATGTTTTTTTAAGAGTATTTCAGCAATTTTTCAGAAGTCACAAAGATATTTACTGCCTTCTACCCATTTGTTCTAGTTCTATGAATCTTTCCTAAAGGGAAAAAGAAAAAGCGGGCACGAAGATTTAATCTCAAAAATGTTCATCAAAATGTTGTTTACAACATTATAATACTATCCAAAAATAGTAAACAAAATGATCAGATATTCACAACATATAAAACGTTTACCTTAAGTATTATGTATTTTATTTTAAAATGTTGATAACATTTAAAATACATAATATATATGTTATGGGGGAAAACAAACATAAAAAACTATATCATGTGATTCTAATTTTTTATAAGCAAAACAAAACTAAGTATCTACTTCAATAATAATTATCTCCCAGACTAAGTTAAGGACCCTTTATCATATGCTATCAAGGTAATATAACCTGAGGTCAGAGAAAACCTCACTGGAAGTGGCTTTGGATGGAGAAAGAGAATAAAAGAAGATTCCTACCAGAGAACTTGTCTACCTCAGTATCATTTTATTCAAATTAAAACTGTTTTACAATCAAACCTCAATTTTTAACAGTGGGGGAAAAAACAGTATGTGTTAATTTTAGTATCCAAGGGGATACTAGAACCATTCTCCTGGCTGATACAGAGGGATGACTGTTCTCGGAAATGATTTGGAATGTCTGTCTGAAAATGTCAGCAGGGAGCACCCCATTCAGGTATATAACACGTTTTAAATAAAAGTGTTTAAATACATATTTCATTGATTCATTTTTAATGAGCATACCATAAGCCTTCTCAAAGTATTAAATGCTCAACCATTACCTAAAAATCCTACTTTCTATTACCAGATTTTACTTTGCGAGAGTAACATTAGAAGACGTATAATAAGAATTACCCTTATTATTAAACATTTTCTAAACTCCTATTGTTTCACCCATATTTCACCAGCATAGAAGAATAATTATTATACCACTGCCACAATTCACAAAATCCTTTCACCTCCGTTTTTTCATGTGCCTGTCCTAACAATCATGAGATAAGCAAGCTTCATGATAATAACTACAACTTCTACAACCCCAACCCCACTGTCAATGAAATACCCACTAAGAATCAGGCACTATACGGCCAGGCACGGTGGCTCATGCCTGTAATCCCAGCACTTTGGGAGGCTGAGGTGGGCAGATCACGAGGTCAGGAGATCGAGACCACGGTGAAAAAAATTAGCCGGGCGGGCGCGGTGGCGGGCGCCTGTAGTCCCAGCTACTAAGGAGGCTGAGGCAGGAGAACGGCGTGAACCCGGGAGGCGGAGCTTGCAGTGAGCTGAGATCGCACCACTGCTCTCCAGCCTGGGTGACAGAGGGAGATGCCGACTCAGAAAAAAAAAAAAAAGAAAGAAAGAAACAGGCACTATACCAGGTATCTCACATATTTACCACATTCAAAGTTGAATAATTACCAAAAATCTATGAAGTAGTTATCCCATCGCAATTTTACAGATGAGGAAACTGCGGCTCAGCAATTAAAGTAATTGGCCCAGAAAGCAGATCTTTGATCCACACCCAGGTCTGTCTGAATCCTAAACCTATGCCATTTCCTTGTCCCACCCACACTCCCCAGGAAACAGAGATTGAGAAAAAGATAATCATTTGGCCAAGTCTTATAGGCAACAGGAACCCAGAGCCTTCTAACACTTGATCTACGGTGCTTTCCACCTGGTATGTTGCTTCTATAAAAAGTAAGGACACTTCCTTCCATCGGGAGTTTATAAATCATAATTAATCTCATTAGATTATAAATAACATCATAGGGAAGCTATGTGCTACATAGGGACAGATAAGGGTGCCCAAGGGAAACTTTGAGGAAGTATAACTAAATTAATACACAGGGATCAGGGTTGAAGTATTTTATAACCAATACTCAAAACAGTAACAGTTAGCCTGGCTCAGTGGCTCACGTCTGTAATCCTAACACTTTGGGAGTCAGAGATGGGAGAATCACTTGAGCCCAGGAGTTGGAAACCAGCCTGGGCAACATAGTGAGAGACCTTGTCTCTACGAAAATAAAAAAACAACAACAGTTAATAAAGTTTCCAGGAGTAGCTTAGATAATCCCAGAATCGTATCTATATTAGGAGAAGGGCTATTTTTAAATATTCTAAAGTTTATAATTGGAATGCCCATAAAAATTGCCTATGAGTAAATTCATCATTACATCAGGAAAATTTATGATAATTACTTAGGACTCTGCTTTTGATAAATATGTATGCTGTAACTACTTAATAAAACCATGAGAAATAATTTTTAAAATGTAAATGTTACTTACATATCGCAGTTTGCAGCTATCCACAAATGCTGGATTAGCAATTGGAACTAGAATAAAAAATGTAAATGTAAAAAAAGAAAAAATTAAAATATTTAAGTCATGAAACACAGAAAGTGACAGCAAAGTTAAAAACTCAGATCTTTATAAAAAGGAAATTTATACTGTACACCAAAAATGATATTTGCTAAATTACAAAGGCACTTGTATACGAATAAGATTAAAATAAAAACTAAGAACAGTACTTTTAGTTTCTCCTACCACTTTATATTCTCTAAATGACAGCCCTTACCTGATAGACACACGCCAACTATCAAAAAAAGCAATCTTAATACCATCCTGGAAGCAAGTGAACTTACATTTTTTTCAAGCCAATTCCCAAATGAGGGCCCACTACAGAAAACACCTCCGAACCACTGTAATTCCTTTCTGAGGATGACTCCAAACACTCTGCCAATCGATGCTAAACATGAGCCAAAAGAAACAAAAAAACTCTGACAAATTCCCATGAGCTTACCAATGGACCAAGATTGTCCAAAAAGTAATATTCCCAGAGGATAGGAAAAAAATGTCTTAGAGGGTTGATGTCTGCCTTCAATGTCACAGCAGAAACCTTGCAGTTTACCAGATGACCCAGTAAAGGAACCAACACCCACAACCCGTTCCACATGGGCAGTTAATTCCAGTCACTGATGAGAAGGGAAAAGGTCTGTCTTATGATATCACATTTTTTTTTGTTTGTTTTTTGTTTTTATTTTTTGAGATGGGGTTTCGCTCTTTTTGCCCAGGCTGGGGTGCAATGGCATGATCACGGCTCACTGCGACTTCTGGCTCCTGGGTTCAAGTGATTCTCCTGTCTCAGCCTCCCAAGTAGCTAGGATTACAGGAGTGCACCACCACGCCCTGCTAATTTTGTATTTTTAGTAGAGATGGGGTTTCGCCATGTTGGCCAGGCTGGTTTCAAACTGCTGACCTCAGGTGATCCACCTGCCTCGGCCTCCCAAAGTACTGAGATTACAGGCGTTCATTCCAGTCACTGATGAGAAGGTAAAAGGTCTGTCTTATGATATCACGCCCGGCCTGATTTCACATATTTTTTAAAAATCTTACAAGTTAACATAAAATGGAAACCTGAGTATTACAAACAACAACAACAACAAAAAGTTCAAAATCACCGTCTACTCTTATCTACTTTAAGACGTAAGGATTAAGCAGAGGATAATTTGCATAAACCTAAAATCGTGATAAATCAGTTTTTTCATGGTAGTTAAATCAAATTGCTATTTTAGCACTTGTTTGAGCCTCTATAAAAAACATAAATTTAAATGCATAAGTCATGTCACAGAGGCCTACCAGCGGGGAAAGGAGGAGCCTGGTGGCCACCTCCTGGTGACCAGCCACCACTCACAAACAGCAAAGGAGATTAAGCTTGGCTCAGGAGGTCCCCGAGCTCTTCTCACTGGAGTCGATCTGCGAGCACACTTGTTACAAAAAGTCATTCCAATCTTGGTCTTTCAGAAATTATAACTTATCCATTGCCAAGGAAACAAAATAACAAACGTATGATGATGAGAAAAACAACTGCTGGAAACATTACATGAGAAATAAACACAGAGTTACGACAGCTAAGATGAGGACAAAGAAAACATTACTCTGTCAACACCAAAAATACTCCAAAGATGACACTACTTCTATTTGTCCTTCTATATTCCTCATCTCTTTATCTATCCATGGAAACTTTTTAAACACTTCAATGGAAAACTATGCTTTCAAACCAAGCAGATGTCTAAAGCAGAATTGTCTCACAACCTAGATTATAACAAAATGCAAAGTTCAATACAACTGGAGTAAAAGACAAAAAAGCCTTTGTATAAATAAATCAACTCTCAGATATTGAGAAAAGCACAAACCACACAGTTATTAAAAAGTTCCAATGAAATTACTGTAAAAAAATAACGAGGATAACATGATAGCTAAAATCACCTGAAATTCCTACCTCCTAATCCCTATAAAAAAAGGGCAAAATCTAGGAAATGTGATACTCCCTAAAATTTTTTGCTAACATGTTTTTGCTGATCTCAATCTTTAGACAAAGAAATTGTAAATATAATTTCCTAAGTAACTCAAAGAAGAAAAAGGAAATAGTATTTCCCAATAATAATTCTCTAGGTTTGCATAAATAGACCTACTTGGCACTGAAAGCACTATTAATATTTTGCTTCACTTTGGTCTTTCAAAAACGTCCTTCTACACAGGTTTTTTTGGTTGTTTTTATCACTAATTAAGTTGACTGATATAAACCCTTAGCTGGTTTATTTAAACCTAAATATATTTTAAATTTACTTCAAATCATAGATTCTACTCTAGCCACAATGAATAATTTTCCCCAAATTGAGTTTAACAGCTTAAAATATAATTTGTTAAAAAAAAAAAGTTTAAGGTATGTAAAAATTTCTGACTTTCACCGTAAATAAGATTTTCATTAGCTCAACAGAAATGTAATAATTATCCCTTAAGTATCTCCACTCCCACACCATCTCCACAGTCATGAACCACCTAGTCCCGTTCTCAAATGTCCTGGTCCCGCCAATAGAATCCCAATCCTTCCTTCTTGTCCCCAACCCTGTGCACCTACACCTGCCATAAATGGTGGAAATTCAACCAGCTCTATGAACGGAAGGGAGGAGGCCCCCCACCCACTCTACAGGAAAACTTGCCCAGATCTACAGGAACCTCCCCACTCACAAGAGGACAGGGCAGCCCAGACTCAGCTGAGAAATGTCAACAGCTGGCACAAATGAATTACAGATTATTTACAATTCACATAACACTGACCCAAGAATATAACCAATTGTCAAGACAAAATAAATTTAGTTGTTCACATACAAATATTCCATTTGTGAATAAATTTCATATTCGTATCTGTATACAGACAGTCTACATGTTCGATAACTCCTTTATGATCCTACCTGAAAATGCTGGTAGATGCAATATTTTTGCATCAAATTTAACCGATGGTGGTTGTTTCATTATCTGTGGTTAAAAAAAAAAAAACTTTTGAGGCAATTTTAAAGATGGATATCTGTCTCCTTATATGTCCCTTATATCAGATAATAAATCAATGAGGACAAAAAAAGAATGTGTAAAATTTGTTACCAAAAACAAAAAGAACGATGCCTTTTCAGATTAAAACATACATATATAGATAATAATTTATTTTTTAAAATCATTTCAATTGATATCTGTAATAAAATAAAGCTTCAAAGAAAAAATTCACCCCATCCTGGCTTACTTTTTAGGTAATTTACGTCTAATTAGAAATTCAGTCTTTCAACAAATATCTATTGCTTACCTGCCAAGGTAAGGCTCTATGTCAAGTGCTAAGGGGGATACAAAGATATAAAAGACACAATCCTATTTTCAGCGAGCTGACTTTCTGGTTGGGAAGATGAGACAAACATTTGATAAACAAGAAAATATTTCACAATTCAAAAGAGGCAGGACATAACTACAGACAAAACCCTGGACAGAAAGAATTTTTTTTGTAAATAGTAGTTTAGAGAATACAGCAAGCACTTTACTTGATATAGTTGACACCGGGTTTACGGAAGAGGTAGAAGGTGGGTTGCGGTCTTGAAGGATGGCTAGAACTTTATGATTATATCAGAGAAGACACCATTCAAGGAAGCCATAATAGCATGAATTGGAAAGTGCATAATTTATTTGAGAAATGTGAAGAAACCATGTAGTTGGATCCATGAGCTTAGGACAGCCAGATACTGCATCTTGAGACTTTTAATTAAAAATTCAACCATCATTTCTATACCTAACTTCTGCAAAACTTCTATATGTAATATTTTTAAAACCTTTACTAATTAAGTAACCAGCATTACTGTATTTACTGTAGTATTCTTACTAAAATGCATATTCTCATTCTAATCTCATAATCCAAATTCATAATCTCATTCGAGTCATGAGAAACCCTTAGACAAACCTAAATTAAGGGACATTCTTCAAAACACCCAACCAGTTACTCTTCAAAGTGTCAAGGACTTGAGTCATACGTTTTATAACATGTATTACAAAAACATACAAAGGCCAGGTGCCGTGGCTCACGCCTGTAATCCCAGCACTTTGGGAGGCCTAGGCAGGTGGATCATGAGGTCAGGAGTTCAAGACCAGCCTGGCCAACATGGTAAAACCCCATCTCTACTAAAACTACAAAACTTAGCCAGGTGCAGTGGCAGGTGCCTGTAATCCTAGCTACTCATGAGGCTGAGGCAGGAGAATAGCTTGAACCCGGTCGGCAGAGGTTGCAGTGAGCTGAGATCGCGCCACTACACTCCAGCCTGGGTGACAAAAAACAAAACAAAACAAAATAAAAGACAAACTGTCAAGGTCATGAAAGACAAGCAAAGTCTGAGAAATTCTGACAAAACCGTGAAAAACTAGGACAGACTATATGAGACTAAGGAGGCATAACAACTAACTGTAATGTGGGATCCTGGAACAAAAAAAAAGAGGACATTAGAGGCAACCGGTAAAATTCAAATGCATTTGGTAGTTAGCAGCACTATTCTCATGTTTTATTTTTCCCTTTTCAGGAAGAATTCGAAAGGAGCAGTCAGGGTATTGCATGCCATCATTACACAGAGATATGAATCAAGTATCATGCAACTCCAACTACCACATTCTGCTGCCCTCCAAAAGGAGGCACAGGTAAGGATTATCCCGCCTGACTAACACTATACCAATGTTAATTCCCAGGTTTTGCTAACTATACTATAGACCTATAAGATGTGAACATTAAGAGCAGCTGGGCAAAAGCTATACAGGAGTTCTCAACTATTTTTTAATCTTTTCTCTAAAAGTAGTTTAGAATTAAAAGTTAAACACAAAAATTTCCACTGATGAAGGCTTCCCATAAACTATCAAATATGGTTATAAGAGGAAAAAAGGAAACACAGAATATTGTGTAAAGCAAGCTTGTCCAACCCGCAGCCCGTGGGCTGGATGCGGCCCAAGACGGCTTTGAATATGGCCCAACACAAATTCATAAACTCTCTTAAAACATTGTAAGAATTTTTTTGCAATTTTTTTTTATTGGTTTTTTAGTTCATCAGCTATTGTTAGTGTATTTTATGTGTGGCCCAAGACAATTCTTCTTCCAGTGTGGCCCAGGGAAGCCAAAAGACTGGACACCCCTGGGAAAGATATCACAAATTGTTCTAGAAAGCCCACTTTGAAAATGCGCCAATGCACATCAAACTTAGCATAATAAAGTTACACTGCCAGACATATGAACTCACAAAAAGAATTAGCTCCATTATGAAAAACAGCTAAATCATCTATATAAAATGCTGTCTATCTAGAAAATAAACATGAATCCAAAAACCCTTACATTGTTCTAAACCACACTAATGTTCCCAATGAGACAAGAAAAAAACAGTCATGAATTAATACAGAAAAAGATATTTAAAAAAGAAAAAGAAGGCCAGGTGTGGTGGCTCATGCCTGTAATCCCAGCACTTTGAGAGGCCGAGGTGGGTGGATCACAAGGTCAGGAGATCGAGACCATCCTGGCTTACATGGTGAAACCCTGTCTCTACTAAAAATACAAAAAATTAGCAGGGCGTGGTGGCGGGCACCTGTAGTCCCAGCTACTTGGGAGGCTGAGGCAGGAGAATGACATGAACCTGGGAGGCGGAGCTTGCAGTGAGCCAAAATCGCGTCATTGCACTCCAGCCTGTGTGACAGAGCAAGACTCTGTCTCAAAAAAATAAAAAATAAAAGTAAAACTAAAAAAAAGTAAAAGAAGCAGTAAAGTTAAAATAGAGAATAAGTAGTGGAATGTGAGTATGTTGGGGAGCTGGAAGTCAAGACAAAACAGAGGGACTTAGAAATGCATCTGTTTTTTAAAGTAAATACTCATTATCCCCCAGCAATAAAGTATTATATTCCAAAAGACAAGAAGCAAAAAAACTCACAGTGGTTTAGAAGTACATTGTGAACCATGACTCCTCAAGTTCCCATAGTGTCTCCCCACCATCTCCCCTGCAGTATTAACAACCTGTGACAGGGCAGGGCTTCCGTGTGATCTGCCTGCCCAGCCCAGCCTGGTGAGCAGTGCCCTCTGACTGCTTCTGCCTTCAAAACACATCAGAGACTAGAATACTTAGAGTGATTCACATTAGTGCAGATGGAGAAACGATGGGACTGAGAGCTAAGGTCTGAGGTCAAGAGGCTGGCAACCCCTCCGTGGCATGTGGAAGAAAGCAGTAGTGAGAAGCAGAGCTGACTCATTCAAAACAGAGGGGGGAAAACTTAGAACTCCAGTGAAGCGGAAGTGAAGGCAGAGGAAAGGGTTGCAGACAGAGCGGGAGCTGGAAATGCAGACATGCAGCACAAATGAAAGAGTAGCGGACAAGAGAAACAGGAAAGATTAGACAGTAAATAATATTCTGAATGAAAATCTTATGCAGATTTCAGATCTCAGTAAAGTCTACAACTCACTTGTCAGAGTGCTTTCTGCACCTTTGGATTGTCAATAATGGGGGTGACAACAAGATCTGAGTCGTGTAGATAAGCTCTCTCATCTGGGATTCCAGGTCCTGCTGACTCAGGTGTCCACTTGTAATCTGAAATGAGAACAAAAATTTGACTTTGTTTCTGTGACTAATATAGAGCTTTAAAACACTGAACTAATATGATGCTGAGGAAGACACCACTGTAAAATATCACCTATATCAATGTACTTCCACTGCTATTCAAGACACTTGCAGTCTCACTTGATTTTCACAAAAATCCTAAACTGTAGGTACCATAATTTCCATTTTACAGATAAAAATATAAAACTCTGAGAAAGTAACTGAATTGCTCATGTTACCATTAAAACTGGCTAGGACTACAAAAAAGATCTTTACAATTCAACGTTCTAAACTCTGATGAGGCAAACTGCTTTTTCGATTACCAGCATGGTTTTTTTTGGTTTTTTTTTTTTTTTAGGGATGGAGTCTCAGTCTGTCACATAGGCTGGAGGGCAGTGGTGCAACCCTGGCTCACTGCAACCTCTGCCTCCTGGGTTCAAGTGATTCTCCTGCCTCAGCCTCCCAAGTAGTGGAATTACGGGTGTGCACCACCATGCCCAGCTAATTTTTTTTTTTTTTTTTTTTTTTTTGAGACAGAGTCTTGCTCTGTCACCAGGCTAGAGTGCAGTGGCGCGATCTCAGCTCACCACAACCTCTGTCTCCTGGGTTAAAGTCATTCTCCTGCCTCAGCCTCTCCAGTAGCTGGGACAAGGTTTCACCATGTTGGCCAGGCTGGTCTCAAACTCCTGGCCTCAGGTGATCCACCTGCCTCGGCCTCCCAAAGTGCTGGGATTATAGGTGTGAGCCACTGCACCCGACCCATGGCTTTATTTTTCATTCATAGAATGCTGATCAATTTATTTCTGCTTTACAGAATATTCAATGTGAAGTTGAAACTGTAACATACAAAAATTTTCAGACTTAAATACAGACCGGTTACCTAAGTGTTAAACCTCAATTATTTATTAAGCCTCATTAGAGATGATACATAATAAAATCAATCACCAGACATTCACCATCAGTTATTCCTTTGAGATGGTTCTTTGTGCTCTATTTAAACATAATTTGTATTCCTAGTGCTATGCCCCAGTATTTCCCATCAGAAAAAAAAAAAGGATTTATGCTTAAGAACCTTAAAAGAAACAATGACTAGCAAACTAAATAAAATAGAAAAGTAAATCAGTGAAGTAAGGAAGAAGGAAAATAAATTATCCAAAACTAGTGAGGAAGGGTCATAGATAAAGGAACAGAGTTAGCTAAGAAAATTCCTGGAAACCCAAGGTGCCCCTTGCAACTCAGATGAAAGATATACGAAAACACACAAAGAGGCCGAGGCCGGGCACGGTGGCTCAAGCCTGTAATCCCAGCAATTTGGGAGGCCGAGGCGGGTGGATCACGAGGTCAGGAGTTCAAGACCAGCCTGACCAACATGGTGAAACACTGTCTCTACTAAAAATACAAAAATTAGCTGGGTGTGGTGGCATGTGCCTGTAATCCCAGCTACTCAGGAGGCTGAGGCAGGAGAATCACCTGAACCTGGGAGGCGGAGGTTGCAGTGAGTTGAGATTGTGCCACTGCACCAATTAAAACAATTGTATGCAAAAATTAGTTTCCTATAGGTAAATTGAGTGTAGGCACAAATGCCAAGTTATAACAAATATCCCACTCACAATAGCAAAAATATATAAAACAAAATGTTCAGGAATAAACTAAATGATCAATAATTGCAATGAGATCATGATCATTAAATGAAAATAATCGTTATAAAATTATACTCTCTTGCTTCAAAGTGAACACATTATGTATAAAACCAGAAGTAGTAATATCAAAATGTATGAGATGTATGAGGTTACAGTGAACTATGATGGTGCCACTGCACTCCAGCCTGAGCAACAGGCTCTAAAAAAAAAAAAAAAGGTAATCAGTGTTTACTTGGGAATTACATTGTAAATAATTTTTCTATTGTCTTTGTCCTCTTTTATATTTTACAAGTTTTTTACAATTATATATGTTTTGTAATAGAATAAAAAGTATCATTTAAAAATTATAAAACATAAGGCCAACACAGTGGCTCACACCTGTAATCCCAGCTCTTTGGGAGGCCGAGGCGGGCAGATCACTTGAGTCCAGGAGTTTCAGACCAGCCTGGACAACATGGGGAAACCTCTACTAAAAATACAAAAAATTAGCCATGCATGGTGGCGCACACCTGTAGTCGCAGCTACTCAGGTGGCTGCGATGAGATGAGATAAGCACCTAAGCCCAAGAAGTTGAGGCTGCAATGAGCCATGATCGTGCCACTCCACTCCACCCTGGGTGACAGGAGTGAGGCTCTGTCTCAAAAATAAATAAATACCGAGATATATATGTAAAATAAACTACCTTAGGTATTCACATTATTGATTATATTTTCTCAATAGAATGATTATATATTCCTCTTTATAACCATCTGCCAGAAGAGCTTCAACATCTATCGCATTTCAGAATGAATTTTTTTTTTTTTTTTTTTTTTGAGACGGAGTCTAACTCTGTCGCCCAGGCTGGAGTGCAGTGGTGCGATCTCAGCTCACCGCAACCTCCGCCTCCCAGGTTCACACCATTCTCCTGCCTCAGCCTCTCAAGTAGCTGGGACTACAGGTGCCCACCACCACACCCGGCTAATTTTTTGTATTTTTAGTACAGATGGGCTTTCACTGTGTTAGCCAGGATGGTCTTGATCTCCTGACCTTGTGATCTGCCCTCCTCAGCCTCCCACAGTGCTTGGATTACAGGTGTGAGCCACTGCGCCCGGCCCAGAATAAATTTTTAAATTTACATTGATTTTCTATTTCACATAACCAAAAAATTAGCACAGTCAGATTTTATTATAACCAGTTTATACTAAATTTCAAAGCAGAAATAAGCTTCACAAGGTCCAAATACAGTTCACATTACATCAAAACTACAGTTAAAAACTAAAAGCAATTATATTTGTCAACCAATAAGTAGCATAAAAATTACTTAGAATTAATTCAAAGTAGGTCTGCATTCAACACAACTACGATTGAAAGAAATTAAAGGAAGACCTAAATAAGTACAAATACATCCTGTGTTCGTGGAGGAAAACTTAATATTGTTAAAATGGCAGTACTTTCTAAGTTGATCTACATATTCAATGCGACTGTGATTAAAATCCCAGCTGGCTCCTTTGCAGAAACTGACAAGCTGATCTTAAAATTCATATGGAAATGCAAGTGACCCAGAACAGCCAAACCCACCTTAAAAAACTTTCTGGAGGATTCATACTTTCTGATTTCAAAGCTTACTAAACAGCTACAGTAATCAAGAGTGTGCTACTGGTATAAGGACAGATGAACAGAGAAAAGAATAGAATCCAGAAATAAACTTTCACATATACAGTCAATTGATCTTCAATAAGCGTTCCAAGACAATTCAATGGGGAAAGAATAAGCTTTTCAACAGATAGTTCTGAGATAACTGGATGTCTAGGTGCAAAACAATGAAGCTATACCCCCCTACTTCATGCCGCATGCAAAAATTAATTCAAATGGATAAAAGAGCTCAATATAAGAGATATTGATAAACTATAAAACTCATAGAAAAAAACATAGGCAGAAACCTTTGTGACCTTGGAGTAGCAACGTTTTTTTAGATATTACACCAAAAGCACAAGGAGCAAAAAAACACAAATGAAAAAAGATAAATTGGACTATATCAAAATTTAAAATCTTTCTGCTTCAAAGGACACCATCAAGAAAGAAAAAAGACAATCCAGAAAAAGGAAGAAAGTTGTTATAACTCCTATCTAGAATATGTAAAAAATTCTTACAGCTAAATAATAAAGAGATACATAACCCAATTAAAAATAAGTTAAATTTTGGAATAAGTATTTCCCCAAAAAAACAGACAAATGGCCAATAAACACATGAAAAGATACTCAACATCATTTGCCATCAGGTAAATGCAAATCAAAACCACTAAGACATAGAAATTCACACCTACTAGCTGGGCGCAGTGGCTCACACATGTAATCCAAATACTTTGGGAGGCGGAGACAGGTGGATCATTTCAGGTCAGGAGTTCGAGACCAGCCTGGCCAACATGGTGAAACCCCGTCTCTACTAAAAATACAAAAATTAGCCAGCTGGTAGTGGTGCATGCCTATAATCCCAGCTACTCGGAAGGCTGAGGCAGAAGAATTGCTTGAGCCTGGGAGATGGAGGTTGCAGTGAGCCAAGATCATGCCACTGCACTCCAGACTGGGCGACAGAGTCAGACCCTGTCTCAATCAATCACTCAATCAATGGAATTTCACACCTGCTAGATGTGAAATAGGATGGCGATCATGAGAAAGACAGGCAATGCAAAACTATTCACAATAGCCAATAGGTGGATGCAACCCAAGTATTCATCAACAGAGGAAAAGATAAAAAGGCATATTAAATACATACAAGGGAATATTATTCAGCCTTAAAAACAAATGAAATTCTGGCACATGCTACAACATGGATGAACGTTAAAGACATTATGCTAAGTGAAATAAGCCAGGCACAAAAGGACAACTACTATATGAGACCACTTATGCCAGCAGTCCCCAAACTTTTTGGCATCAGGAGCCAGTTTTGCAGAAGACAATTTTTCCACAGACAAGGTTGGGGGAGATGATTTTGGGATGATTCAAGGACATTACATTTATTGTGCATTTTATTTCTATTATTATTACATTGTAACATATAATGAAATAATTGTACAACTCACTATAATATAGAATCAGGGCTGGGCACGGTGGCTCACGCCTGTAATCCCAGCACTTTGGGAGGCCAAGGTGGCCAGATCATGAGGTCAGGAGATCGAGACCATCCTGGCTAACACGGTGAAACCCCGTCTCTACTAAAAAATACAAAAAATTGTTGGGGCATGGTGGCTGGCGCCTGTAGTCCCAGCTACTCAGGAGGCTGAGGCAGGAGAATGGCGTGAACCTGGGAGGCGGAGCTTGCAGTGAGCCCAGATTGCACCACTGCACTCCAGCCTGGGTAACAGAGCGAGACTCCCTCTCAAAATAAATAAATAAATAAATAAATAAAAAATAAAAAAACTACAAATGATAAGCAACATAGAATAGATATGTAAGGAAAGGCTTTAAAAAGGAAAATAAGATCAATATAAACTAAGAAAGAATTATTACAGAACAAAGAGATTCTAGGGAGAAGACAAGAGTATCAAAATCACTTCGTAAAGATACTTGTGAATATATTACATGTATAAAACAAAACAGAGGCCGGGCGCGGTGGCTGATGCCTGTAATCCCAGCACTTTGGGAGGCTGAGGCGGGTGGATCATGAGGTCAGGAGATCAAGACCATGCTGGCTAACATGGTGAAACCGCGTCTCTACTAAAAAATCCGTCTCTACTAAAAACACAAAAGTTAGCCAGGCCTGGTGGCGGGCGCCTGTAATCTCAGCTACTCGGGAGGCTGACGCAGGAGAATCGCTTTAACCAGTGGACTGTCAAGAGAGGTAGGCTGCAGTAAGCCGAGATCGCGCCACTGCACTCCAGCCTGGGCGACAGAGTGAGTGAGACTCTGTCTCAACAAAAAGAAAAAAAGAAAGAAAACTTTTTTTTGAGAGAGAGAGAGAGAAGTCTCGCTCTTCTCCCCCAGGTTTGAGTGCAATGGCTCGATCTCAGCTCACTGTAACCTCCGCCTCCCGGGTTCAAACGATTCTCCTGCCTCTGCCTCCCAAATAGCTGGGATTAAGTCGCCTGCCAACACGACCGGCTAATTTTTCTATTTTTTAGTAGAGACGGGTTTCACCATGTTGGCCAGGCTGGTCTCCAACTCCTGACCTCAAGTGATCAGCCCGGTTGGCCTCCCAAAATGCTGGGATTACAGGCGTGAGCCACTACGCCCGGCCAAAAAACCGAAAATCTTAAAGGCCTTTCCCCTTCCCCGCCTGGGCTCCAACAACGCGGGAGCCGCCCTGCCCCGCCCTGTCGCGGTCCCTAGAGCAGGTGGGCTGACTGAGGGCGACCATGGGTCCCAAGAGGGCTCCCGCAGCGGCGGGCTCCCACCTCGAGGCGCAGCGACAGGGGCCGAGAGGGGCCAGCAGCCCCCAAGCCAGCCCCGCGCTAGGAGTTGGAGAGACGCGCCCTCCGCCTTCTCCCACCCAAGCCTCTGCCTTGCCGGGCGGGCCAGTTGCAGGAGAAAGGGGCGGGGAACCGCGGCCTCTCTGGGGCAGCTTCCCCTTTCTCCTGGGACTCTGGGCACCCGCTTTCCGCCCTCGCCCTGCCCCGCCAGGCCGCCACCCGGCGACTCACCTTAATGTTGCGGTGGGGCGTGAGCCGCGGCTGTGGCTCCTGGTTCTCCTGGAAGATAGAGGCCAGTAACTTCGGTTTGGCCTTGAACCCGGACATGGACATCTTCCCCTCACCTCCGGCGGGAGGGGCGCGGAAAAGGAGCCTGTCCCGAGCCGCTGTCATGGCCGCGACCACCAGGCGGGGCCCCCGGCCGAGCTCTCGCGGCTCCACCTCTCCCCGCCGCCGTGACCCTCGTGGGAGCGCGGCTGGAAAATGGCAAGGGGCACCGAGGACTTGGCGGGAGCTATGTGGCGGCCTGCGGGGCTGCTCCCTTTATAACCGACTCCACCGACAGGAGGCGCGGCTCCCGTCAAGCCGCAGTTTAAAAGGGCAACAGCACCACTGCCCCCGCTACCGCCTGGGAAAGGGCTGCCCCTACCCCGCCCCGGTCCTCGTCGCCCCTCACCTCTTACCCCTCACCCCTCACCCCTCAACCCGGCGCGCCCCGCGCGCACCCGGCGTGCCCGCGCTACCGGCTGCCCCCTCCTCTCTTGACCCAGCACCTTTCTGCCCGACCGATCTGGTCCCTTCCTCACACTCGCGACTGGGCGGCACAACCACCAACTCTGTGTGTGTGTGTGTGTGTGTGTGTGTCTATGTGTGTGTGTGTGTGTCCCTGTCCCAAGGGGGCGTGGCTCACGCCTGTAATCCCACCACTTTGGGAGGCTAAGGCGGGTGGATCAGGAGGTCAGGAGATAAGACTATCCTGGCTAACACGGTAAAACCCCGTCTCTACGGAAAAAATACAAAAAATTAGCAGGGCGTGGTGGCGGACGCCTGTAGTCCCAGCTACTTGGGAGGCTGAGGGAGGAGAATGGCGTGAAACCGGGAGGCAGAGCTTGCAGTGAGCTGAGAGCGCGCCACTGCACTCCAGCCTGGGCGACAGACCAAGACTCCATATAAAAAAAGAAAAGAAAAAAAACCTCAAAGGATCACTAGTGGTCAGCAACTGTGTGCAAATAAATAGGAAAACCTACCAAAAATGGATAAATTTCCAGACACATCTAACCTACCAAGATTGAACCATGATGAAACCCAAAACCTGAACAAACCAATAACAAATAATGGGATCAAAGTGGTAATAAAAAGTCTCCCAGCAAAGAAAAGCCTGGGACCTGATGATTCACTGCTGAATTCTAGCAAACATTTAAAGAAGAACTAATACCAACCTTACCCAAACGATTCCAAAAATAGAGAAGGAGGGAATACTTGCAAACTCATTCTACAGGGCTAGCATTACCCTGATAACAAAATCAAACACACAGACCAAAAAAGAAAACTACAGGCCAATATCACTGATGAATATTGATGCAAAAATCCTCAATAAAATATTAGCTAACTGAATTCCACAACACATTAAAGTTGGGGTGCAGTGTCCCAGGTTCACTCAACCCTTCCCGTTTTCCTCTCTGTGTGTGTCTACTTTGCCGTGTTCCCTGGTGGCGGCGGCGGTGGCAGTGTTGGTGCATGGGCCTCCCAGGACAAGGGGAAAGTGAGTATGCCCCTTTCTTGCCCCCTGCCAGGTGTCTGCAGCCTGGCACAAGCTCTGGCCAGGTCTCCAACAGGGGACCTGGAGATGTTTTTTTCCAATTTCTGGATTGGTAACTTGAGGCAGATTCTGGGCACTAGAGTCAGAACTAAGAGGAGACTGAATCAGGGGAGTCTGGGGTCCTGAGAGGCAGATACCTGAAACCGTCTAGAGCGTGTGGGGAGCTCGGTGCATGTTCACGCCAGTTGTTTTTCTCTGTGCCTCAATGTTCCAGGTACCCTTGGAGGTGCTGAGATCCTAGGGATTCCTGGAGCCTGGCTGCATGGCCTGGCCACCCTGATGCCACTGTGTTCTCCATGACAGGACAGCAAGGCTGAGGAGAATGGCTCCGACAGCTTCATGCACTCCATGGACCCATAGCTGGAGCGGCAAATGGAAACCACCCAGAACCTTGTGGACTCCTACATGGCCATTGTCAACAAGACCGTGTGGGACCTCATGGTTGGTGTCATGCCCAAGACCATCATGCACGTCATGATCAACAACGTGCATGCACTGCCTCATAGGGGCAGGGGGCTCCTATAGCACTGGGGATGCAGGTGGCCATGTTGGCCTGGGGGAGATGCTGACCAGCCCTATGGGACCAAGGTCCAGGGAGGGAGGCACAGTCCAGACCAGAGCTGTCTCATAGAAATATAACGTGGGACTGGGGACAGTGGCCCATGTCTGTAATCCCAGCACTTTGGGAGGCCAAGGCAAGAGGATAGCTTGAGCCCAGGAGTTCGAGACCAGCTTGGGCAACATAGTGAGACCTGATCTCTACACTAAAATTTTAAAAATAGCTGGGCTTGGTGGTGGCACGTACCTATAGTCCTAGCTACTCGACAGGCTGACATTGGAGGATCACTTTGAGCCCAAGAAGTTGAGGCTACAGTGAGTGGTGATCTCGCCCACTGTCCTCCAGCCTAGCGACAGAGCAAGATCCTATCTCCAAAAAACATTTTTAAGAAACTGAGTAGACCGGTGTCCTGGTGGCATGATAGGTCCTGGGTCCCCTCCCAGATGTGTGACCTTGGACAGGTGACTTTTCCTTTGGACCTCAGTGTCCCTATCTGAGTGAGAAAAGGGCGGTGGGGAGGCAGATCTTTGAGTCTAAGCGGTGTAGAAGCCGCGTCTGAAAAGCCATACTCAGGGCTCCAAGTCCAGCACACAGTCCCAGCAGGGCCCGGCAGGAGGCCAGGGCAGCAAAGGCATCAGGTCCCAACCTCCTTCCCTCTTTGCCCGCTCTCAGACCAAGGAGTTCATCTTCTCGGAGCTGCTGTCCAACCTGTACTCACGTGGGGACCAGAAAACGCTGATGGAAGAGTCGGCAGAGCAGGCACAGTGGCGCGACGAGATGCTGCGCATGTACCACGTGCTGAAGGAGGCACTCGGCATCATCGGCGACATCAACACGACCACCATCAGCACGCACATGGGGGCCCGTGGACAACTCCTGCCTGCAGGTGCAGAGCGTCCTTGCCGGATGCAGGTACCAAGGCTGGCTCCCACGGCCCCAAAGCCCCCCAGCCCCCATGGCTGAGCCTGGGGACTCTTGGAACAGGCTCCGTGCCCACGCTGGTAGACATGGGTGCTCCCTGGAGCCGTCACAGAGCTCATGGTTTATGGTGTAAGGGCTGAGAGCTTAGAGGGGGTGGTGTGTGGGGCTGTACTCTGAGGCGGCCAGAGTCCTAGGATAGTCCTCCTGTGCACACCGCACCTGTTGGGCAGTCTGAGTCATGCTGCCAGGGCAGGGCATCCAGCTCCCAGCCTGGGAGTGCTGAGAGCCAAATCCACTGCAGAGCAGGGGTGATAGTCAGAGTCCCACCTCCTCTATCTGTCGGCAATGCAGTGGTGAGATAGGATAAAACCTTGAGAGTCGCATACACACGGTCAACCCACAACACACCTCACAGGCCAGGCAGGAAACACAGGCCCCTTCCCTCCCTCCCAGGTACCATCATAGCTGCTAGCGTGTGACTGAAGGCAGGGTCCCTGGCCCCCGCTGAAGCACTATTGCTGGCCAGCAGGCTCACGCACCTTGGAGTGTTGCTCCTAGAGGTCACCTCTGCTATTCAGCCAAGGGGACCACAGTGCCTGCTGGCCCAGCTGACCTCCGCCCCACAAGCCCACCCACCTCCCCTGCCATAGACTCTCCCTCTTCTGCTTTTCCCAGCAGGAAGGGCCCAGCCTCACCTATCCGACCTGCAACCCCCAACAAGCTGAGGCTCCCCTCTTAGACTTATAAGTCTATAGCCAGTGGCATCCAGCTGCATGCCCTCCTTTCCTCCCCCAGGGACCCTTCAAGGGTTCCTGGGCTTTCTGACCCCCCAGAGGGGGCTCCGGCGATCACTCCACCCATCCATCCCTTTTAGCTTCATCATCCTGGTTCAAGCAGTGTTTCTTCTCTATCAGGCCTGGTGGCTGTTGTTTTGGGCTCCCCAAGGCGAGAGGTGGCCCTGGACAAGTGGGTTGGAAGACACGGTGACCAGAGAAGAGGGAAGCCCAAAGGGGCTGAGCATCAGTCTTAACAGTGGGTGCACTGGGTGCCGTGGAAGAGGCCAGCACGTGTGGGGTGGGGAGGGCTGCCACAGCCCCCAGGCACTACCTGTGAAACTCCGGCTCCTCCCTCTGTCTTCCTCCCCTTTCCCTTCCAGCCCCTCTTTTCCAGGAACCTTGCCACACCCGCACGTGCACCCTTTACTCCTTGGCCCTCCCACAGCTGCTGTGGCACACCTGTGCTCTGCACTTGCCTCACCAGCTCTCTGCTCGCTTTTTTTTTTTATTATTATTATTATACTTTAAGTTTTAGGGTACATGTGACAATGCGCAGGTTAGTTACATATGTATACATGTGCCATGCTGGTGCGCTGCACCCACTAACTCGTCATCTAGCATTGGGTATATCTCCCAATGCTATCCCTCCCCCCTCCCCCCACCCCACAACAGTCCCCAGAGTGTGATGTTCCCCTTCCTGTGTCCATGTGTTCTCATTGTTCAATTCCCACCTATGAGTGAGAATATGCGGTGTTTGGTTTTTTGTTCTTGCGATAGTTAACTGAGAATGATGATTTCCAATTTCATCCATGTCCCTGCAAAGGACATGAACTCATCATTTTTTATGGCTGCATAGTATTCCATGGTGTATATGTGCCACATTTTCTTAATCCAGTCTATCATTGTTGGACATTTGGGTTGGTTCCAAGTCTTTGCTATTGTGAATAATGCCGCAATAAACATACGTGTGCATGTGTCTTTATAGCAGCATGATTTATAGTCCTTTGGGTACATACCCAGTAATGGGATGGCTGGGTCAAATGGTATTTCTAGTTCTAGATCCCTGAGGAATCGCCACACTGACTTCCACAATGGTTGAACTAGTTTACAGTCCCACCAACAGTGTAAAAGTGTTCCGATTTCTCCACATCCTCTCCAGCACCTGTTGTTTCCTGACTTTTTAATGATTGCCATTCTAACTGGTGTGAGATGATATGCTCGCTTTTCTCTCTCCTGTCTTCTCTCTGCTTTCTCTCCAACTGCCAGCCAATCGGCTCAGGCAAGTCCATCCCATCCTGAGAGCCCCAGGCCCCCCTTTGACCTCTAAACAGATTCCTCCTCTTCTCAGAGACTTCCCTTTCCAAGCCTGCCTGGGCGGCTGTTCTGTGACTTGGCAGTGGCTCCCCCAGCCCCAAAGGCAGCCCCCTTCATCTGTGACTTCGTCTATTGTTGCGGTGAGCTGACACATCCAGGTGTGACCGTTGCTGAAAACTTGTGCCCCCCTCTGTGGTATGCCCCTGCCCTGTTCTAGAAATATCTACAAATACCCATATACATATACACACACACACACACACACACACACACACACACACACCTACATGTGGCCAACCGCCTCGCCTCTAGCGCTGGGAATCAGTCACCGTGCTGTCCTTTTGGAGTCTTGTGGCCAAACAAGAGAAAGCTAACCCCTGACATTGCCCCTCCAAAGTGCGCTACCTTCAGTGAGCCTCCCTGTCACGCCCAGCCTATGGAGAGACACACCCCGCCATCCCTCCCGCCCCCCCCCCCCCCACCAAGCATGGGAGTGCTGTGCAGGCAGCTGTGTGGCCTGACAGTCTCTACCAGTCCTGCTGTCCCTTGGCTGAGAATCAAACCCGCTTCTGGATGGCGGGGAAGTGTGTCCTCTGCTGGCTGTGTTCTCTGTGGAGCTCAGGGGAGGGGAAAGGCCAAGCCATTTCTAGGGTGCTGTTGGGAGCAGTGAAAAGGCCATGCCCTTTCCAAGGGACACTTTTCCTGGAAAGCCCCTGGAGCTTAGCTGGCTCTTATCCTGTGAAGCCGGCTCTGGCCACCAGGGGGCAGGGCCATGAACTCAGCCCAGAGGGAGCCTGCAGGGCAGCCGGCACTCTGGAGGCACAGACAGAACAGGCCACCAGGTGCAGACAGGAGAGGGAGACAAGGGGATAGAACGGAAGATGCCGGGGCTGGGTGGAAGTCAGTGCCCTTAGGTGCTGGTACCTGTCTTCCCGGCCACCGCTAGATCAGGCTTCTGAGCCTGTTGGCTGTCAGGGCCAGACTGCGCCCCATAGACTACATGGCAGTCCCCTTGGAATCCCCCAGGCGCCACCAGGCAGCATACAGGTAACACGCCTGGAAGGTCCCCAACAGCCTAGCTGGACATGCTCAAGACACTCTGGGACTCCTTGTTTGGTGGCACAAACTCCAGGACCCAGTGAGGGAAACGGAAACACACCAGGCCGAGCAGTATGGCTAAATCCATTTATTCCAAAATAAAAAGCAAAATAAACAGGAGTCGCATCACCAGGGAGCCACGACCCCATCCCCGCCTCCTTCCTCTGTCCTATGCTAGCAATAAATAAGTTTCCCAGCCACAAATAATTATTACAACCTCCTCCCCATGTGCCGGCTCCAACCTCAGCTAGGTATGACACAGGGGTGGCCCTACCCTCTGGAATATACAAAACCTTACACAGACACAATGTGTACACCGGGGAACGGGGGCCACCCCAGCAGCCCGTGCCCTCGCCTGGTCCACAGTTAGCCCCACTGTCCTGCCTCTCTGAATAAGAAGGGAGCCCCCCTGAGGGAAAAGTTGCTATGGTGAGAGTAAGGGGGACATCAGGCCTCCTCCAAACAAACCAACTCCACCAGCCTCTGGCTCTTAAATAACAATCATCATCATCCAGAAATTTAGGGACTCAGCCCTGGTCAGGGTGGCAAAGGGTCTGTTTGTCTTTCCCCATTAGACAGAGGTCTTGTCCTGCTACCCTAATTGTAAAGGGGTGCCTGGGAAGGGGTGGTAGGGACATGGTGGCGGTGGAGACTCCGGCCCCACTTCTCCAGGCTTTGCTGACAGGGGCCTGCTTTTAATTTTTATTTTTATTCCATGACTTTTTAAAAAAGAATCCCGTAACTTCTTTTTCATAACTTTTTTGGTAACTTTTCATAATACTGTTTTCTACTTTGTTCCCACAAGTTTTTTTGCCACAACGTTTTTACATTTTTTATCCCATAACTTTTTCACCCCATAACTTTTTTAATCCCATAACTTTTAAAATCTTGTGTTCTTTTAAGAAACACTTGCATAGTTATATCACAACTTTGTAAAAATGAAACACATTATCTCATGCCAAGCATGCCCAGCATTTGCACAGTATCAATACCTTTAATACTATAGTTTTCAAGAAACGCAAAATAAAATTTTAAGACAAAAACAACACATTGAAACAACTTAATAATTTATTACATTACAGTGGCATCACACCAGCAGTCAATAAGGCCACTCTAGGGAAAAATCTTTCAGTATTTCCACGACACATTCTCTTTACAATAATTCATAAACTGGTAAAATTCATTCTAAGAAAACTTGGCAAATAAAACTTTGGACTGGAATTGGCATTTCTTTCTCTGCTTTTCGTTCCCACCATTTCTTTCTTTTATACTACAGTATTCATATTTTAAAATGTTTTAAATTATTTCAGAACATTAAGATAGCAGTTACATTTTTTAATAGTTATTTTAAAATGACTCTTTAAAATAAAGTTTTAGAGAAACTATATTATGGATAGGGCTGATTTACATTTTCAAATTTTCTAAAATCAGCTTTGGTTTTAGAGCTGATTTTTTTTTTCATTTCTGGAAAATTATCAGGTTTAATCAAATACTTTTAAAATGATTATTATACATTGCCATCTTTAAATAGGTATTTTGATTCTTCCTACAGAAATCAAAATGTATTCAGTGGAACTCACAGTTTAAAATTCTATGTTTCTGATGAACTCTAACATTCCAATGTTGCCTTCTAAGCAAACTGAAAGCTGCCTTATACTGAATGAGGAAGAGCACAAATACTCGGCTGAATGAGGTATCACAAAAGACTGCATGCACTTTGGAGAAAGACTTGAGTTATTGTCATACAATTTCCATTCTTTTTAGCTTTTTCTTAAATATATGACAAATACCTACACAAAGAGTGGTATTTCAGTCAATATAGTAAATTTATTTTCCAGACTGACCTTCAGCTTAAATATGCCAGTGTGTGATTTAATCCATAGGCACCTCATGAACACATTATTGTCAGATTGGTTACAGATGCTAAACGCTATCCGAAGGTCATTCCTAGTCACTGATATTTATCAGGGTAAAAGTGAAGTGATTTCAACGATAAAAGTACCTTTGCAATAATTTATCAATGTATTAGATAAACCCAGTTTCAGAATGATAAAAGAAAAAACGTTAGACCAAATAATGTGGCTGATTAACAGTGGTCCGATTTCTAGCCCGAGGGTTTAAAATGCTCTTAAAGTAACTGTCTTTAAACTGAACTCAAAGAATGCAAAAGCGGCAAGTTCAGAAAATAAAAGGCGAGAACAGGACTTTAAGTGCATTTTAAACCCACGGGCTACAAATCGTACCACTGTTAATTAGCCGCATTATTTGGTCTAAGATTTTTTCTTTATCATTCTGAAACTGGGTTTATCTAATACATTGATACATTCATAAAATTTGGAAGAGTCAGTGGAAGTCACAAGGACCGAATATTTGCACTCTTTCAGTGAATGCCAGCAAATCTGTTATTCCATCGGTAAAATCGTATTGTTGCTCTCCTGTTAATGTCATATTTATAGAAGTATCATGAGGATGCCAAATGCTAAAAATGGAGATGATCTAGTAACTAGAAATCCCCACCGCAGGGAGCACACACACCTATCTCCCTGCATCCTAACAATGTGATGTGTTTTGGAACACAGACATTAGAACTTCATGAAGTTTTAACTGTTGAGTCTTTCCCAAGCATCATCAAGTTACGATTTAGGCAATACATAACTGAAATGCATTCATTCATCATGCATAGGCACAATCACATAAATATTGCACAAAATATGTCCCGAACAGAAACCCAGAGGTACAAAAACATATTTCACTTTGTAAAGAAGTTTGTGAGAAAATATAACTCTGTGGTTGTATAGACACGTTTCCTGATAATACATTGACATTCACGAACAACAGTAGATTGCACTGCAGTTTGTACACATTTTAAGTTTCATAAACTTCTCCTTGATTTTCAAAGATAGTATAATACCATCTACTAAAACTCCTTTTTGTTTCAACTATCTCACATATATTAGTTTATAAGAATGTTTCTATTTTTTTAAAGTGTTTTCCATTCAAAGAAAAAGAAGTAAATTCCTATGTCAGAGTAACCAAGGTGGTTGAAGAATAGGTATTAGCCAAAGAGGTCTAGATGGTAAAATCAATCTTCAAGCCTCAAAGAATCTCCGTGAACAGAGAGGAATGCCAGGAGTCACACAGCTTTCCTTCACTCTAATTCATTCTTGACTAGAGCCTGTATGCCTGTTCCAGGGACATTTGAACTCGTAAAGGATTTCTTATGATCTTCACTAAATACATTAAGAAGAATGCCAACCAGTGCCCTTTTGTGTACTGGGGCATGTAGTCATGTGATTAAAACAGGTAACATGAACTCTGACTTTAAAATGTATTGTAGATACAAATGCTCTAAGCTAGGAAAGGTTTTCCACATCCACAGTCAACGATGGGAACCTTTCATTCCTCAGAAATAAGCCCTTTTTAGGTCATCGAAAAAGAGTGCAACTGCTGCAGCTCATGATGCAGTATCTTCATGAGCCCAGAGCACATACAAATCCTAAGGGAACCACCATAATACACTGCTAATTCCTGGCACCGGAACAGATGAAACACACTCTATCCTGCACGTACCTGCCAGAGGAGGCCACTTTCCTCTTCTGTGAGATTTAAAAAGCTCCCCCAAAAGGTTATCACTCCCATCACCAATACACAGAAAATGGAGGAAAGGCTGTTTCCAATTCTTGGCCTTTAAACAACTCTAAATGTCAGTACTCATAGTGGCGTATTACAAAGTAATAAACAGTGCACACTTGGGGGCAAACTACATATTGAGCTAAGGAAGAGCTCACTGTGATTAAGATTACATCAAACAACAGCAGAACATAGGCAAATTTTGTCTGAATGCTGTAGTGAATATACATGCTGCAATAACATTAAAAAAGCATGGCAGCCTATTCCAAACCAAAGAGAACAGTTTTGGGCAAAGAGTGGGTCTTTGTGTGTTTGAACTCCCACCACGTAAGGGCAAACTCGATATGCACGCTAATGACCTACAATTATGAAATTAAAAAAGAAAAATGCTAAAGGATGCCAGAGTGAACATCAGTGAGAGCCACAGACACCCACTCTCTTTTAACTTTTTACAAATAAACTTAAACTATAAATTAGAAACACAAATAATCATGAGTGAGTCTAACATTCAAAGGAAGTAAATGAATTGTGTAGGAGATTAACCCCATAACTTGGTTTCTTATTTAAAAATTTCTTGAGCAGCTGTTTGATGATGGTGATGTTTATCTCCTTCTTCTTGGCAGCCAAGCCCAACAAAATAATGGCACACAGCAGTTGCTGCCCAAGCCTGGGTGCTCCTGGTGGTCCTGCACGATCGGCTGTGCAGTAGGCTTGTCAAGGAGAGGATCCTCCCTGGCCTCTCCTTGGGCAGAGGAGGTGAGGGTCACCTCACGAAGATCTTTGGAGAGAGGGAGGCGGGGATCTGAGCACAGTGGGAGCCCCCCTCTTCCTGCCTACCCACCCCACCTGAGGGCTCTACTCACCACCATGCTTGTCTGCAGCCCCAAGCTCCTGGGGGGCTGGGGCTCCTGGACCGGGCTCATCAGCAGAGTTGTGGGCAGCGGCCAGGAATTTTCTGTGCCCATTGTTGTAGTTGCTGTAAGCCGCAATACCATCTGCTGCAGCTCCAGCAGCTTCACCTGGAGGGAGGGGTGCTCAGCTGCCATGCCGCTGCCTGCGCCCACCCTCACACCCACCCCCACCCCCACCCCCACAGAGATGTTGCACACCCTACCTTCATCTCCTCCCTGAGCTCCAGCCTGATGGTGTCCTCCTCCCAGTGCTGCATCTTTGGCACGGCCCCCTGGTTCTGATAAAAGGTGATGGATTTTCCTGCGGGAGGACAGGGCTCAGACGCTGGGGCCCCTCTGATGGCCCTGTAGCTCCCCCTGCCGTGCCCTGGCCTCCCACTCACTGATGGCATCTCTCTTGCCAGTATTGAATGAAGCGAAGTTCTTGTTTTTTCAGCAGCTCACTCAGGTCTGCCTTCTCCTTCAGGTGGTCCATAAAGCTGCTCTGGAGCCAAAATATTGCAGTCACATCTCGGCAGCGACCTGCCCTCAGGTGGCATTTTCAAGTCATGGAGAAGGCGGAGGTGAGTCCTGGCATGGGCCAGCTTCTCCGTGACTTCCTGCAGGGCCCGGTGGGTCTCCCCACTCACAGACTCGCCCCCAGGCCCTGGGGCTCCAGGGCCTCTGGCTGCCTCTGGCTCCTTCTGGGCCGAGGCCACCGGGTGAGCCAGGCGCTGGCAGCACACCCTCTGCTCTTTCACCTGCTCTTGTAACTGTGCCTGCTTCTCCTGGGCACTAGCTCCAGCGGACTTGAAAAATGCCACCTGAGGGCAAGATGTGAGCATTCTTCTAGGGGCATACACAGAAGAAATGGGGCAGAGAGGTGGAGCACAGCCCCTTCCCTTGGGGCCTCAGAGAGTGCACCTGTTGGCCACAGGTGAAATGGTGTCTGACCACTGGCTCTCGGAAGGGGTGAGGGTCCAGAGAAATCAGAAGGCAGGGAAACGAAGAGCATAAAGGGGTCTTGGAGGGACCACAGAGAAAGGTGGCAAAATGGGTGCAGGGGGAGTCAGGCTCACCATGGCCTCCCTGCTCTCCGGGTCCTCTGGGACACTCGGCATGGGCTGAGGTGCCTCCTCCCCCTCACTGTCCAGATGTTCTCCTCCGTGTCCTGTGGGGGGTGGCCAGAGGGGTCTTCAGACAACCCAACAAGGGAGGTACTGTGGGCCCACCTCTACCTCCACCCTCACTGTGTAACCCTGAGCCAGCCCCTCCCCAGAGAGGAATGAGCTGTTGTTCTTTATTTTTACTTTTAAGAATCAAGATCTTGCTATTCCGCCCAGGCACACTCCCACTACTGGTCGATGTGGGAGTTCTGACCTGCTCCCTTTCTGACCTTGGCCAGTTCAGCCACCCTTAGGCAACTTGGTGACCGCCCGCTCACAGGAGGTCACCACACTGATGCCGAACTTAGTGCAGGCACCCGGTCGGCATAATGACCAGCTGCTCTAAAGGTCTCTTCCAACTCCTCAATCCTATGCTGCTAGCAGTCCCCCCTTCCTCCTGGGGCTCTCTCCTCTTCCTCTGAGCGGTCTCCCGTACCTTCCCCAGGGAGAGCCATGAGGCTCAGCTGGGCCGTTAGCTGCTGGTTCTGCTGGCTGGCCACTTCCAGGTGCTCCTAAGGGGCCAGGAAAGAGTGAGAAGGGATGGAGTTTGCCAGGTCGTCCCCCTCACAGCCCCATCCTCGGCAGCTCCCTCCCCTGGGTCTCCTGCAACTTTTGGCAGGCCATCTCGGCCACTGCTTTGCCCCAAGCTTCCTACTGCTGCAGCTGGTTCATTAGCTGGGTCTGTTGCAGTCACTGCCTGTACAGCGCCTCCTTCTCACAGGTCAGCTGCTGATAGGCGGCCACCTGCTGCTGATAGGTGGCCACGTACTGCTGCAGGTGACCCAGGTAATGGTCTGGCTGCTGCTGCAGACTCTGAACCTCTTGGCTCTTCAGCTCCACCTGCAGGAAGACCCTGGGTGTGAGGGCACGTGGTGGCTGGTTTCCAGATTCTGGGCCCATTAATAGGGTAGCGAGGGCACTGTGGGGCTCTGTCAGCTACCCAGGCCCCTGTCCCCTTACTCCAGGCCTAAGTGACTGCCTCCCTTTCCTAGAACCCCATGCCTCCTTCCCCAGCCTCAAATCTCATACCCTCTTCTCATTTAATCCTCAGCACCTCTGTAAGGAAAATGCTAACTTCCCTTTGAAGTTAAAGAAACAGAGACTTAGAGATGCAAAGTACTTGAATGGTGACCAGTGGAACCGAGGCTGGAATCCAGTTTCAATCTAAGGAGTCTTTTTGTTTTGTTTTCAGACAAGAGTGTCACTCTGTGGCCCAGGCTGGAGTGCAGTGGTGCAATCTCAGCTCACTGCAACCT
Source organism: Homo sapiens (assembly GCF_000001405.40). Taxonomy (NCBI): domain Eukaryota; kingdom Metazoa; phylum Chordata; class Mammalia; order Primates; family Hominidae; genus Homo; species Homo sapiens. The sequence goes on from NC_000015.10 coordinate 30,406,450, forward strand.
CCACCTCCTGGGTTGAAGCAATTCTCGTGCCTCAGCCTCCCGAGTAGGTGGAATTACAGGCATGCGCCACAATGCCCTGCTAATTTTTTTTTTTTTTAATTTTAGTAGAGATGAGGTTTTACCACATTGGCCAGGTTGATCTCAAACTCCCGACCTCAAGTGATTCTTCTGCCTCAGCCTCCCAAAGTGCTGGGATTATAGGCATGAGCCACTGCACCTGGTATAAGGAGCCTGTTATAGCACTGTCTCTTCCCCTGTGATTGGGGGCTCCATGCCTCTAGCTGGGATGATGATGTCCAGACCTGAGAGGAGCCCAGGGCTACCCACCTTTAAAAGTCAGAGGCAGGAAGTGAGAAACAGTCGCAGGACTGCCCTGCGGGGTGCTGTGGTCACCAGCCCCCAGGCTGGAAGCTGCCTCTGACCTGGCACCTCCCCTCCCAAGAGGCTGCTGCCCGCCTCCCAGCCCTTCTTGGATGGGGTGGAGGTTTCCGTCTCCTTCACCTCGCCAAGCTTCTCCTGTAGCTCCTTTACTTGCTGCTCCAACTGCAGTGTGCTCTTGTTCTCATTGTTCTGGACAGAGAGAAGCAATCAGCAGCCACCCACTGCAGCTGGAGACCCCAGAACTTGGTGTCTGCCTCCCATGGCACTGGGAAGGCTGGAGGCAGGTTAGAAAAATCACCCCCTCTCTCCCACAGCCACCTGGCTCACAGGTGCCTTTAGAAGTAACCTTTCACGCGAGGGCTACACTGCCCCATTTTAGAGGTGGGGAAACAAAGGCCCGGAGGGCTAGGGAGGAGGGCAGGCTCCCCAGTTGGGGCAACGCACCAGCTCCTCGAAGACGCTCTGTGGCTTGGCCAGCTGCCGAAGCTTCTCGTGCTGCTCCTGAAGCCTCTCCTCCTGCTTCCGAAGCCTCTCTTCCTGTTCCCGAATCCTCTCTTCTTGTCGCCGGTTCAGGAGACTTATGTGCTGATTGTTTTTGACCTGGGACTGGAGCTCTCCTGCCACTCTCTCTAGTTCCTTCCTCAGGTGCTGCAGCTCCACCTCAGAGGGCACTGCTGGGGGCTCCGGGGGCAAGGGTTCAGCTGAGAAAGGAAGCAGATAATAAGGGCCTCTGGATTCTCGGAAAAGAAAAACCCTCCTCTTGGCGCACAGCTCCTCTCAGGCTCCTCAAACTTGGCCTCACTGCTAATGATTCCTCGCACCCAGATGGTAGCCAGTCTTCCAAAGCACTTTCAGAGAAAGAGCACTGCGGGTGGCTGACAACGGGCCCTCTTTGCTGATGGGGACACTGAGACACTGAGACTCACTGAGATGACAAGACTTGCGGTCTCCTGGCACAGATCTCTTTCCCTCTGCCTCAAAGCCCTTCCATCCACCCACCTCCCTGGGGCACTCTAAGCCACCCTCACAGCCCTCTGATGCCAGTCCTGCTCCCAGGTCATGCCAGCCCCATCTTACCCGTCTGGTTTTTGAGTTTGGACAAGCTCCACTCCAGCTGCTCTACCCAACGCATATCCTGCTTCTCTTTCTTTAATGTGCAAATCTGCCCAAAGCACAGGGGGAAAGGGCCCTGGAGAGAGGGGCTGGTGGCTGGACAGGCTGCCCTCTCCTTCTCTGCCCCCACCCCCACAAAGCCCAGACCCATGACCACCTCTGGCTCTACTATTCCCATTTTACAGATGCCCAGAAAGATCCAGTGACCTATCTAATGTGGGGGGGCTGAAGGGTCAGATCTCACCTCCTGCGACATTTTACTCATCCTCTGATGCCACCGGGCCCTCTCTCCTTCTATATGTTCAGCACACTCATCTCTTTCTAATTGGAGTTGTTGAAATGACTCCTTCAACTGCAAGAATGGGCACAGAAGTTAGGAAGGGCTGTCACTGGTCCTCACCTGCTCCTGGCCACCTGGGGTCATCGTCCTTCCACATCCCTCCCTCGGAAAACCTCACCTGTGTCAGCTGCGCTTTCAGCAGTGCCTGGTCCTGTAGGGACTGCTCTAACTCCCACTCTGTATGTGCTTTGCTGCAGCTGGACAACTGGATGGTGAAGAGTGAGAAGTTTCAATCTGGAGAGCCTGGGCATTTCCACACAGTGCCCCTTAACAGGGCTAGGGCTAGGCCCAATATACAACTCGGTCAGTAAAGATCAAGGCATTTCCCAGCCCGTGGTCTGGTTTTTAAAAGAACACAGTAAAGTTGGAACGGACAGGGAATGAGACTGAGTTTATAGCTGGCTAACAGAGGCCCAGAGAGATCAGATAATATTGCTATTGTTATTATTGTCATTATTACCACTGTTTGAACCTTTGTGGAATGCTTCACCAGGTACCGTGCTAACAATCCCATTTAATCCTCGCAACCACCATAGGAGACAGTTACTATGATTCCCTCTATTGTGGAGATGAAAAAACATGGAGTATTTGAGGTTAAGTGCTTGCCTAAGTTCACTTAGGCAGAGCTGGGATATAAACACCCAGGTCTATCCAATTCTCTAAGCCCGTTTTTCTTGCTGGGGATGGGGGCACAGATAGGAAGGGGAAAATTAATCTTTTGTTCACTTTTTGACAGGATGATACATTCACATAGTCCAAAACTCAGAAGGTACAGAAGGGAAGTATCTCCCAGCCATCTTGTTCTCTCTCCTGAATTTTTTATGAACCCTTGCAGACATGTTTTATGTATATTATCACAGTATGTACACACACACACACACACACACACACACACATGCACGCGTTTCCTCTTTCTACAGAAATGGTAACATACTAAAGGTACTCTTCTGTACCTTCACAGTACAAGTACCCAATACCCCACCTAGGACTTGCCCAAGACCACAGCCAGGTAAGGGCGGGGCAGGCACTTGGCCTCCAAGCTCTGCCTCCAGTGCTCACTCCCCACAGTACCCCCCAACTCACCCACAGCAGCTGACTCGGCCCCAGGCTGCCACTAAAAACCATACAAAAAAGTAGCAAGAAATGGCCATGCTGCCTTCTGGGCAGGACACGCCATCCTGCAGAAGGGACCTTTAGGCTCACTCTTCCATCTGCAAAACCAGGCTCCCAGGGGATGGGGCAGGTGGCTGGACTCACCTGGTTTGCCTTCTTCTTCTCTGTGGCGATGACAGCAGACAGAGCCCTCTCTAACTCTCCTTTACACTGCAATGAATGTTGCAGGCGGACAGCCAGGTCCTTGGACTCTTCTGTAATGAGAGAGTTGAGATGGGGCCCAAAGGACTCCCCCTGAAGACCTGTCAAAGTGCCAGGTTGAAGGATGACAGGGTGCCCAGATTCCCACCTTCAAAGTATCTGAGAGAACGTTCCATGTGGTACAGGTCCGTATTTAGTTCCTCTTTCTGTATGATCAATGTCTGGATTTGAACCTTTGGGAGAAAAGCCAAGCAAGTGCTGAAAGAGAAGGAAAGAAACATTCTCCGGAGGACAGGAGGAAACTGCACACCCTCCACTCACCTCTAGCACCCTTTCGGCTTTCTGTCTCTCGTTGTTTGCTTTCTTTTCCTGTAGGAAGAGGAAGACAGAGCTCTTACCAGGGGGAGGCAGAGATGGCACAGCAAGAGACATGCCCCCAGAATGCCACCAATGCCCCAGGACAGGCCCACCCATGGGACCAGGTTATCAGGGGCCCTGTGGGGATGGGGTGGAATCTGAGGGGTGAGCCTTCTTCCCCAGGCTGGGAGTGGGTGAGACGAGACTGGGGCCTCTATGTCTGAGTGCCCCCCAAACCCAGCAGTCATGTCGCGAGGAAACGAAATCACGTTACTTCTTCCAGCTGATGTTCCACTTGTTTCTTCTGTTGTTTCTGTGGGGAGAGTCAAATAAGGTGATGGAGGGTGGCCCCCTCAACTCTATTCCCCAGATCAGGAAGCGGTAGGCAGGGGCCAGGAATGGATTTTAAAGGCAAAGTTCTCAGACATAATGGGAACACGAACCGGTAAACTCTCCTCAAGCTCCCAAGGACAGAGGATTTGGGTCTTTGTTGGCTTTTGCCCACAGCCACAGAACTCAGTCTGAATCTGGAATCTCTTGAGAGGACAGCAACATAAACCTCTAGAGATGGAGTTTCAGAAAGGCCCCTCCTTCTGGCAGCTTGTGATTTAGAAAAGTGGGTTCATTCAATAAACACTTACTGAGCACGTATGGGCCAGGTACGGTTCTTCACAGCAGATATAGGATGGAAAAGGACAGACAGGAGCCCTTAGCCCTGAGGTTTCCATTCCCGGGGGCCTTTAAATCTCAGACTCGAGAGCTAACAGAGACCTTTGATACTCACTACCTCCTCTGGAAACACGAGCCCAAAAAGGAGAGGTGGCTTGTCCAGAATCAAAGAGCAAATTAGGGACTGAGTCATGGCAGAAATACGGGGCCCTTGACAACCAGTCAGGCTAGCACTTCCCCAAGAGGCAACAACCCCAGGGCGTGTGTAGCAAGGACTCGAGCAGGGGTGTCTGGAGAGGAGAGAGTCGGCAAAGAGGGCAGCAAAAGAAGAGCCATGCTGCATGCTCTGGGGTCCCTCCAGGTGAGGCCTGGGCACCCAAGCTCCCTATTTGTCCCGGGCACCAGGGACCCCCAGCCCCTTTCTTCAGGGCCCCAAGGGGAAACTGGAGCCCAGGATTGGCAGCGTGGAATCAGGGGACCCCACCGGACTCTTACCAAAGATTTGATGGTGTTCTTCAGTCGACTGATTTTTACGGACGTTGAATCCAGGACTACTGCTCGTTCTTGGCACGGGCTCTGAGGTGCATGCAGAGAGGAGGAGGTGGAGCAGGAGTGGGGAGAGAGGTAGAGAGAACGATCGTTAGGGCTGGGGTGTGTGGGCTGTCTCAGCTGGCAGAGGGGCACCCAGTCCCACCTGGAGGAGGAGGTTGGAGGGTTGACCCGAAGGGTCACTGCACCTCCACCCAGAGCCTCTTACCTCCAGATCTTTCAGGGTAGCAGATGATGTAGGGCCTTCCCTGTGGAAACCTGTTGCTGACTACAAGAGATGAGAGTGCACATGGAGATGTTCTGTCCCCCACAGTGTCTGAGCCCTCTGACTTCCTTTCTTCCCCATCAACTGCAACATTTTCTTTTCTGCCTATCTTGGACCTTTTGTCCCATAACTCCTTTGTGCCAACTTCTCTCATGGTTCTTATCTCCCCACCATCCCATCCTGGGGCCCCTTCAGTGACTCCTGATGGCAAGTGGCTGTTCTCTTTGTCCTGGTTTCCCCTTGAGACTGGGGATGAGGAAAATCAAACCATATCCTGGGTGTCCTGAGTGTTTACAGCAGGCCATGTACTAGGGATTAACATAAAAACAACAATAACAAATCTCATTTAAACTTCACAAATGGAAGTGAAACAATAACACCTCTATTATACAGATGTGAAAAGAGAGGCCCAATGAGGTCTAGCAACTTGCCCTAAATCATATCCCTAGCAGAGCAGATGGAGAGGCAGGATTCAAACCCAGAATTCCTTTTTTTTTTTTTGAGACAGAGTCTTGCTCTGTCACCAGGCTGGAGTGCGGTGGCATAATCTTGGCCACTGCAAGCTCCACCTCCCAGGTTCACACCATTCTCTTGCCTCAGCCTTCTGAGTAGCTGGGACTACAGGCACACGCCACCACGCGTGGCTAATGTTTTTGTATTTTTAGTAGAGACAGGGTTTCACCGTGTTAACCAGGATGGTCTCGATCTCCTGACCTCATGATCCGCCTGTCTTGGCCTCCCAATGTGCTAGGATTACAGGCGTGGGCCACCACACCCGGCTAAAGCCAGAATTCTTAACCAGTACCCAGCAGTCCATCCACAATCTTAAGAATTACCCTCTATTGCCCCTTGGGCCCCCTGTCCCCAGAAGCCTGGTCAGCCAAGACTCACATCCCCAGGTGGCTGGCAACCACCGGAAGTGGCTGTCTCAGGGATACTGCCATTTGTTTTCCTGTTCCTGTTCACTCCTGCTGGAACTCTAGGTCTGTTTTTCTGCCAATATTCTTTTAACTGTTGGAAAGAAGAGCAGTAATATTCATGAGAACCGTCAGCCCCTACAGCCACAACCTCCTTTACAGTTTTTACAAAATACACTTACACACCATCTGATTTAATGACACCAACAACTGTACAAGGTGTTGTCACACTCATTTAGTGACTGAGAAGGATTGATATCATGGCTAGAAAAAAAAAAGAAAAAGGCAATACTGGAACTTTGAGACTCAGTCTTCTGACTCCAAGCTCTGAGGTTTTGCCAAGAATCAGCAGCTGCCAGGGACCAAAACCAGAGGCAGAGGTAGAAAAGTAAACATTAAGTAGGCAGGAAATGTATGCCATGTGGTTTAGTCATACATCCTCACACGTCTGTTAGTGTGAAGAAGTGCACCAGTACCTCTCAAACTTTTATATCAATGTGTCCTCATGGCAGAAGGCAGCCTTTCTCTTAAATCAGAATTTATCAGAAAGAGGACAACCCAAGCCTCATTTCAGAGAGAGGTCTGGTATACTCTTAGAAACCTATGTGACTGTCCTCCCTAAGTACATTCATGTTTTTTCTCTTGATCTCAAGAGAATCAAGGGAAACTGATGCTTCAGAAAGATGTCCCACATTTATCCTGTGGCACTCAAAGTACCCAAGGTTGAGATAATATGAGGAAGATTCAAGGTGTCAAGTTCAGTTTCCCAAGATCTATTCCACAGAAGATGAGCAAATCTCACTTCAGAGACCACTGACTGAAGGAGAGTCTGGTCCCAGAACCATGGAGAATTAGAATATGAGGTGGAGAACTCAGAAAAAATTGTTAAAATCTCTCTGGAAAGTAGAAGCCTGGGAGAAAACCAAATCAAACCCATTCTCTCATTGCCACCCAGAGATACTGTCAATGTTTTGAGTTCATGGGGGAAGTGTAGGCTTTTCCCACCGTCAACATCTGTAAGGGAGTGAGGCAGCCTGGAACCTCTTGCTCCTAGGTCCCATAGTCTCCATTCCCCTTCCAGCTGGAAATTTGTGCTGTGACCAGAGGAACCAGAAACGGGGTGAGAACGCTTAGGGGACTGGGTCGTAAGGTCAAAGGCCAGTCTTGCAGTAACGGCAGTTACTAGGTGGACTGTGACATCACAACATTCCACTCCTCCTGGTCGGGGGGAGGGACCATGTCAGCACCATGTCCAAGTCGCTGCTCCACGATGGGGGAGGGAAGCACAGGGTTGGGACCCAGCTCCTTGGAGACGCCAGCACAAAGAACCCAGGGAGGTCGACCTTGAGGCAGCAGGAGGGGAGGGCACAGTCTGCAGCAGGGAGTCCCAGGAGTCACCAGCCCAAAGTCACCCAAGGATGACTGGCGAGGGTGGGGCCTGGCTCCTTGGAGATGAGAGCCCAAAGAGCCCACGGAGATCAAGCTTGGGGCGGCAGGAGATGAGGGCCCAGTAATGGAGCGGGAAGCCCCAGGAGTCACCCACCCAAAGTCACCCTGGGGTGATTGGCGAGGGCAAGGACTGGGCTGCTTGCTGAAGGGGTGGGGCTGACTGACAAAACTTTGGTGGGGGTAGCCCAAGGCACCGGGGTTGGGGGGACCAGTCCAGTGTGCCTCAGGAGTCATATAGACTCTGGCAGGGGTCTTGTCATCAGAGGGGATCTGTGGCTGGGTTGAGGGGCTATGACCTAGTGCGTTTTTACCTTTTTCTTGGCTGCAGCCAATTTGTTGTGTTGAGTTTCTTCTGCCATTGCAGGGTGGGGAGGGAGGAAGGGTTGGGGCCACAGCAGCAAAATCCCAATAAGAACCGATCAAGGCCTCCAGTCACCTACCAGGCAGCTGTGTGACTGAGCCAGAGGAGGCGTAACCAGGGACCCAGTAGAATGCGGAATAGGGGCGTGGCCTTAATGCTCCAAGCCCATTGGTCAATGAGAAAGATGAAAGGGAAAGGGGGCGTGGCCAGACAGCAGCGTGTCCAGAGGGCCCTGTGGCTCACAAGGAAAGCTGCCCATGGCAACCGCTCTCCCCACCCACTCTAAGAGAGGGGAGAGGCCTCCCACTCTGGAAGAGAAGAGGGGCTGGCTTTTGCTTTAAAAGCTTTAAAACTTTAAAAAATATATGTGTGTATACTTTATATATATGTGTGTCCATGTGTGTGTATCTATGTTTTTCTCCATAGCTGTCTTCATTATCCAGCTTCTATGCAAGGTCTATGATTTTGGCCTATATTTTTCATCTTTGATTACAGTACAAAAATTACCAGTATTACCTTAACTGAGATACAGATCCTATAAAAATGGAAAATGCATAGCATGCTTGATGATTAATGAAGCAGACTATATTATCCAACATTCTAATAAGATAAAATAATCACAATGATTTCTCTTTTTTGGAAAAATGTTTCTCTTATTCTCCTACGTTTTCGTTAAGATTTTTTTTCTTAAACAAGAAACATGTCTAATATCTGTAAAAGCACAAAGCTTTTGGGCTGGGTGCAGTGGCTCATGCCTGTAATTCCAGGACTTTGAGAGCCCAAGGTGGGTGGATCATGAGGTCAGGAGATCGAGACCATCCTGGCTAACACGGTGAAACCCCATCTCTACTAAAAATACAAAAAAGGCCGGATGTGGTGGCAGGCAGCTGTAGTCTCAGCTACTTGGGAGGCTGAGGCAGGAGAATGACATGAACCCCCGAGGTGGAGCTTGCAGTGAGCCAAGATCATGCCACTGCACTCCAGCCTGGGCTACAGAGCAAGACTCCATCTCAATTAATTAATTAATTAATTAATTAATTAAAATAAAAAATTAATAGTAAGAGCAATGTGAACAAAAGATGCAATAAAATAATTTAGAAAATACAAACTATTAAAAAATAGATTTTAAAACTTGTGCAACGAAGTCAAACAGCAGCCAACGAAAATGTATACCCTTACACGTTTGTTTAAAAAGCAATTTAAATTACATTGATCCACTAAACTAGGAAAAGCAAAACAAACAAAAAGGGGGAAATAATTAAGACCTAAGGAAAAAGAAAAACCACTAGATTTAAAAAATAAAACTAAAGGAGGATTCTTTCAAAAGACTGAGATAATAAAACAGTCAAGCCTCTGATAAGTAATCAAGATAAAGAAAACTTTGAAGAGAAAAGGGCATATAGCCACATGTGAATATGATGCAAAAAGTGAAAACTTTACACATCTTTACAACACCTTAGAAGTATGGATGACATGTTCATTTTTTTTTTTTTTTTTTGAGACGGAGTCTCGCTCTGTCACCCACGCTGGAGTGCAGTGGCGTGATCTTGGCTCACTGCAAGCTCCGCCTCCCGGGTTCACAACATTCTCCTGCCTCAACCTCCTGAGTAGCTGGGACTACAAGCGCCCGCCACCACGCCTGGCTAATTTTTTGTATTTTGGCTTAGTAGAGACAGGGTTTCACCATGTTAGCCAGGATGGTCTCTATCTCCTGACCTCGTGATCCACCTGCCTCGGCCTCCCAAAGTGCTGGGATTACAGACATGAGCCATCGCACCCATCCAAAGTGTTCATTTTTTTTTAAGAACCTACAGTTACGAAAAGTAACTGAAGAAGTGGGAAATCTGGAGACCAATATGCAGAAGAAGGAAAAAGACAAAGACTCATCCTCCAAATTGGATATTTAAACCAGAATTTGTCATCCTCAGCAATATTGATATATTGGGCCAGATAATTCTTTGTGGAGGGTTCTCTTGGTGTGTTGTCGGGCATTTAGTAACATTCCCTCTACCCACAGAATGCCAATGAGACCTCCCGACCATGACCAGTTGTGACCACAAAAATGTCTCCAGATATTTCCAAACGTCCCATAGGAGGCAAAATACTCCTGCAGTTGAAAATTACTGTGTAAACCAGATCTACATCCTAGATCTTAGAAAAAAGATGTAAAGCTTCCCAACTCAGCCCTGCATACCCTTGATACTGAAATAACAGCCTTAAAGGAAACAAACAAAACTATAATCTTATTTAATACAGAAGTAAAAATGCAAAAATAAAATATTACCATAGCCATTCTAACAGTGTTTATTATAGGAATGCAAAGATAATTCAAAATTAGGAAAATTTCATCAGGCAATTCACAAATTATATTTCTACATATAATTGAAGGCACAATCATGAAAAACAAAGTAGCTCTATATGCATTAAGTCCATGATCTATTCAGTGAAAAACACAAGTTGCACATGTCTTACAGAAGGAAAACTTAACACTGAACACAGATTCTCACCATCTGCTCTTTGTCCTGAGGCTCCAATAGAAATACAGTGAAGAATAAACATTGTATAAGCACACCATTACAAAAAAGGAATGGGGTTACCAACAGAAGAGAATTCATCTTCATTAGACAATGACAGTACATGGAAAATGGTTAATTCATGGAGCAAAGCAACAAAGGTGGAGGTCAGGGGGATACTGAGAACAAGGAGGCTAATCTGTCCCACAGCAACCTGGAAAGGTTCTAGACTCAGACACGAGGTACCCCCGACAGTGGGACTGATAGGCAAGACTGAAAACAGAGATTAAGCAAAAGCCCGGATAGAGAACACATTTCACAGGCCCTGAAACACACTGCTGGCCCCATCTCCTTAAACAGAACCCAAGCAAACGTATCCACCTCAGGCAAGAGAATGTAGATTTTACATCCAGAGGAATGGAGTAGTCATCCAGCCATCATTTATGATTGCAACAGGAGATAAGATAGAGGGATGGAGGATAACAATTAGGAATCAGCATACATTCCCCTTAAAGCTATCAGTTGACAAGTCTTGGCCACAAAGAACTCCCAATCAATTTTTATTTATTTTTATTTTTATTTATTTATTTATTTATTTTGAGACAGGGTCTTGCTCTTTCGCCCAGGTTGGAATGCAGGAATGCAGTGGCATGATCAGAGCTCACTGCAGCCTCAACCTCCTGGGCTCAAGCAATCCTCCTGCCTCAGCCTCCCAAGTAGCTGGGACTGCAGATGGGTGTCACCACACCTAGCTATTTTTTTTTTTTGTAAAGATGGGGTCTCACTATGTTGCCCAAACTAGTCTTGAGCTCCTGGGCTCAAGTGATCCTCCCACTTCGGTCTCCCAAAGCACTGAGATTATAGGTGTGAGCCACCACACCTCGGCTCCCAGTCTTTTAGTACCTCTCTCAAATATGAATGAACAAATAAAGGAATGGAAAAAAGACTACAGGTCAGGCACGGTGGCTCATGTCTGTAATCCCGCACTTTGGGAGGCCGAGGTGGGTGGATCACCTGAGGTTGGGAGTTCCAGACCAGACTGACCAACATGGAGAAATCCCATCTCTACTAAAAATACACAAATTAGCTGGGCGTGGTAGCACATGCCTGTAATCCCAGCTACTTGGGAGGCTGAGGCAGGAGAACTGCTTGAACCTTGGAGGCAGAGGTTGTGGTGAGCCAAGATCACATCATTGTACTCCAGCCTAGGCAACAAGAGCGAAACTGGGTCTCAAAAAAAAAAAAAAAAAAAAAGACTACAAATGATAAGCAACATAGAATAGATATTTAAGGAAAGGCTTTAAAAAGAAAAATAAGACCAAAATAAACTAAGAAAAAAATTATTAAAGAACAAGGAGATGCCAGGGAGAAGACAAAGAGTATCAAAATCACTTCATAAAGACACTTGTGAATATATTACATGTATAAAACAAAACAATATGAATAAGAAATAATCAGAGAAGAAAAAGTTCTTAGAACTCATGCTCCATCTTGGGAGTTGGTCTCCAATGAGCCATACCTCCTGTCATCATGTCCTCAGACAGGCCCATCCCATAGTCAATCTGGGTTGGCCCCAACACTCACTTTAACCTATAGCATGTGGTAGAAATGACACTGGACCTGTTCCAGGTCTAAGCCTTAAGAACTCCTGGCAGCTCCATTTCTGTGCTTCTGGAAGCCAAAAATAAGAATTGGCTACCTTCTTGGAGAAAGAAAAGCCACATGAAGAGATCCGAGAGGATGAGATGCTATGCAGAGAGAAAGGCCACATCAAGAATCACCAAGGCAGCAGACCTGTGGGTAAAGAAGCCGTCTCAGACATTCCACTGCAGCTGAGCATCCAGATGACCAGTCCCTGACACTGTTTAACCACACAGTGAGAGCTGCCAAATGAGACCAGCAGAAAAACTGTCCAGCTAGCCCCAGGTAATCCATACAGCCGTGACAGATAGACAGATGTGTAGTTTTAGGCCATTAGGTTTTGGGATAATTGGTTAAGCAACAATAAATAACCAAAACAAAACTTAAAGTTATGACAGTCCAAATAAAATTTCCTGAAAGTCGAAAGATAAGAAAATATTCCAGAACTGAAAATTTAAAAAACATTTAGAAATAACGTGAGATATAAGACTCAAGACAAGAGGTCTAAAATCCAATTAACAGACACTTCCAAATGAACAAATAAAATGGAAAAGAGAAAGTTAACAACAAAAATATGACAAGATTCAAGACTCCAACTTTGAAAGAGCCTATCCATAGGCCTGTTCATTTGGTGTACCCAGCATAATGAATGAAAAAAGACCCACACTAAGTACACTGTTGTGCTATTTCAGCTCACCAAGGAAAAGACAAACTCCTAAAAGCTTCCAGGGAGAAAGTCATGCATAAACAAGTGAAACTCAGGATGGCATGAGGCTTCGCCACCACGACTGGTTAGAAGACAACAGCACAGACTTTGAAATTCTAAGGTAAAATTATCCTCAACCTAGAAATACGTAATCAAGCAAACTATCAATCAAGTGTGAGGGTAGAATATGAGAGACGTGAATACTGATGGGGATGTGATATGCAGCAGGCACTGTTCTAAATGGTTTACATGTACCAACCCAATTAAGAAACTTAAAATACACACGCGCACACACACACACACACACACACACACACACAGTTTTTCCTGCTAATCATTTTACGATGAAACAGCCAAGTAGCTAACCCAGAGCCCACAAAGGCAGAGTAAAAATTCTAACACTTGGTAAAATAAAAATGCACATATACCCTGTGATCTAAAAAAAAAAATGCTTAAATATTCAAAGACAGACAGCAATTACAGCTACTGAGAACATCACTGTAAGCAAACTGAGGCAGAGAAAACAAAGGTGCTAATGAGGATTTGAACCACCTAACATGCAGAAACCCACTGGATGCTTTCCTAGGTTCCGAGCTGGCATTGTCTTTCAGAATGATCTAGAAGAGGTCACATGACACTGTTACAAAGGATCTGGAGAAAGGGACCCTTGCTTTATCACTCCGGCTCTCCAGTCATGCTTCACATTTTCACTTCTTACACTCTTTCACATGAAGTCAATTTACAGACCTCCATCATGCCCTTAGAGACCTTTTTGTAATATTCTGACAAGTTCTGGATGTCATCTCTGCACTTTTGACAAATTCTTAGCAGTTAACGTACAAGGCAGTTAACATTTTTGTTCACGGTATAGCTAGAAAAGGGTCATATACTCAATAAAACAAATATTTACCAAGCATTCATTGAGTGGAAGATAAAACGCACAAAGCATAATTATAAAATATTCTCCCCTGCCATGATACAACAAAATTTTTAAAGGCTTACAGAATATAGCATAACATGACCAAAGCAAAAATAGTAAGGACTAAAGAGGGGAGGAAGGGAAAATATCAGCATGAACTGAATATGACCCAGAAGAGTCTTGATGGTCAGACATGTAAAGATGTATTGGGCAGGGTTAAGGGGTGGAAGTCAGGGGCACAGGTCAGGGGCACATTCTACAAGGGAAAAACAGCTGATACAGAAGCCTGAAAGGTAAAGTGGGCAGAGCACCTGTACAGGACTCTTACCTGCCACAGCGAGGGCACAATGCGCCTTTCCAGAACACAGCAGCGCGCAGCCAGGCCTGGGGCAGAGGGATCACTCAAACAGCACCAGAGGCTGCATTCCTACTTTTCTTCCGTCAACAAGTCCATTTTCATTGTTAGTTTCTCCTTCAACACAAACTTAAAAACAAATGGCTGAACACGCAGGAACAAGGAAAACCTGACTGAAGAATGAGAAGTTAAAACTTAAGGGCCTTGGGTCCTGGCACGGTGGCTCACGCCTGGAATCCCAGCACTTTGGGAGGCAGAGGTGGGTCATTTGAGGTCATGAGTTCAAGACCAGCCTGGCCAACACGGTGAAACCCTGTCTCTACTAAAAACACAAAAGCTAGCCAGGCGTGGTGGCCGGCGCCTGTAATTTCAGCTACTCGGGAGGCTGAGGCAGGAGAATCACTTTAACCAGAGGACTGTCAAGAGAGGTAGGCTGCAGTGAACCGAGATCGCGCCACTGCACTCCAGCCTGGGCTACACAGTGAGACTCTGTCTCAAAAAAAAAAAAAAGAAGTCATGGTCATGGTAAAAAACCTATGGCTTTGGAAGGCTTTCTCGGTAACGTCCTAGAATTAAGGTTAAGCCTGCGTTTCCTGTTAACTGAACAGGAAACCAGCCTGACCAACATCCTTCTGCCCAGTGGCTTGCTCTCAGCTCCTCTTCTTTGGGCCTTGGGCAGCCAGACTGTCTAGTTTTAATCCTTGCTCTGCCACCTGTGACCTTGGACAAGTTACCTACCTTCAGTTACCTCATCTACAAAATGCAGATATTAATAATACCCTCTTTTTAATTTATCCAGAGGATTAAAAGAGTTAATAAAAAGTAAAAAATAAAAAGACTTGGTAAGCATAGGCACAGAGGAAAAAAAAGTAAAAATAAATAATTAAATAAAAAGACCAGTGCCTAGCACATAAAATTTCATCAGGAATTAATTCTATAATATGAACTCAATTTTGCAAAACTTCAAAGTACGTACAACTTTTAACTTACTAGGGTATACATACCAGTAATAAATTCACAACGGTAGACATGTTTGCCTACTGTAAATATAACAAAGACTAAACAAGCAGATACTAAATCATTAAGCAATTATCAGTTAGTATCTTTAATTTTCTTATACTTCTATATTTTCTATAGATCATCTTTGTAACAAGAAGAAAACCAACCAAATGAAAATGAAATGAATTCTCTCAAAAAGAATTAAGTCAAGACAGGAAGAAGGCTCGCAAAGTAATATAAAATATATCTTATGGTTTATGTAAAATTCTTAATAAAATACCTTCTTTGCTCCAAGCTGCACTCTGGCTTTGCCTTTGGGTCAGGTGGCATTTCTTTGCACGATGACTGGTTTTATTGAGTAGGCACTGCTTCAGCCCTACAGGAAGAACAAAACCTCTCTGGAACACAGCAGCATTCCTGACTCCCACTTGAGGAGGCCTAACAAAACGGCATATGCCTCAACAGCAGCAGATCAGTGTTAAAAAGTCTGGAGTCAAGGGGAAAAAGTAAAATTGGACCATTTCCAAAATCTCACAAAAAGCAACAAACTGACGTTCTAAGTGCCCAACATGAGCAAATTAGAACCTTAAATAAAGGTCACTCTTAATGCCTATCCCAGCATAGATGCAGCACCAAGTACAGTGTCATTTTACTGGTTTACCTTTTTCATTCTTGAAAGTAGGAGCTATGAAAAAAAAACACTAAAATTTCTCTAAGAGAACCTTCTACTTTCTGTCTAACTTACATAATCAAAACACTCTATTGAGGGTGAAAATTGAATATTATAAGAAAATAATCACGTGTTTTGCGAGAAGTTGCAAATATAATGCTCCTCCACCCAATACCTACCTTAAAAAGAAAAAAGGAAACATACAAAATTATCTCGAGAATTATTCCTGCTTAAACAATGTCTACGTGCCATTACTAAGAAAGTATGCACACAGTAAAGATGAGAAGAGAACATGCAAGCGTGAACATACTTGTTAGGGATATAGGACTATGGGTAATTTAAACATTTTAATGGTATTACTCTCATGTAATTGCTCTGAAATTCTAGTCAGTTGTTTGAAATGGCTCTTAGAACAGAATACTTTGACATTTTTATGATGTCAAAAACTAAGAACTTAGCCCTAAATATTCCAAAGAATAGGTGCAGAAGAACCCATTTCCTTAAACGGCATTTGAGTATTCTTCACAACTCAAACTTTCTCTCCCATCCTGTGATGGCCGAGAGTTTTTCCTCTGACGACGGCACTGACCTTACCCTATCCAAAATATGAACATCTGCATGGTTTCCTGGTTCAAATTGTTTTTATCCATTCTGTCGTGAGAATCAAATGGTTCAGACCATGCAGCACCTCTCTGGGACTTCTCAAGTCCTTTCTAGATCTGAAGACTATTCTCTGAACCAAAGACAACTTCTGGGGGTGTACCAAATCTCCCATTAGAAAATTATTAAGATCAAGATGTTTTAACCTTTTAACTCTTTCTCAAACAAAATAAATTCGTTTCTCCTTTACTGTTATTTTAAATTTCAAAATACACAGATAGTATATCTAAAATAAAATCAAGAGAATGACAGTTTTAGAACACAAACTGTGGTAATTTTGAAAACACAAAAGCTAAGACCACTAATTAGGTCTATGTGGACACCAAGTCCACCACAACCTGTTCTGTCCTCCGGGGCTCTGCCCACGCCTTTCCCTTGCCTGAGATTCCTTCTGCTTCCTACCCTTCCAAATGCTGTATTTCCCCCTGGAAGACTTGCCAAGACCACTCTAACCTGCACATCTCCCATTCCAGCTAACCAAAGGCATCCTTGGGTTGACTAAACCAAATTATTTTGCAGACAAGGCATCTAAACACTTCCACTGTAGACTATTCACCTTAATAATTGTTATTGTGACATTATTCAATAATAAAATGAGGGAAAGAAGTCCTCTTCAATCCCTTATCCTGGAGAACCCAAGCAAGTGTCTTTCCCACTTGCTTTGCCCAAACCCTGGGACCTTTCTAAGTAAAAGTTTAATGGAAGGGAAAGAAAATCTAAAAGAAAAACTCTCCAAGAAATTAAACTCGGGCAAAGATTCATGGGATTAAAAATTTTTATTCTTTGTGTATCTGATTTCCGAAACATAGAAATCTCTCTCCCACTCCTTAAACCTGCCACTGGGCTAAGAGAGTATTGTACAGAATATGCACTCACTGACTTAACAGAATTAGAACATCCAGGCACTCACTGAGATTTTGCTTCCACAACCGCTCAAAGTCTAGTCATTAGTTCATGAGTTAACACCACACTTGACCTTCAAATTTTGGAAATGCTGACGGTAGACAGGGACTTGTTTTGGGAAAGGAAGTACACAGTAGACATTGTTACCCATGACCCAACCACCACCACCTTTCCTTTAAAGAACCCCACTCTTCCTTTAAGGTTGCAGAGTCTCAGAAAGTGGGAAGAAAGGAAGTTTTTGCATTTTCAGGTCAAAACGAAGTACATTTGTGCAACCACATAATGCCCATGCAAAGGTTTCTTGAAATCTAAACACAAGACAGAAGTAGTTCTAGCACCTCCACAAAAAGTAAGGTAAGTAAGCTTTTCCTTAATATACACTTTCAGCAGCATCAACACCTAAAAGTGGTTGACTTTACTACTGTACTAAATTAAATTACATTCATTTTGTCAATAGGTGTTCCAAATTCGTACTGATCTTTGTCTCCAAGGGGTTCCTGCTGAATATTGAGACAGTTGAAGATTACTAGGGGAAAAAATTCTTAATAATCGAAGTAAGGATCATCTAAGGATAATATGCCACATATACAGACACAGTCACATTTTCAGCTTTACAAAAGTTCAGTTATCAAAGTTGTACAGCAAACACTATCCTAAGCTTAGTGTCTTCAGGCATTTGATTTATAATCACTGTAAAGAAAAATCAGTCACAAAATGCCACTGTTGTATGATTCTATTTATATGAAATGCCCAGGATAGGCAAATCTACAGAGATAGAAGTTAGATCAGAGGTTGCCAGGATCAATGGTGGGGGAGAGAGCTACAGGGAGTGACTGCTAGTGGGTACGGGGTTCTTTTTGGGGAGATGAAAATGTTCTGAAATTAGGGAGTGGTAATGGCTGCATAACTCTGAATATACTAAAAACCACTGAACTGTACACTTGAAGGGTGAGGCTTATCATACAAAAACTGTATCACAATAAAGCTCTTAGTTTAAAAAATGTTTGTCTATGTCAAGAAACAAAGAAATAGGGTCATAGCTAGAAGATATGGGATATAAAATACTGGAACAAAACTGCTTAATAATATATCTAGAATCACACAATGCTTAGTCTTTACGCTGACTAAAATCACGAGATTTGTGTTTTATCGGTATTTCACGTTTTTTACTTCTTCTAAGTCAGCCAGTAATTCCTCCTTCTCACTTAATCGTTGACTACAAAGACCAAGCCATTTTGACTCTGCCACCGATGAGCTTTCACATTTCTTTCCTCCTTCCATTCCCATGACTACCAAACCAGTGCAGGTTCTCCTCACTTCACTCTAAGACAACAGCGTGGCCCTCAAATACTGTCACACTCTTCAAGGCTCTGTGAGCACAATCTGTCTCATATTCTCTTCTGCTGTCACCAGATTTATTCTAAGACCGTTTCTTCACTGTTACTCCCCTGTTTCTCAACCAGTTACACAGAAAGACGAATATCCAGGCATGGTGTCATGTGCCTGTAGTCCCAGCTACTCAGGAGGCTGAGGCGGCAGGATCGCTTGAGAATGTGAGATTCAGACTGCAGTGAGCCATGATCATGCCACCGCACTCCAGCCTGGGCAACAGAGTGAGATTGTCTCAATAAATAAATAAGTAAATAAATAAATAAATAAATGAATAAATAAATGTGGTCTATCCATGCAACGGAATACTATAAAATTATCAGCCTTAAAAAAGAAAGAAGCCCTGTCACATGCTGCAATATAGATGAACCTTGAAAACATTACACTAATTGAAATCAGCCCATCACACAAAGACAAATGCTGTACAATTTCTCTTACATTAGGTTCGAAATTAGTCAAACTCATAGAAACAGAAAATAGAGCGGTTGTTTCCATAAGCCAGGGGATAGAGAAATGGGGAGTTGTTGTATAGTGGCTATAGTTTCAGTTCTCCAAGAGAAGCAAGTTCTAGAAACTCGTTACTCAACGTATATTTTTAACACTACTGCACTGTATACTTACAAGTGGCTAATATGGTAAATTTTATGTTGTGCCTTATCACCATAATGTTTTTAAAAGAAGGGGTTTGTGTTTCCCTTCGTTGTGATCACCCATTTTTCACTTCAGCATTTTGAACTTGAGATTTCCTGTAGCGGTTTTACTGAGCCCTGCAGTTACCGGCTCAGAATGTCTCCACCGCCTTGTAACCTTGTAGGCAGACACTTTTCAGCATCTTATTGGGCTCCGTGTGCTTGATGCTTAAAGTGACATGGAGACATGCCACTTGCTGAGAAGCAAAGAAAGGCAAAAGGTGACTGCTTTCCTGGCATCGATGAAGGCAGAGAGAAGGGATCTTGGAGGCACAGATATTAAGCCATAAGCAATAACATGGGTTGCCAAAAAGAGAACTAACCCCTCTCCTGGTAACATTTCCAGGTGTTTTTCACAGGGCCAGTGGATTTCACAATGTGAGTGCTGTCCAGCACCAAAGGGAATGGCCAACAGGCATGGAGCAGCCTACAGCGTCCAGCACCCAGTAGGATGGCCAGGAGGCACGGAGCAGCCTGCCTGTCCCAGGAAAGCAGGAGTCACAGGACACAACTGGACCCAGGTAGGCATGTATGTTACTTTCCTGTGGCTGTTAGAGCAAATTACCAAAAATGTGGTGACTTAAAACAACAGAAATTTATTTTCTCACAGTTTTGGATATCAGAAGTCCAAAATCAGTATCACTGGGCTGAAATCTAGGTCTCAGCAGAGCCAGTGCTCTCAGAGGCTGAGGGGAAAATCCATCCTTTGACTTGCGCAGCTTCTGATGGCTGCTGGCATTCATTGGCTTGCAGCTCCACCACTCCAGGCTCTGCCTTCTTGGTCACAGGGCCTCCTTCTCTTCTGTCTGAAGTTAAATCTCCTTTATCTCCCTCTTATAAGGATATATGTGCCAGGATTTAATGCCCACGGAGACAATCCAGGATAATCTCTCCTCAAGATCCTTAACTTAATCATACCTGAAAATATGCTTTTTCCAAATGAGGTAACATCTACAGGTTCTAGGAGTTCCAGACCAGCCTGGACGACATGGTGAAACACGGTCTTTTTTTTTTTTTTTTTTTTTTTTTTGAGCGGAGTTTCGCTCTTGTTTTCCAGGCTAGAGTGTTTTCCGGTCTCGACTCACCGCGGCCTCCACCTCCCGGTTAGGTGGTTCTCCTGCCTAAGCCTCCTGAGTGGCTGGGATTGCAGGCATGAGCCACCATGCCAGCTAATTTTGGTGGTTTTTTTTTTGTACAGACGGGGTTTCTCCGTGTTGGCCGGGCTGATCTCAAGCTCCTGACCTCGGGTGATCCGCCCGCCTCCGCCTCCCTGGGTGCTGGGATTGCAGGCGTGAGCCACCGCGCCCCCGGTCCAATTTAGTAACCAGAAAGGAATAGATCGGCCTGGCGTGGTAGCTCATGCTTGTGATCCCAGTACTGTGGACGGCCGAGCGCGGCGATCGATTGAGCCTAGGACTTCCAGACCGGCCTGGGCAACGTGGTGAAACACTGTCTTTTTTTTTTTTTTTTTGAGTGGAGTTTCGCTCGTTTTGCAGGCTGGAGTGCAGTGGCGTGGTCTCGACTCACCGCGGCCTCCACCTCCCGGGTTTAGGTGGTTCTCCTGCCTCAGCCTCCTGAGTGTCTGGGATTGCAGGCATGAGCCACCATGCCAGCTAATTTTGGTTTTATTTTTTTGGTACAGACGGGGTTTCTCCGTGTTGGTCGGGCTGATCTCGAGCTCCTGACCTCGAGTGATACGCCCGCCTCCGCCTCCCTGGGTGCTGGGATTGCAGGCGTGAGCCACCGCGCCCCCGGTCCAATTTAGTAACCAGAAAGGAATAGATCGGCCTGGCGTGGTGCCTCCCCCTTGTGATCCCAGGACTTTGGAAGGCCGAGTGTGGCAGATCGCTTGAGCCTAGGAGTTCCAGACCGCCTGGGCAACATGGTGAAACCCGGTCTCTGTTTTGAGATGGAGTTTCACCCTTGTTGTCCAGGCTGGAGTGCAATGGTGTGATCTTTGCCCACCGCAACCTCGGCCTCCCGGATTTAGGTGATTCTCCTGCCTGGGCCTCCCTAGTAGCTGGGATTACAGGCATGAGCCACCATATCCGGCTAATTTTGTAGTTTTTTTCTTTTTTTTAGTAGAGACGGGATTTCTTCATGTTGGTCAGGCTGGTCTCCGACCTCGGGTGATCCGCCCACCTCTGCCTTCCAAAGTGCTGGGATTGCAGGCCTGAGCCACTGCGCCCGACGGAAACCCAGAACGGAAAACAAAACAAAAACCACAAAGATTAGCCGGGTGTGGTGGGCCGCGCAGGTAGTCCCAGCTACTCTGAAGGCTGATGGAGGAGGATTGCTTCACCCCGGCTTCTAGGTGGCAGTGAGCTATGATGGCGCTGCTGCACTCCAGACTGGGCGACAGAGCGGGACTCTGTGGCAGGAAAAGGGAAAGGAAAAAAAAAAGAATGTAAATAAAATTGCTAACTCAAGGAACAGCTTGACAGTATATTATTGCGACAAATAGAGGCAAAGGTTAGCAGACACCAGTGTTCACTTAGTGGGACCTGCGGGTGTTCCCCCCATAGGAGGCTGCTACTTTCCCACAAGAAATCCATTACTGACTACCGATAAAAGAACACATCGTTGGTTTCTTACAATATACAAATAGCTAAACTTTATATAGCCACGACCCTCTTCTAGCACTGCTCTAAGCCTTTTCCTGCTCTGAAATAGCTACTATTGTTACCTCCATTGTAGAGAAAACAGGTGCCGGAGGCTGTTGTGGAAGGCCCAGGGAAACTGACTATGAAATTGACTTGTTGTAAGTTTCAGACTTAAAAGTTCTTCCTGCTCTGCGCCTTACATTGCTACATTTTAGTTAAGGTACCTCTTACAATACTGGTCTTTTCTGTATTTGGAGGGACTTCTCTTGCAAATTGAAGTTTTTTCTTGCGCTAAGCATTTGGTCATGAGATTATCTGCGTTTTACATCAGTTTAAATACCTCTTTAGACATTGTTCAGTTAGGAATGTAAATAGGAGCTAACATTGTGTGTAAAAGGAAAGAACATCTGATTACAACCACTTTTGTTTCATAATACAAATATAAATCAATATGTTATTGGAAATGCAGGCTGGGAGGGGAGGGAAAATATGCATAGAGAAAAGCCCCATCTCTGCTTGGAGTTCAGCACTGGGTCTCTTTTTCCTTTCCACCTTCCTTGTCAAGGCTGCCACAGTGACAAGCACACAGGGGTGCCTTTAGTGACACCTGCTGCGACAGACCTGGCAGAACGGATTGCAGATTTGCATGTTTCCTGGCTGCCTCTGCTAGCCTGAGTCAGCAGCCCACTCCAATTCATGCTGAGCTTAGACAGCTCAGGTTTGCAAAATTATCCCTTCCCTTGGAGCAACCGCTTTCCAGTCTCTTCATCATTCCTAAAGGAGAATGACATACATGCCAGCATGACAGAGGTCCAGAAATTTATAGAAGCTTCATTGTGAGCCTATATCCTTAACAGGGGTTCAAACTACCAACACCGAATGAAGAGAGAGGTTTTGCAGTAAAGCAGGAAGTCATTAAAATAATGAATCACCCAGCTAGGTTTTGAGCTCCTTTCCCACCAATTTAATGGAAAGTTTTATTGTCTTTACAATGTACACTTTCATAAATTTTGCATAAATTTATTATTCACATCTTAACATAGGTAACTCCTTAGTGTTTGATCACTGAGCAAATTATATGCAGCAAAACAATCCTATATTTTGGTGAACTCATAGCTTAGAAAATACTAAAGACTCATTGTAAACTGAGGGCAGCATTAAGCAAATTATATTTACCTTTGTGACTGCAAAACTTAATGATTCAATGCTTTTCCCATGAAATTTATCTTCCAATACTGATAGTTTTTTAAACAAAAAATATGAATTAAATATCAATTAAAATTTTATCATTGTTTTCAGAAACTGTGACTTCACTAGTTATGAACAGACTTGAAATGTATAGTTTTTAAGTTTGGAAATTCTTTGTAGTCTCATTTACTTTTCCAGGAAGGAAGTGAGATATTTTTTGCCACTGTTGCCTGGTTTTTGTTTGTTTTTTGATCATAAACAAAACTTAATGGAGCCTCAAATCTACTAACTCGGTCCTCCTCTGGCAATATGCCTTTTTCTGATTTCTAGATATCACTTGATATTTTTTAACACACTAATTTTATTATTTAAAAATTTATAAAAGTACTCAGAAGTAAGAGGCAAATTAAATTTGAAACCTTAGTGGTAATACCATCATCCAAAGTCATCATCAATAATATTTTGGCATATTTTATTTTAAAATACATTTCAGCACAGTTTAGTTATATTTGTTATATCTGTATCAATAAACTGTTTTCATATGTCATTACTTTTATGGATATAATTTTTGACGTGCGACTAATACGAAATCTTATATACTTGCTATAGTTGACCTTGTGAGACATTTAGATTTTCAACTGTTTAGTACTTTAATAACCAGTTTTTATTCTAATATCATTATTAGAATAATAATATTACTATAGTATTATTATTATTGTAGCAATAACTTGTTTTTAGAATAAATATCCTATTTCTCATTTAACTTGATCGGATCCGTGCATGGACAATTATGTTGGGAACATAGAATGTAACTGGCCCTGTTTCAACCCCTTAGATGTGGCCCTCAGTTCAGGGAAGGGAGGAGTTCTCTACTGGGCTGATAAAGCAGAATTCAGAAACATTGTTTTCTTCTCTACCTGGTGTCTTACAAAACCAGAAGATGTGAGTGTGACTCGTAAAGGCAAGAGCATGTATATTATGCAAAAGCAGCCTGAAATATTTTATTCACAGACAGACAGACAATGCTTGACTCCCTGCTAATCTGAAATACTTCGTGGGGAGGGCCAGGGAAATCAAAACAAAATTTCAGAAGTAGAATGAGCTATTTGGTGTATGTCTCCAAGGCCAATAAATAACAAGAAGGAAAAATAAATTTCTTTGCTAACAACAAGAAGGAGAAATAAACTTTTTTGCTCTAAAATATTTTCCAATTATCTCCACGACACTGGAGGGAAGGACTAACAAAAAAAAAAAAAAAAAGAAAGAAAGAAAGAAAAAAAAAAAGAAAAGAAAAAAAAGGTGGGGCATGGTGGCTCATGCCTGTAATCCCAGCACTTTGGGAGGCCAAGGCGGGTGGATCACAAGGTCAGGAGATCGAGACCATCCTGGCCAACATGGTGAAACCTGGCTCTACTAAAAATACACAAAATTAGCCGCAGGCACCTGTACTCCCAGCTACTTGGGAGGCTGAGGCAGGAGAATGGCATGAACCCGGGAGGCAGAGCTTGCAGTGAGCCGAGATGGCGCCACTGCACTCCATCCTGGGGGACAGAGCGAGACTCCATCTCAAAAAAAAAAAAAAAAAAAAAAATTAACCATCACAGAGGAGCAGAGAAAAACCTTCTCAAAGACAGAAGTCATTGATTTATTTCCATCCCGGCACAAGCCCCTTAATTCTGTAACTTGTCCAGAATGGTTTCCTGTCACTGTAGATTCTGCATCAGAACATCCTCTTATGCAAAGCTAAAAAACTCCAAACCACCTCTGTTAACTGTGCGGTGCTCCATGGTTTCACACAGTCCAGAGCTGCTTGTGTTTATCAAAAATGAAGCTGAAAACAAAATTCTTCCTTCACACAACCACTACATTCCATTGCACATTTACCAAAGACATTTACCACATTGGCATTATTTGTGCATCCATCAAGAAGTGCTGAAAAGCATTCCCCTCACACACTGCATGTGTCCTGTGAGTGGATCTTCCATTTTACTTGCCAGTTCTGGAAAACTTTGAATTTGTGTGTCGATGGAAAATTAAAGTTTAGTGGCATCTTTGCCCCACATTCACCCAACTTTTCTAAGGAACTATTTCAATGCTACTTTTCACTAGTGTCACTTTTCAGTCTTAGCCTCCTGGAGTACAACTTTATTAGAAGCCCGCAAAGCACTAGTGTTAAAATGAGAAATAGTAAACATCTGATTCTGTTGTGTTTTAACTCCATGCTTTTCTCTAATGTTTCATTGTTTTGAATTTAATTCTTTGTGCTTCCCACGTGAATGCAACTTACAGTTTGAATGTCTTCTTTCTTCACTAGCCGATGCATCTGTGCCAGTAACACATGGTGATTCTGTCCTTTCACCTTCAGTTATGCCTGTAAAACCAAATTCAAGACAGATGATCCTCAACTCACAAAGGAGTTATAGCTCATCATCAGTTGAAAATATAAGCCGAAAATGCATTTAAGGCCGGGTGCAGTGGCTCAGCCTGTAATCCCAACTCTTTGGGAGGCTGAGGCGGGTGGATCACCTGAGGTCGGGAGTTAGAGACCAGCCTGGCCAACATGGGGAAACCCTGTCTCTACTAAAAATACAAAAATTAGCCAGGCATGTTGGTGCGCACCTGTAATCCCAGCTACTGGGAAGGCTGAGGCAAGAAAATCGCTTGAACCCAAGAGGCAGAGGTCGCAGTGAGCCGAGATCATGCCATTGCACTCCAGCCTGGGTGACAAGAACAAAACACACTGTCTCAAAACATAAAATTAAATTAAATTAAATTAAAATGCATTTAATACACCTAAGCTAACATCATAGCTTAGCCTAGCTTACCTTAAACATTCTCAGAAAATTTACATTCACCTTCCATTGGGCAAAAATTATCTCTCACAAACCCACTTTAAAGTGTTGAATATCTCATGTAATTTATTGAATACTGAAGTATGGTTTCTGCTGAATGCGTATCACTTTCACACCATCATAAAGTCAAAAAATTATAAGTCAAACCATTGTATGTCAGGGATCATCTGTCCATTAGAAATAGTACTTCTGAGTAAAACGAGGACAAACTCCTTTGGTCTTCATGTCCTCAGAATCACTTTCATAATCATCTCTTGGTTTACAAGGTGCATCTTTTATTGGTTAAAAAAATTAATACAATTTATTTCACTCTCAAATTAGGTTTAATAATAAATAACACAACTTTCTTTTGTTTTCACTAATAATGCTAACATTGGCTTGATTTAAAATTAAAATTATTGCAAAAATAAGACTTTATAGAATAGATGTTCCCATTTTTCAGATGTGTGAGATTATACTATAGTTGACAAACTAACCTTAAAGAACACAGCTTGCAATGTGGTCCTTGTGTATGTGACTCGTTTGCAGCTCACAGCCTCTGCATCTTTCCATCGAGTCTGACAAAACCTGAGTTGGTCTGTAACTGCTCATTGAGACAAGTCCCCTGATGTCACATACAGATGCTGGGAGAATGTCAAGTTTCTATAGAAATTTCTAAACA
This sequence comes from Homo sapiens, assembly GCF_000001405.40. Classification (NCBI taxonomy): domain Eukaryota; kingdom Metazoa; phylum Chordata; class Mammalia; order Primates; family Hominidae; genus Homo; species Homo sapiens. The sequence goes on from NC_000015.10 coordinate 30,432,913, forward strand.
TTTACCCTGAATTTCTATGTTTCTGTCATTACATAGAGATGACAGAGTGTTGACAGACTTTGAGTGGTCTTTAGTAACCAATTGTTGAAAGTCTGGTTTAGCTAAACTAGTTTGTAAGTACCTTGGCAGGTGCCTTTGCTGTAGGAATTCTCAGAGTCTCTATAAACTAATGAGCATTGGAAATCTGCAGGGGGGAAACAGAGTATGCAGTATCCCCCATGATGATTCAACCCCAGATTTTATTTTTCACTGAGCATCTCACACTTAGTAGTGTATCTTTTCTATGCATTGGGCACTGGGAGACGACGTGTAGTCATCTCAACAGAGACCTGGCCTTCAGACGCCACCACTCACTGCCGCTCTGTCCAGGCGAGCATCAACTTGCACTGTTTCAGAAGCAAAAGGAAAATGAACCGCAGCCACTGAAGTCCCTCAGAACTGAGGAAAAGTTATTGACTTTCCTGATTTGTGTTCAATCTGGCTGGCCATGGGTACAGACACAGCTGGTTTCCCCATTTGTGAGCTGGACGGATTTAATTCCTGGCTGTTTGAATGATGTATCCCCTCATCAGTGAAACCAACAGAGTAGCTCAACTTAATTTTCTCTTTCTATGGCATGCCATTTATACCCATTCAATTATGCCTGTGTCAATTAAGTCAAACATTCTTACTGTCTCTATTTCTAATAAAAAGTGGTAAACACTCGAAAACCCCTTTCATAAATAGGCATGTATAAAAGCAATGTTCTTAATAAAAATGTTGGACTTAATAAAAGTATTTTAAAAAACAGTAGGAACCATAGTATAATAAAGGCCTTGGCCGGGCGTGGTGGCTCACACCTGTAATCCTAGCACGTTGGGAGGCTGAGGCGGGCAGATCACGAGATCAGGAGATGGAGACCATCCTGGCTAACACGGTGAAACCCCATCTCTACTAAAAACACAAAAAATTAGCTGGGCGTGGTGGCAGGTGCCTGTGGTCCCAGCTACTCGGGAGGCTGAGGCAGGACAATGCTGTGAACCCAGGAGGGGGAGTTTGCAGTGAACAGAGATTGTACCACTGAACTTCAGCCTGGGCGACAGAACGAGACTCCGTCTCAAAAAAAAAAAAAAAAAAAAAAAAAAAAAAATATATATATATATATATATATATATATATATATATATATATATATATATAAAGGCCTCATTTTGCAGGTGAGGACACTGAAGATTATAGGAGAAAGAAGGGCTTCATGCAAAACCACGTTCCTGATTGTTGGCAGAACCAAGCCGACAACCTGGAACTCAAGTTTCTCTACTTATAGTAGACGCTCAAAGAATTATAATACTTTATAACAACGTCATAATCATTTGACGTTTCTAAGCTGGTCATGTTTTCTTTCATGTGTACTTCTCCCCTCTCAACAATTACCGTGCCCTTGGCAATTTAATAAAGCAGGATAATATTCAACTCAGTGACCTACAGCTTGACAAGCATCTCCTGCTCCCAGAAAACAGAAGGTGTTGCTGTCAAACTAATACTAAATAATAATTTTCTGTAGTCCTAGAGCCTCTGGACTTCCCAATTACACGGCCAATAAACCCCCTCATTGTCTGAGCCAGTCTGAGCTGGGCAGCCTGACTGAAGTCTGGAACATCCTAACTGGCACAAAGGCCCTTAAGATGACCCCAAGCCACCTGTCTGGCTTTCTCTCTTGTCACTTCCTTCTACATCCTCTCTGCAATAACCAAATTAGATTACTCACCATTCTCCACACTGCCTTGTGATTTTCTTTCTTTTTTTTTTTTTTTTGATGAAGTTTTATTCTTGTTGCCCAGGCTGGAGTGCAGTGGTGTGATCTCAGCTCACTGCAATCTCTGCCTCCTGGGTTCAAGTGATTCTCCTGCCTCAGCCTCCCAAGTAGCTGGAATTACAGGTGCCCAGCATCATGCCCAGCTAATTTCTGTATTTTTAGGAGAGACAGGGTTTCACCATGTGGGCCAGGCTAGTCTCCAACTCCTGACTTCCGGCGATCCACCTGCCTCGGCCTCCCAAAGTGGATCTTCTTTTTTTACCCATGCACTTGCCCAAGCTGACTTTCTGGCTCAAACCTTTCCCCTGGCCTTGCATCCTCTCTATCCATCTGCCCAAACCTCCCTCACTCTCCAAAGTCTCATTTCAAATGTTGCCTTTCCCTGAAGCTTCTCCCGGAATGACCCATCTCTCCCTCCTCATTCTGATCATTTCCTCTTTGAATTCCCGTAGTGTTAGGTATGCCCTCCTCTTCCAGCACTGAATCCAGCCTTGCCTCGCATTAGAGTCATTTGTACACCTGACCTTAATCCCCCTGAGGGCAGGGATAGTTTGTGTTTATCCCAAAGTCCTGAAACAACTAGTACAGAACCTGAGACACAGGAAGGCCCCAGAATTGCCTGCCGAATAGAACAGTGATAGTGCTGAATTTGGTTCCTCCTTTAACCTGTGTGACCCCAGACGTTTGTTTTCTATGAAGTCTCAAAACATGGTTATGTTTCCTAATTTACAACGAACACATGGAAACCCATGTTTTGAAAACGGGGGTGGGGAGGATGAACTGAAGGCAGCCTCTTCAGCCAAGTTCCAAAGGCCAGGTGGCCCACTGTGAACCTTGTTTAACCACACAGAACATATGAATAGCTACAACAAGGGATCTAACAGTTACCAGAATGTTTTCAGAAAGGTGACTTCAGAAGTGCCAAGCTTCAGGAAGACCTGGACTGAGAAGGGATCAGACAACTTTAGGAAAGCAGGTACCAAACAGCCCTTTTACAGTTTACACACAGGCCTTGGTGTCAGAAAAATACTGGTTTGAGTACTGGTTATGCATCAGAGATGCCACTCTGGACAAGCTCCTTATGCTCTCTGGGACTCTGCTTTCTCATCTAAAAAATGGGGATCACCTGAGGTCAGGAGTTTGAGACCAGCCTGGCCAACATGGCAAAACCCCATGCCTGCTAAAAATACAAAAATTAGATGGGTGTGGTGGCTCGCACCTGTACTTGCAGCTACTTGGGAAGCGGAGGCAGGAGAATTGCTTGAACCTGGGAGGCAGAGGTTGCAGTGAGCTGAGATCGCACCACTGCACTCCAGCCTGGGCAACAGAGTGAGACTCTGTCTCAAAAAACGGGGCGGGGGGTGGTGGATAATAATAGTGCCTACCTCAAGAGGTTGCTGTGAACACCAGAAGAAGCAATACACACCAAGTGCCTACAGATAGTAAGCACTTGGTAAAAATGTAACTGCCATTAACAATAAATATGATGCTCACAGGGTCAGTGGAAAAAGTAGTGGAAAGTAGGAGTGGTGGGAACAGAACAGGAGGGAACAAAGCACCTCTGAGTAGACCTTTCTGTATAGCTCCGACTCTCCGTCTCTTATTATGTTTCACCCTAATAATTCATTAAAACTAGGATAGGAAGGCTGAGGGTGTTTTTGGAATACAAACACTAATGAACCAAACTGCATTATAAATAGTGGCCACACTGAAAGGGATGAAGAAGAAAGTAACTACTTTTTTTTTTTTTTTTTAGACAGAGTCTCCCTTTGTTGCCCAGGCTGGAGTGCAGCGGGGCTATCTCAGCTCACTGCAATCTCTGCCTCCTGGGTTCACGCCATTCTCCTGCCTCAGCCTCCCGCAGTAACTGGGACTACAGGCGCCCGCCACCACACCCAGCTAATTTTTTGTATTTTTAGTAGAGACGGGGTTTCACCATGTTAGCCAGGATGGTCTCGATTTCCTGACTTCGTGATCTGCCTGCTTCGGCCTCCCAAAGTGCTGGGATTACAGGCTTGAGCCACCGCGCCCGGCCCCCCCGCTCCATTTTTTTTTTTTTTTTTTTTTGAGACGGAGTCCCGCTCTGTTCCCCAGGCTGGAGTGCAGTGGCACAATCTCAGCTCACTGCAAGCTCCGCCTCCCTGGTTCAAGCCATTCTCCTGCCTCAGCCTCCCAAGTTGCTGGGACTACAGGCACCCGCCACCACGCCCTGCTAATATTTTTTGTATTTTTAGTAGAAACGGGGTTTCACCGTGTAAGCCAAGATGGTCTCGGTCTCCTGACCTTGTGATCCACCCACTTTGGCCTCCCAAAGTGCTGGGATTACAGGCGTGAGCCACCACGCCTGGCCTCCCCCTGCTTTACTTGTATTAACCAAATATTTATGAGTCTATCTATCAAGCGTTCAAATTATTTTACATGTAATCGCCAATCTCCAGAAAATAAATGGGACCACAACAAATTTACCCTAATTTCTGCAGCGAGCATAAATAATTGCTTTCAAGGGATGCTTGAATGAAATTACTATCCTGACTGTAGGGGCAGGGGCTTGGTGAAGATTTGTCCTTTGTGAGTAATGAGAAGAGTATACTTGGATATAAAAATAGTGAAGAAATAAGTAGTTTTTATAAAAACGCTAAATTCCATGTTTAGCAAAGTTAATGAGCCCTAAATTCCTAAAGCTGAGTATTAGTGTGTAAATGAGTACTCCAAACCAACAGAGAATAACCTTGTAATTCATGGATATTTAGCTAAAACTTCATATGTTCTCATCATTCTGTGTCTCCTAGTTTTAGTTCAAACAGATGTTTTCACTCCTAAAAGACTCAAAATTTCTGACAATGCCCTTTATTAATGTTACTTTTTGAGAAATCACTTATTAAGTAAAAATTAAATTTACATTTTTCAAAATTGCATGTTGGGTTAATTTACCAAATCTTTTATCTGTTTTGTGTTTCCAGTTAGCCATTTTTGTTTCTGATTTGTAAATATTCAAAAATATTTGTTGAAATTACAAATTTTATTAATTGATTTTTGAGGGGAGTAGGGTGCGTTAGTTACTTTTCATTTAAATTCTGTGGTGTTTTTGCATATTCAAATTATTGTATTGTGAATAACCTGAAAGACAGTAGCTGTATGATCGTTTGAGGTAATGGTAACAATACTCAAGGGTTGAAAAGATATGATTTTAAGTATGAGCTAAGGAGACTGCCCTTTATGTAACTACGGGATGATGTGAAAATCTGTTTTAACAGCATGATTAAATTTGGAATTCTTTTTTTTGAAGTTTTGTAAAAGGGAGGCAGAAGTTTAAGGGAAAAAGTTGGCCAGGTAAACTTGGATAGTTTTAGATCTATTAGTGACAGAATACTCAAGCTCTTGAAAATAGGAAAAGTTGTTCTTGCCATGTCAAAGGACAAGGGCTGCCATATGCTAATCACTGTATCTTTACTCAGATCCTATAAAATGATTTGTACAGAGAAGGGATTTAGTAAATCTTTACTAAATTAATGTTAGATGATGGAATGGATCATTGCGGCTGAAGGAGAGAGTAGTGAAAATGAGGATATTAGGAAAGGAAGTGGATGATTTGCTCAGATGTTGTTAAATTAGGTTTTGATAGAAAAAACCTGGAAAAAAAAAAAAAAACGACAACAGCCTGCATGACTTCTTAAAGCCCCCACCTCTTAATACTGTTTCAATGGCAATTACATTTCACATGAGTTTGAAGGGGAACTTAAAACCATAGCAAAGAGCACATTATATTCGTTGTTTCTGTGTAGTGCTGCTCTTTACCAGGCTAATAAATCCTGGTAGACATGCAAGAGCTTGCTCTTAATCCAAAATAAACAAAATGTGTTTTACTGAGAAAATTGCAGACATATCAAAGGGTAGTTTGACAGCACGGGTACAGAATACTATCAAGACATTTTCTTCTGTTTTACATACATGGGTAATTCTTGCTTGAATGCAAGAGGGCTGAATACCAGCTTTATTTAATATATTTTGTGTCAACTTCTGTATACAGATTTTTTTTTCTTGAGGTGAGAGAAGAGGAAAGAGGAGAACGTTAATTCCAGATAGCTTTAAGCAAATGTTAGAAAGGCGAACATTTATAGGTTTCCAAATATCTTTTGGCTAGCTGACATTTACAAACACGGAGCTAGGTAAGCTTTTCCCCCTAGCAATATTAAGGCTCTGGCAGCAAGTAAAGGATATGTGAAGTGAAATATGCCTTTCAAACATAGTAAAGAAGAAGACTGTTTGTAACCACCGTTGGTGAAAATCACGAGAACCAAGTCTTTCTTGTTATTTTAAACATCCTATAAAAGCATTGCAAAAGTTTATATTGCTGGTTAAAATATTTGGGACTATTTTGTCCATTTCCACACCTTACTTTAAGGTCCAGGCATTTGTTGAGAGGGAAATTGCCTATTTAACTGAAGGAACAATATGTTTTAAATTACTGAGAGTACTCTGTTGAAACTTAATGAGAACAGAAAGCAGCATTAATAAGAAAAATAGTATTTACAAAGATTGCTTAAGGATGCAAGCTGGGTACCAACTAATTGTAATTCTTTAATTTCGGTATGCGTGCAACATCCCATGTGTATGAAAACAAAATGTGTATTTCCAAGCAGTATGTTTTAGGATCAGAGAATTTCAACCAAATATTAAATTCTCAAATCGTATGCAAACAAGTGTCAATCATGGCTTTAACATGACAGCTGGAGGAAAAAATTCAAGCAACATGTGTAGATAATTGTGGTTAATGTTTATCTGTACATAGGAAGATACTTCAGATGTGTAAGTATGCAAATAACTCTCGGATTTCTAATTACTGTATTTATCAAGTTCTATATGCTGTCTAAATTCAGAAATGAAAGCAATTTTAAAATAGCATGCATATTATAATTACAATATTAAATTGAGCTCAACTTTCCTAGCTATTCTCTGCCTTTCTGTCTGCCTCTGCCTATGTCTCTATCTCACACATGTATGTGTGTATGTGTATATATACCCTCACTTGTGAACATATATTCATAACCACATGTATAAACACACAGTATAAAAGGATATTAGAAAAGGAAGTGGATGATTTGCTCAGATTTTGTTAAATTAGGTTTTGATAGAACAAACCTGAAAAAATACGTTAAAACATATGAGGACATATACCAAAATATTATCACTAGTTAATTTTAAGACAAGCCTGATGGGTCATTTTAATTTTCTACTTTTTACCTGTCTGTTTTGATTGCAACTTTAAAAATAAGCCTGTGTTACTTTTTAAAGAGAAAGAGAGAGAGAGCAAGATTTGCCTGTTTTGGAAAATTGTTTTAAAGGAACACCACAGGAAATGAAGTAATTCTTAAGTGCCTGCCATTTATATCTAAAAATGGTTTTCAGTAATGGGATAGTTCTAGTATCAGTAGGGAGATCCATTATCACATGCAGATTTAACCTTGTTGTTGTAGGCCAGAAATATTTAAAACCATTTAACTGACTTGAAGAATTCTTCAATTTTTGAAAATATATTTCAAAAGAAAAACTTTCCAGTTAATTTATGAAGTTAACAAAATATTGATTCTAAATGGTATATTTATAAAATTTTATTCTGTAATTGGTTATTGGTAGTGTAAGGAAATAAAATAGACTTTTATGTGCTCATATTGTAACCAGTGATCCTGATAGCTATATTTAGTTATTCGTTCTAATATTTTATTTTAGATATTCTACATATACAATAATGTCCTTAGCAAATAATGACCTGTGTATTTCTTTCTTGCTAATTCTTACTTTTTTTTTCTTATTGAACTGACTAGGGAATTTTGTTTCTGATCCCATAAGGAAAGCTTTCCATATTTCCTTATTAATTATAATATTTTTGTAAGATTTTATGATTATCTTTCACCAGATTAAATACATTTCATTGTTGTTTGCATATTAAAAAATATATTCTGCATCTGTTGAGATGAGATTTTCTTCCATATTGTTAATATAGTGAATTACAATAATTGATTTTGTGATATTAAAATAATATTTTATTATTGAAACACAATTTGTTTTTAATTTACTGTACTTTTTAAAATTAAGATATAATTCATACACCATAATATTTGTCCTTAACAAGGATGCAACTCAGTGATTAGTATATTCAGAAGGTTATGGTATAATCACTGCAAATTCCAGAATAATTTCATCACTGAACAACAACAAAAAAATCCTGTGTCTCTTATTAGCCAGTCCTTGTTTGCTCTTCTCTCTAGCCCCTGGCAATCACTGATCTACCTTCTGTCTCTATAGATTTGCTTTTTCTGGGCATTTCATATAAGTAGAATTATAGAATATGTGACATTTTGTGTCTGGCATTTTTCACTTAATGTTTTCATGATTCATACATGTATCATGTATCAGTAGTTCATTCCTTTTATGGCTAAATTATATTCCATTGTATGGATATACCACTTTTTGATTATCCATTCATCAATTGATGGACATTTGCACTGTCTTTATGGCCATTACAAATAATGTTGCTATAAACATTTGTGTCCAGGTTCTTTGTAGACATGTTTTTCATTCTTTGGGAGATATTCCTAAGGAGTAGAATTGTCCAGTCATTTGATAACACTGTTTAACTTTTTTTTCTTTTCTTTCTTTCTTTTTCTTTTTTTTTCTGAGACAGAGTCTCACTCTGTCGCCCAGGCTGGAGTGCAGTGGCGTGGTCTCAGCTCACTGCAACCTCCGCCTCCTAGGTTCGAGCAATTCTCCTGCCTCAGCCTCATAAGTAGCTGGAATTACAGGTGCCTGCCACCACGCCCGGGTAATTTTTGTATTTTTAGTAGAGATGGGTTTTCACTGTGTTGGCCAGGCTGGACTCAAACTCCTGACCTCAGGTGATCCTCCCGCCTTGGCCTCCCAAAGTGCAACTGCAAAATTGTTCCTACCATGGCTGCATCGTTTTGCGTTCCCACCAGCGATTTATGTGGGATTGTTTCCACATTCTCAAACATACTTGTTATTTTCTTTTTGATCATAGTATGAAATGGTATCTCCTGGTGGTTTTGATTTGCATTTCTCAAATGACCAATAATGTTGAGTATCTTTTCATGTGCTTCTTGCCTATTGTGTATCTTTTTTGGAGAATTTTCTACTCAAATCATTTCTCCATTTTAAAAATAGGTTATATGTTTTTTTATTATTGAGTTGTAAGATACATATTCTGAATACAAGTCTTTTAGAAGATGTATGATTTGCAAAATTGTTCTCCCATTCTGTAGGTTGTCTTTTCCCTTCCTTGGCTTTTTCTTTTAAAGAAAAAATTTAGTTTTAATTAAGCATAATATAGCCCCCTTTTTTTTCTTTTGTTGCTTGTAATTTGGTGCTATATCTAAGAAACTATTGTTTAATCTAAGGTCATGAAGATTTTGCTTATGTTTTCTTCTATGAGTTTTTTACTTCTAGGTCTTACATTTAGGTTTTGATCAACTTTGTGTGTAAGGTAAGGTCAGAATCCAACTTCGTTTGTTTGCATGCATATGTACAGTTGTCCCAACACTATTTGTTGACAAGACTACTATTTCCCCTTTGAATTTTCTTGGCATCCTTTTAAAAATCAATTGCTCATAAATATAAGGTTTATTGATTAATGCTCAATATTATTTCATTAAATTTATATGTCTATCTTTATGCTAATGCAACACCGAATTAATATAGTTTGGTAGAAAATTTTCTGTTTCAAGACTATTTAGACTGTTCTGGGTGCTTTGCTATAGTAGTTTCCTGTTCCTGATGTAACATCTTACTACAAAGTTATGCCTAAAAAATCACAGCTTTATCATCTTAATGTGTGCACGTGTGCGTGCGTGTGTGGATTCCTTAGGATTTCCTGTATGCATAAATATTTCTCCATATATATCTATATACAAATTCTTTATACCTCATGGCATCTCCATATAGAGATAGTTATATTTCTTTCTTTTTAATCTTCACCCCAGGCTACTATCCAATTGAATAAAAGGTGGTGCTACTATTGAACATGCCATAGAATATTAACTTTGTAAACTGACTTGAAGTCTCCCTGGGTGAATGCTAACCCTCTCATATGTAATAATGGCTTCATTTACAAAATGTATAACATGATGACTACCAAATTATTTCTTCAGCCTTCACTTTTATCCAGAACTGCCAAATCTGAATCTAATTCCCATTTAGGATTGCCACAGGTATGTTCAAAATAGTACTTTCTTTTTCTCATAAGATTCTGCCTTATGTCTTGAATTTATACTCTAGGTAAATGTTGTAAGCAGAATAAAAACCCCCAAAGATGCTCACACTTTAATCCTTGAGACCTGAATATGCTGTATTACCTGACAAAAGAGACTTTGCAGTTAGAATTATGAATATTAAAATGAGGACCGTATATGAGTCCAATCTAATCACTATGAGCCCTTAAAAGCTGAGACCATGTGTAGTTGATTTCTGAGAGACGGGGCAGGAGGGAAAGGCAGAGATATTTGAAATGTTCGTGCTGCTGGAAAGGCCCATGAAAAAAGCATAAGGAACAGGGACAGTCTAGGAGGAAAGGCTGGTCCCAGCTGACGGCCAGCAAGGAAATGGGGACTGCAATAATACCTACTCAAGGAACTAAGTGTGGCTAACAATCTGAACAAACGTGGAAGCAGACCTTTCCTCAGAGCCTCCAATAAAAAATGCAAGAGTGTGGCTGGGCGCGGGGGCTCACGCCTGTAATCCCAGCACTTTGGAAGGCCGAGGCGGGCAGATCACGAAGTCAGGAGATCAAGACCATCCTGGCTAACACGGTGAAACCCCGTCTCTACTAAGAAAAATACGAAAAAATTAGCCAGGCATGGTGGCGGGCGCCCGTAGTCCCAGCTACTCCGGAGGCTGAGGCAGGAGAATGGCGTGAACCCGGAAGGCGGAGCTTGCAGTGAGCCGAGATCGCGCCACTGCCCTCCAGCCTGGGCGACAGGGCAAGACTCCGCCTCAAAACAAACAAACAAAATGCAAGAGTGATGGAGTCAGTGCATTACTACCTGAATACAACACACTTTTCAAGCTACATAAACTTCATGCTTTCCTCGTTTTATAAAAGTCATCTCCTCTGCCTTGAAAACTCTCCCCATTGTTATTAATCTGCCTGAAAATTTATCTTCATCCTCAAGTGTCTACTCAAATGGTCTATTAAATGAGTTCTTCCCAGATGATCCCAGATAATGAGTACCACTTTTTAAAATTAGATTTCTAGATACTTTCATTATTGTAATCCACTTTTATAGGAAATTTTTGTTGTTGTGTATCTCCTTACTAAACGAACATTTTTTTGTTTTTGAATCTGCATCAATTGTTGAACACATATAGAATATATTAAATACATACAAGCTAATGAAGTAACACATGAATGCATCTCAGACCACTTATCCTAAAACAACCATTTTTTTCTTTCATTCTGTCAAATACTTTTTCTCTAATATCCTATACTTTTGTTACTATTCATGGATTTTATCTATTTATAGTTATTTTCTTACTGATATGCAATTATTTTCTATGTATAGTGTATCACATATCTGGCAAAATTTTGTTTGGTTTGCATAATATCTTTTTATTTTATTGTGAATGACATTATAGAACTTTACAGATGAAATAAAATCTGTCGGCCGGCTGCGGTGGCTCGTGCCTGTAATCCCAGCACTTTGAGAGGCAGAGGCGGGCAGATGACGAAGTCAGATCAAGACCATCCTAGGCCAACATGGTGAAACCCTGTCTCTATTAAAAATACAAAAATTAGACGGGCGTAGTGGTGCGTGCCTGTAGTCCCAGCTACTTAGGAGGCTGAGGCAGGAGAATTGCTTGAACCCGGGAGGCGGAGGCTGCAGTGAGCCGAGATCGCGCCACTACACTCCAGCTTGGGCTACAGAGGGAGCCTCTGGAAAAAAAAAAAATCTGGCTAGGCGCGGTGGCTCACGCCTGTAATCCCAGCAATTTTGGAGGCCGACGCGGGCGGATCACGAGGTCAGGAGATTGAGACCATCCTGGGTAACACTGTGAAATCCCATCTCTACTAAAAAAATACAAAAAATCAGCCGGTGGGCACCTGTAGTACCAGCCAGTCCGGAGGCTGAGGCAGAAGAATGAGGTGAACCCGGGAGGCGGAGCTTACAGTGAGCATAGATAGCACCTCTGCACTCCAGCCTGGGCGACAGAGCGAAGACTCCGTTTCAAAAAAAAAAAAAAAAGGCATTTATATGTCCATTCTTCCACTTATGCAGCCCTACTTAATTATTGTCATTACAAAATGATGCTTATCCTTCTGCTAAATTTCTCTGAGTATTTCTAATATTTATGCTTACAGATAAAATTGAATTATTTTTAATCAAAGTCCAAAAATACATCATTAAATTTATTTTTTCAAAAGAAAAGACAAAAAATTTTTTAATTTATCCAATGCTCCTTTTAAATCCCTAATGGAAAAATACATTTTATTCATTCATTATATATAATGAATTCATTTTATTGAATAAAATGATTTTATTAATGAATAAAATGTATATATAAATATATTTATATTTATTTTTAATGAATTTTTGGCTAATTTTTTGCTAATTTTATTTTTATTATTATTATTATTTTTGAGACGGGCTCTCTCTCTGTGCCCAGGCTAGAGTGCAGTGGTGCGATCTCGGCTCACTGCAACCTCTGTCTCCTGGGTTCGAGCGAGTCTTCTGCCTCAGTTTCCCAAGTAGCTGGGACTACAGGCATTTGCCACCATGCCCAGCTAATTTTTGTATTTTTAGTAGTGAGGGGGTTTCACCATATTGGCCAGGCTGGTCTTGAACTCCTGACCTTGTGATCCACCCATTTCAGCCTCCCAAAGTGCTGAGATTACAGGCGTGAGCCACCATGCCCGGCCACTAATTTTTTTTTTTTTTTTTTGAGACAGAGTCTCCCCCTGTTGCCCAGACTGTGGTGATGTCATTGCAACCCCCACCTCCCACGCTCAAGTGATTCTTGTGCCTCAGCCTCCCGAGTAGTTGGGATTACAGGCATGTGCCACCACAGCCGACTAATTTTTTTTATTTTGCAGTAGACAGGGTTTCTCTATGTTGGCCAGGCTGGTCTTGAATTCCTGGCCTCAAGCGATCTGCCCACCTCGGCCTCCCAAAGTGCTGGGATTACAGGCATGAACCACCATGCCCAACCAAGAGTTAATGTTTCTTTTAAAATAAATCAAAAGAGCAAAACTTATCTGACAGCAATTGACAAAAGAAAACAGCAGTCTACTATTAAACATAATAAAATTTAAGGCAAAATTATTTTATTTGGGATTTTGGATTTCCTTGTGTTTTCTCATCTTACTTAAACCTGCTTCCTTTCTATGCCTGCACTTCTCACCATCACTTTTCCCACTACAAGCTTACTGCTCCAGTTTTTTAAAAAGTCATGGCTCTTCTGTCTTTTTTAGTGTAAAAAGGGGAAATTTTCTAATTTTCAGTTTCTTGTGTTACATTCTTTTCATAAGTACATTCTTTTTGAATCCTAAATATTTCGTTGTTAGATGATTGTTCAAAATCAGTTTGCTCATTCATGACTATAGAAAGATGTAGATTTAAGCCCTGGTTTTTGCAACAGAAAAGCCAGATGGCCCACAGCTTATCCCAGTTTCTACTTGAACACAATAAGCTTTCTTTTTCTCTCAACTTTATCCAGGAAGAACCATTTTATATACAGATTTCTGATCCAGTCTCCAGGGTTTCCAAGGCATTAATCAAGCATGGCTTTACTGGACAAATGTAGGGCCTTCTGTGTCTTTAATACTGGACTTTCTATGCCAGACAGTATTTTTGTTCTAGTTCTTCTTTGCACTGTTCATATCTCACTGGTTTAGATATAATTGCCTGCTGCAGCGTGATGACTTCCCTCCGTGAATCTTCCTCAGTTTCATTATTGATGGTATACCATGTACATGAGACAAAGATTTCTTTACTCTTCTTGAGGTCTCTCTATGCTGTTTGGTTCAGATAATACGGAGTTACCCATTGTAAACTCATTTACAGTGAAGTCAGTTGTAGCACTGATCTAGTTTGGCTGTGTCCCCACCCTAATCGCATCTTGAATTGTAGTTACCATAATCCCCATGTGTCGTGGGAGGGACCCAGTGGGAGGTAACTGAATCATGGGGGCTGTTACCCCCATGCTGCTGCTCTCGTGATAGTGAGTTCTCGTGAGATCTGATGGTTTTATATGGGTCTTTTCTCTCTTTGCTCTGTATTTCTCCTTCTGCCATCATGTGAAGAAGGATGTTGTTTGCTTCCCCTTCTGTTCCCCTTTTTTCCTTTATTTATTGATTCGAGTGTCATTCAGTTCAACATAAATTTTGTGAACAGCTGGTGTATGGTCAGCCCAAGGCTAAAACATTGTAAATGAATACATGGAGGACAGAAGTTTTGTGAACAGTGGGAGCAGAAGGCAAATCGCTGTAGACAGAGGAGAGAGCAAGAATGGACAACTTGCAAGAAGTTGAGCTATGTAGACAATGGGGTAAGAAAGCCAGGGGTGTTAGAGGAAGAGAAGTGCAAGTTGGATACCATAGCTTATAATGAGAATAGGAATTGGTAAAAATGTCAAGACAGGAGAAATCATATATGTTTAGAGGTTTAGTAGAGGAGCCATTTGACTTCTCTGTTCTTTTTGAGAAAGACGTGAATTGACAGAGATATAGGGAAAGTGTATTTGAAGTACAAGCAACAGCATGTATCTGGAAAACCAAAACACGGAGGGCATAAGTATGGGGGAACTGTGAATATTCCAACTTTGGCCACAACATTGGGTAGATACCATAGTTGCCCAGTAATGAAAACTTGTCTGAAAATGTATGTTTATGTCACACTGAGATAAAGAAGTATGTAATTAATTGGTTTATTTTAATCCCAATTATTGATTTTCCTGAATTATTGAGTATCATGAGACAATGGCCCATCTTAAGAAGTTCTAAGGAAGGTAGACTAATATGCAGGAAGGTATTTGTAACCCTCGAAACCCATTGGAGACACCTCACTAATGTATGGTAACCAGAATAATAGGAGGGTAGGAACTACGCCAATAATCAAAGTGATCCCTCCGCACGCCACTACCTAACTTCTTCAGCTTTGCTTAAACTTTGTCATCTGCTTGTGTGGCAGCAACTTCCTCCTAATAGTGTATGTTTACACTGAGTATTGGCACATAGTTTCTGCATCGTATAGAATTAAATTTCCTGTTTATTTTTAATTTTTGCTTTGTATTGTATTGTACTTTGGTTCACTTGTTTGTGTTTAGTCCAGATCATGATTCTAACCGGTTATAAAAATTTTGTGCATATGCTTCTTTTGAAATTTGTTTCTTGTTTGTATATCCACAGAATCCTTGAAAGATTCCTTTACCCAATGCCAAAAGAAATCCACTTAATACATTCCGCTGAGGCCTTTATATTAGTACACGTTAACTTTAAGTTGGAATATGCCACCGTGTGACATACTTTATGTGACAAGAAAAATGTTCTTAGAAAAGATTCTCATCTCAAGAAAGCTTTATACTGGAGACATTGTTTGCAATATCAGACTTCACTATTTTCAGCTCACAGTTTACTAAAGAGGATAATTGGAGAGGCATTCTAACATTAGTGGAGAAAAAGGCACTTGATGTTCATGACACTTGATAACAGAACCTCTGTATTTCTTAGTCTCTAGCACCATTTCATAGAATGAACTAAGTTATCAGAGGAGAGGAGATACACATTCGACCCAATTCTAAAAATTTAATATAATCAATATTTACTTATAAGGTACATTAATTATATTAATACATGGCAAGTCTCAAGATAAATTCTGAATAAAAATTTTTCAGTTAAATGTTGCAAATAATTTTTATCATTAAATTTTAAATACACAGATTATCTGTGTAACATATTAAAATGTATGTCATATAATGACAAAGGATTTCTCTATTGGAACATCTTTTATTTCACTGGCTTATTATTATTTCTGGTTGGTAAGTTTAAAAGACTACAATCTTTAATTTTATTTAGTTAAATGATTTGTTGTATTTTAAAATCAGTAGATAGTATATGTATCATCTTAGTCTTAATTTATAAATATATGACATTTCAATAAAATTCTTGAAGCCAATCAATAAAATTGATTAAGCTTTAAATTCTAGGCTGAGTCTAATTGATTATATTTCTTTATGATTCTTTAAGGGGAAAGCAGACACTTTCTTTTGTTTCAAGATGCCAATTTTCTTTTCCTCTTTTTTTTTTTTTTTTGAGACAGAATCTCGCTCTGTTGCCCAGGCTGAAGTGCAGTAGCACGATCTCCGCTCACTGCAAGCTCCGCCTCCTGGGTTCACGCCATTCTCCTGCCTCAGCCTCCCTAGTAGCTGGGACTACAGGCACCCACCGCCACGCCTGGCTCATTTTTTGTATTTTTAGTAGAGACGGGGTTTCAACGTGTTAGCCAGGAATGGTCTTGATCTCCTGATCTCGTGATCCGCCTGCCTCGGCCTCCCAGAGTGCTGGGATTACAGGCATGAGCCACTGTGCCCGGCCTCAAGATGCCAGTTTTCTAAAGTGAGAAAAATTAATTTTAAAAATTAAATTGTATGTTCAATATCTGTGTGAGATCAGGTAAACCATGTGTCTTAGAGAGGGAAAGGTTTGAAAGTATAATTTTTATAGTTTCTTATTTATCTATATTTTCCTATATGATTGTTGTTGAAATATCTTAAATTTATTTCACATTAAAATTGTCAAATATCTGAATTCATGAGCCACCTGTTGAAGACCACTGAAAGAATATAAATAAATAAAATTGGTAGCTCATTGTTTTTCAATAACTTGTGAAGACTAAGCTCTGATTTTTTTATTTTGCCCAAATTCTTATCTAAGGGGTCTGGGGAGTCATCCCCCTACTAACCATAAATTCTCATCAGATGGATTTTATTTAACCCTATATATCATGGCTTACTTTGCAATCTGACTCTGGCATAACATTATGTGACAAAGAAGAAAGTAAAAAAAATTTTACCCCAAAAGCAAGTTTCTTTGTCATATTTTGAAATGGTCCTGCAAAGCTGCCCTTTGTTGGGGGACATATGCATCTGTAAAGAATCTCTATTGACATAACTAGATCTTTTTCTTCCAAGCCCTCCCAATCCTGAAGAAATTAGTAGAAGTCTAGCACCTTTTAAGGTCTGAATAGGAAATATTTGTCATCTATTATCTCTAAGGGCAGCCACTATAAGACTTCAGAAGAACCTTGGTATCCACAATCTTTTAGCTTAACCTGGACATATCCTTTCCTTTGATCCCAGGTTTTTAGACAAACTCAACCAATTATCAATTGGAAAATGTTTAAATTTACCTATAGCCTGAAAGCACCCCCCCACCCCTGCTTTGAATTGTCCCGCCTTTCTGAACCAAACCAATGTGTTTCTTAAATGTATTTGATTGATGTCTCATGTCTCCCTAAAATGTATAAAACTGACCTGCACCCTGACCACCTTGGGCACGTGTTCTCAGGATCTCCTTAGGGCTGTGTCATGTGCCATGGTCACTCATATTTGGCTCAGAATAAGTCTCTTAAAATATTTTACCGAGTTTGACTCTTCATCGACACTTGTTTTATTGAATGAACTGGATTTCCATTGTTAATATTACCCTAATGTAAAGAGCAGTGAAGTAACAGACTTTTTGTCAGCCTTTTACTTACAGAATAGATGACCCCATGATCTGAGCCCTAATTCCTAACAGGGGATGCTTTGGAATGAACAAATCAAGAGGTACCTTGAACTGGAGATTGGTCCTGCTTCATGGTAGCATTTTCCCAGAAAACATGTCTCCATAATAAAAAAGAGTGACTGAATAGCAGATGAAGATATCCAGTTATAAAGCCAAGAGATAAGCCACCCATTCCAGAATTGCTACTTCCTCCTTTATCTGCAATGATCAAGTGGCAACTGTGACAGTGTCAACAGGTTGTACAGTGCACAAAAGGGAGGTTCTGGCTGAGAACGGAAAGTCTGCAAATGATAAGAGAGCAAAAGGAAGAAGTCCTAAACTGAGGAGAAACTGTCCTTTAGGGACAGGAAAAGGAAAATGAGCAAGAAGAATAAAAGATTTTAAAAAGAAATGAAGCTGGAAATCTATCATCATAGCCTAATCCCTAAATACCCCGCAGATGTTAGAAGAATGCCAAGCATTCCTGAAGTTGATAGACACAGATATAGATAGGTAGGTAGATACACAGAGATAGATTAATAGATAGGCAGATACATACATACATACATGCATACATAGGTAGCTACATAGACACATAGATGTATTGAATTGTACACATACACATGTGTATATAACATATATACCTATGTATGAGAGAGACAAGTGAGATATTAAATTATAATTAGCTAAAGACCATTTACAATACCCTATACAAAGAGAAATATCTAAAGTGTTTTTGGATAATTAATTCCACATTCTTTAGCAACTCATCCAATTTCCCACTGGCAGAGATTCAGGGCAAAGACATTTCAAGCCATTTTACAATGAGTCTCAAAAAGCAGTAAAATACCTTTATTCTGAGCACCATTTTAAACTTTTTAGCAAGTTGATGCTACTGCGACTCTTATTCCTGTCACCAGAGAAGCAATTCAGAAGAATTGTTAATATTTCAGAAGTTGCTTAAACTTCCTGTAAAGTGATAGGCCTGACCTCCTGGGGTTAATGTGAGCATCATAACAGTTAATACACGTAAATGCTTGACATACGATAAATGCTATGTAAGTGTTAGCCATGATTAGTATTTTCATCACTCAAAAATGCCTCTTTTCTGTCTCACACCATATTTCCCTAAAGTGCTCTGCCATTTCTTTATCTTTAACCATACTTCCCACTCTTGCTCCAATATTTCTCTCTTTTATATTTTTATTCCTTCATATACTGCTTCCAATACCTTCCTACTCAAACAGAAAGCTGCCTCTGTCCTTTAAGAATACCTACTAGTAGTACCTGGAAAGATTATTTTTCAGACACTTACCGTAAGGTGGGGTGGGGTTAGCATTCACCTTTTTTCATGCTGCCATTTTTAAAACTACACTATCTCAGTCTCCTTATGTTCAGGATAACACCATTCATAATCTACCCCTTCTTCACTGGGCCTCATGCCATCATGTCCACATTTTTGAAATACACAAACACCTGTCATTTTCCTTGAGACCTCAGAGCCCTGTGCAGGTGTCATCCAGTTACCCAGCCTCACTCTTTCGTAACTGGTGCGTCAATGACTACCATCATCATTTATGTATTTCTCACCTTAATTAATGGGGAGGGGCCGGGTGCGGTGACTCATGCCTGTAATCCCAGCACTCTGGGAGGCCAAGGCGGGCGGATCACGAGGTCAGGAGATCGAGACCATCCTGGCTTACACGGTGAAACCCTGTCTCTACTAAAAATACAAAAAATTAGCCGGGCGTGGTGGCAGGAGCCTGTAGTCCCAGCTACTCAGGAGACTGAGGCAGGACAAAGGCGTGAACCCAGGTGGTGGAGCTTGCAGTGAGCCAGGGTGGTGCCACTGCACTCCAGCCTGGGCAACAGAGCAAGACTCTGTCTCAAAAAAAAAAAAAAAAAATTAAGGGGGAGCTTGCCTGAAGGAAATCATTTCCTAGTACTGAATTATGACATAAGTGCCTTTGCTGAGACATTTTATATATATGGGCCATTGAATTATGATACTCTTCAACAATATTTTTGTATTAGGCAACAAAATGGATTTCATATGACTATTTGTTGTATTGTTCTTTTATTAAAAGGAGTAGGTCATGGCCCCAAAACTTAATTCAAGGAAAGAAACTCTGTTGGAAACTAAGGCAATATAGTTCAACTTTGTAGCCTCCTGGTGATCTGATTTGACCGAGGCTAAAATTTATAATACCCAGAGGAGTGACAGCCTTCAAATGATTTTCTGTAAGTATTAAAGTTGAGGTGTTTATTAAATGTCCACTTCTGTTTGGTAACACTTTAAGATTTTCTAGTTATTTTGAAGACTCATAAAATTCTAAAAAAAAAAAAATCCTTAGTAAAAAATAGTTTCCTCAAAATAAATACATTGCTCACAATTTTAATGACTCATCATTAAAGCTAACAAGGAAAGGGGTATTATCTGTCTTAAACTATTTGTAACTGATAAATAAAAGGTTAAATTTTTCCCTACAGAGTTTTACTATTGAGCCATTATTCAATTATGAGAAAGAGTAAACTGAAATATTTGCCAAGTACTTATGATATGACAGATATAGTGCCAGGTTGTTTTACATATTGTATATCACTAAATGTCAGAATTAAACTTCTGAAAATCAAAGCTGGCTAAAAGTGGGTATTTAACTTCTGTGGACTTGTTGAAACCCAATACAGAGATGTGTCTACTTGGGATCATGAAATCAAATATTCAGAAGAAATATATTTTTCATGCATATTCTGAAATCAGTGGCTGAAACCACAAGAAATAAGTGAACAGAGCTTATAAATATTGATTTATTGAGTTTATTCCCTTAGGTTCATATCATGGAGATGCTTAAAATACTTAAGCTAGAGTTATATTTAAAGTACTGCTATGTACGGATGTAATACAACTTATTTTACAGAGCTTCCCTTTGGGGGGCAAGAATTATTAACGTATGTGGTTATCCTGAGCTCCCTCTTTCTGTTTGCTAATGGGGATTCTGGCTTTGTCTGCTCAATTTCTTCCCCATTGCTCTTCTCTGAAAAGGCACTGCTGGTGGCTGACAGTGATATTCTCTTTCGTTATCTCCACATCAGTACAATGATAAGAGGAAACTGGAACAAAAAGGCAGGAGGGGTGGTAGGTAAAGATTGAGAACATGCATTTGAGTAAGGCCTAGGTGAGCTTTCTTCCAGAAAAGAAAAAATAAATACATAGTCAGGAGGCAATGACAAATTTTAACCAGAAGGATTTAAAGAAAGAGAGATATGGATAAAACGATATAAAGATGTGTGCGTTATATTTTATGTCTTATTCAGATATTACCAAAATACAAATACACTCGAGGTATTTTTACATTATGTTTCATTATAATAGAATGATTTATATTCCTATGAGTATATACCCAGGAATGAGATTGCTGGGTGAAATGGCAATTCTGGTTCTAGGTCTTTTAGGAATTGCCACACTGTCTTCCACAATGGTTGAACTAATTTACATTCCCACCAACAGTGTAAAAGCATTCCTATCGCGTCTGTTTTTTGCTTCACTATTCACAATAGCACAGACATGGAATCAACCCAAATGCCCATCAATGATAGACTAGAAAAAGAAAATGTGGTACCTATACACCATGGAATACTATGCGGTCATAGAAAGGAACAAGATCATGTCCTTTGCAGGGACATAGATGGAGCTGGAAGCCACTGTCCTTAGCAAACTAACACAGGAACAGAAAACCAAACACCGCATGTTCTCACTTCTAAGTGGAAGCTGAATAATGAGAACACAAGCACACAGGGAGGGGAACAAAACACACTGGGACCTACTGGGGGGTTGGGGGGAAGGAGAGCATCAGGATAAATAGCTAGTGCATGGGGGCCTTAAAACCTAGGTGATAGGTTGATAGGGGTAGCAAACCACCATGACACACGTTTACCTATGTAACAAACCTGCACGTCCTGCACATGTATCCCAGAACTTAAAATTTTTTTAAAAAAAATTACATTTCACCTTTTTTAAAACAGAGTGTTGTCATGCTATATCATGTGGATCCCATCATTATAGGCATTATGTACTCTAATAAGATGGCAAGAGAAAAAATGTTTAAGCTGTTCAGGCTGGAGGTAAAATGGAAGAGTTGAGGCTGGCCTTGGCTGACAGTCAGTTGAGTCTGGACTCTGGCCCTACCTGGCCATGTCTATGGATAAGTTTCTGAACTTCTTTTCTTCAAAATATAACCAGGCTAAGAGCAGCCTGATGGGAGTCCGACTGAGCAGGGTTTGAATCCCAGCTTTGCCATTTAGCATGATGAGATGTGAGTTAAGTTACTTAATTCAAGCCCCACGTCCTCATCTTTAAATGCAGACAACAGTATCTACCTTCAGGTTGTTGTCAGGATTAATATAATTTATGTAAAGTATTTTACCCAACATTTGGCATATATTTGTATACAGTAATTGGCGTATCTTTGGTATAAAATAAATGTTACAAAACATGAGTATTTTCCTTGTTATTGGTGTGGTACCTTGCATTTTCAAGTTGTCTTAGTCCATTCACATTACTATAAAAAAACACCTTAGACAGGATAATTTAGACAACTATAAAACAGAAATTTATTGCTCACAGTTCTGGAGGGTGGGAGTTTAAGACTGAAGTGTCAGCAGATTTGGTGTCTGGCGAGAGCTTGCTCTCTACTTCATAGATGGTGACTTCTGTGCTTCCTTACTTGGTGGAAGGGGCTAGGGAGATTTTGGAGGCCTCTTTTATAAAGGCACCAATCCCATTCATGAGGGCTCTGCCAGTCACATTCTAAAGCCTTCATCTCTTAATACTATTGCATTGGAGATTAAGTTTCAACACATGAATTTTAGAGACACAAACATTTAGACCATAGCACAAGTCGACATGTTTCTCTTTTGTTTAGATTTGCTGAGAGAGAGAAATGGAGAGACAGATTGAGATTCAGTAAAGGGTAAAGTTACTGAAGTTGTAAAAGTATATTCAAGAGCATTATATGGAAAATGTATAGGGCATTGCAGCAAATAAAATATAATATGGATACTGTGAATGATTTCTAAAAATTCAAGTTTACAAAATACATATTTTGAAGACTTGAACTGTTTGAAACATTTAATCCTTGTAGATCATGAGTGGAAGAACAGATTCTCTAAGTAGTGAAGAGAAATAGAGCAGTGGTCCCCAACCTTTTTGGCATCAAGGACTGGTTTTGTGGAAGACAATTTTTTTCACAGACATGGTGGTGGTGGGGATGGTTTCAGAATGATTCAAGCCCATTACATTTATTGTGCACTTTATTTCTATTATTATTACTTTGTAACATATAATGAAATAGTTATACGACTGACCATAATGTAGAATCCCTGGGAGCCCTGAGCTTGTTTTCCTGCAACTAGATGTTCCCACCTGGGGGCAATGGGAGACAGTGACAGATCATCGGTCATTAGATTCTCATAAGGAGCACACAGCCTAGATCCCTTGCATGCTTAGTTCACAATAGGGTTCATGCTCCTATGAGAATCTAATGCTGCTGCTGATCTGACAGGAGGAGGAGCTCAGGGGGTAACACGAGCCATGAGGAGCAGCTGTAAATACAGATGAAGCTTCGCTCACTCAGCCGCCACTCACCTCCTGCTGTGGAGCCCAGTTCCTAACAGCTATGGACTAGTATGGGTTTGGAGAGCCCTGAAATAGAGGATATCCAGCAAGCCTTTTAAAAGAGTGAATTATTCCATTCCAACCTCTGGAATATAAAAGATAAATAGTCTCTCAGGAATTCACACTGTGTGGCCTTTTGCATTAAAGCAATCACCTAAGTTATCTGGAGCTTCATGTACATGGGTCAGATGTTGCTGGCATTGTCCTAACTCTGCATGGCTGCTCTCAAATCAGTCCTTCATCACCTCCATGAGATTCATGCCGTGAGACCCTAATTTCCTTCATTTTTTCAAAGATGTCTATCTTCCAGGAGGACACATCTGCATTTTTAAGGAAAACTCTGGCTACAGGCCATCAGATGATTTTCCCCTTGCCAACACTCTGGGTAACGTTAGCGCATTTGTGCAAAATACATTCAACACCCTGGCCTTACACCTTTTGATCTCCTTATCTTCAATAACATGTATTTCTACTCTAATTTAGGCACCCACATTCATTGCCTCATCAGGAATGATGATATCTTCTGTAGTTATTCACATTGTATTTTTGAATTCCAGTGGCCCTCTCACCTTTGACTTCAATACCTGATTCTTTTAGTTCTTTAAAATTTTTATTTTCTCTTCACACATTATTTGATCTCCTGCAGAACACTATTTTCTTCCACCTTTGCCTCAGTTATTTACCAAATATCTCTCCTTCTTTTTTTATTTTTTTCTTTTGAGATAGAGTCTTGTTCTGTTCCCTAGGCTGGAATGCAGTGGTGCAATCTTGGCTCACTGCAACCTCTGCCTCCCAGGTTCAAGCAATTATCCCGCCTCAGCCTCCCGAGTAGCTGGGATTACAGGCACCTGCCAACACGCCCAGCTAAGTTGTGTATTTTTAGTAGAGACGGGGTTTCACCATGTTGGCCAGGCTGGTCTCGAACTCCTGACCTCAGGTGATCCAACCACCTCGGCCTTCTAAAGTGCTGGTATTACAGGTGTGAGCCACTGCACCCCGCCAACCAAATATCTCTTAAGCACCTCAAGTGCTTTACAACATGGAATGCCAGAATACACCAATTCCAAGCCAAATCTACACAGGAGTGAAAAATTCTGTTTAGATAAATGCAACTATTCAAACACATGCTTTCAAATAACACTTCCTCCTTAGTGCTGAGGGCCATCTTGATACTTTGTTAAAATGATTCAATCAAGAGACAGAATAGAGAGATTGAGGGAGAGTGTGATGCTTTCTTTAATGCCCTGATCCTGAGTTAGATGTATCAGCAGTGTGTCCTGGAGCTTTTTCTAAACCTCCTGTTTCCACATCTACCACCTTCTATCACACTGGATTCTTTACATAGTTTCCACCACGACACTGTAAATGTTAAGGATGTCAAATCAAGATTGAATCTTGGTTTTTCCATTGCCTTTATATTATAGCAAAGTACCTGGTACATAGTTTATAGTTAATAACTATCATCTAAGTGGATTGGTTACCCTACATTATCTTCCCAAATAAATGCCAATTTCAAATAAATACCAAATTTTGCCAACTCTCTATTCAAACCCACATCTTTCATTTTCAGGAAATGACATATTCTCTTTAATGAAAATAAGGACATAAAGTATCACCTACCATTATGTAGCCAGTCCCACCCTCCTATAAACTTACCTATAATTGGGTGATGAGTGATCCTTCCTCTTAATTAATGTAATTTTTCACTTGTAGAATTGATCTAGCTCATGCCTTCCATTATATCTTGTATCTTTCCCCATTTGTTATTGTGTCTCATATCTCTGCCTTCAGCCCTTCCCACTTCTCTATCTCTTATTTTGCCTGTAAACATGATTGAGGCAAAATGATTGAGGTAGAATGACATAACCAAAAAGAGGGTAATTTCAGAATTTCATTCCAATGTGAGAGAGCTCCAGTGGGCCCTTTTATCTTCTAAAATCACCCTCTTTTTTGTTATGCTATTCTCTAGCTTCCAACTACATTTTTTTTTAAAGAGGTGGGGTCTCGCTACATTGACCAGGCTGGTCTTGAAATCCTGACCTCAAGTGATCCTCCCATCTTAGCCTCCCCAAGTGCTGGGATTACAGGCGTGATCCATCACAGCCAGGCCCCAACTACTATCTTGCTGACCCTTTTCTAATTCTCTTCTTTTGAAAGGAGTTTTCAATTTGCTACTTTACTTCCTAATATCCCATTCATGCATCAACCCAATGTAGAGTAGCTTCTATTCTAATTACTCTACCAAAGCTGTTCTTCCATACCGTTCACTCCTTTCACTCAAAGTACCCCATATTTTTGAAGAATGGTATCATTCATGATACAATGTTCTCTAGTAAGCAGATTTGGACATGGAGATATATACTAGGGAGTGCCCTTGGATTACTACCTGTGAAAAGGAGAAGAAGGAAGCTGGATTGAGGGAAAGGGAAAAAGCTGGGCTGAAAAGAAGTCCTGGACCACAGCTTTGGCTCATCTCACAGGGGACTTTGAAGATAAAATGGCCCACTGGCATCCTTTCACATTGCAATGACATGACTGAGTCTTTATAGGCCCCAAGTCCCCTCCCCACCTCTTTCACCTGCCTCCTTGCCTCACCTCAATCAGTCGTTGCATATGCACCACAACTGGGAACCTCAGGACCTTAGGCAGGGGGAAGCTCTGCAGCTGAGGTGACGTCTGAAGGGGCTCACAGCTGAGTCCTGTCTACTGACACAGCTCTCAGGGAGGACCTAGGTGATGCATCTCTGTGTGTATCATATATATGAGTAATGATATTAGAGGTTTTATAATTTAACCTTTTTTCTCCTTTTTATCTTTAATCTTCACTGTATTTCAGTCATGGTCTTCAGGTTTCAAAGTGACCTTTAAGATTCAGCAAAGAATATACAGCTTTTTAAACATGGGGAATAAAACAAGAACAATGTGATAGCATAGTGTAATGGTGCCATAGAAATAAACAATAAAAAAGAATTTAAAGAGAGAACCAGGAGTCAATTTCATAAATGCCACCATTACATTACTTAGGTTAAGCTTTTGAATTTATCTAGAGAAATGTCATTGGCCAAAACATTAACATTTATAGAGGAATGCAAAAGTGCAAAATTAAAGTTCCTAAGAATCAAGTCCAGAAAAATAGAAAATGTGTAAAGGCTATTGTTCTCAGTTTGGCAAATAAAATTAAAAAAATAAGCAAATCCAGAACTGGCTAATTTCAAATAACGTTTCTAGTATTTCCCACACATTTTTTTTACATATTTTAAAATCACTAATACAGCATTACATTTTTAAAAGGCATATTTCAATACCTTACCTTGAAATCATAAGATGCATTTGTTCAATGAAATCTTACAGTAAAGCAGCATAAAAAATATAAATTGTACAGTGTGATATAAATGCAAACTATTTGATGTTCAATTTAATCATTTTTTTCAGGAACCTAAATGTTAGTTATTTATTATTACTTTAACAACTTAATATTAATTACAATGAAAAGAATATTGCCTTTGAGATCTTCCATTAATGATTCAGTTCCCAGGCCCTGATTTCTTTATAAACTTCTAAATTCTTAAGAGAGAAATGTACTTGGCTCAAATTTAATCATGTTAGAATACAGGTTCTGTATCAACTTAGTTTTTGTAGACACTATATGATATAAGAAGACAATGTTTAATTTTATGTCAATTTCTTGCATAAACTTGTTCAATTAATTCATTCAATAAATAGTCATTGAGTTCATATCATGTCCCAGGTACTTTTTTTTTTTTTTTTTTTGAGATGGAGTCTCACTCTGTCGCCCTGGCTGGAGTGCAGTGGCACGATGTCCGCTCACTGCAAGCTCCGCCTCCCGGGTTCACGCCTTTCTCCGGCCTCAGCCTCCAGAGTAGCTGGGACTACAGGCGCCCGCCACAACGCCCGGCTAATTTTTTTGTTATTTTTAGTAGAGACGGAGTTTCACCGTATTAGCCAGGATGTTTTCGATCTCCTGACCTCATGATCCTCCCTCCTCGGCCTTCCAAAGTGCTAGGATTACGGCGTAAGCCACTGCACCCAGCCATCCCAGGTACTATTAAAAGCACTGTTATTATATGGTGAAAAAGACGGACGGGGTCCCAGTACATACTTTATATGGAACATACTGATGTCTTTTCTAAAACCTCTAGTCTCTGATTTGCCTATATAAAGAGTGACAAGTTTTATTTTTACTTTCTGCAAAAATTCAGTTTCTTGTTGTTTTATCATCATACATACAACTTTTATTCAAATATTCATCTAAGGGCCAGGTGCGGTGATCTCTACTAAAAATACAAAAAATTTTAGCCGGGCGTAGTGGCGGGCGCCAGTAGTCCCAGCTACCCGGGAGGCTGAGGCAGGAGAATGGCGTGAACCCGGGAGGCAGAGCTTGCAGTGAGCGGACATCGTACCACTGCACTCCAGCCTGGGCGAGAAAGCGAGACTCTGTCTCAAAACAAAACAAAACAAAAATTAAAAAGAAAACTCGATATTAGGGATTTCACAGTGCTGTAGACTGAATGATAGTGCCCCCCAAAATTCAGCTGTTGAAATGTAACACCCATATGATGATATTTGCAGGTGGGACCTTAGAGGGAGGGGATTAGATCATGACGGTAGAGCCCTCATGAATGGGATTAGTGCACTTATAAAAGAGTCCCCGGAGAGACTCTTGCCCCTTTCACCAAGTGAGGATGCAGGGAAGAGATGGCAATTCATGAATCAAGAAGCAGGTCCTCACCAACTCTTACGGCACTTTGATCTAGGACTTCCTGCCCTCTAGAACTGTGAACAACAAATTTCTATTGCCTATAATCCACCAATTTATGGTATTTTGTTATAGCTGTTTAAATAGATTAAGACACCTAGGATGGGAAACCCATTAATACTGTAATAGAGAGATGAGCTTTCTCTTCCTCTAACTACTTTTAAAGTCTAAGATAATTAGGAAATGATGTTTTGTGTAGCTATATTTTGATTTAAAATTATCTGCCTCAATTAGTGATGAACTAACTTGATTTTGTGCCTGAGTTTTAATAACTGTGATATTTTGAATCAATGTGAGTTATTTGATCAGTTCAAAATATCCAAAAGAAATTTGTCTGGTTAAGATCATGTGCATCTCCATGATGGGATTAGTGTTCTTATAGGAAGAGAAAGTGAGACCATAGCTCTCTGTCTTTCTCTATTTTGTGCCATGTGAAGACATTGTCAGAAGGCAGGAGCCTGTAGTCTAGGAAGGGGGCTTTCACCAGGGACTGAATCTGCCCGAACCTTGTGGAGGATTTCCCAGCCTCCAAAACTGTGAGAAACAAATGTGTGTTGAAGACACCAGTCTCTGGTATTCTGTTATGGCAGCTTGAGCGGCCTAAGATACAATGATAATATAAAAATATTAACAAGATTAGCCTGGGCACCATAAGAAGACC
The DNA here is from genome assembly GCF_000001405.40 of Homo sapiens. Lineage (NCBI taxonomy): Eukaryota > Metazoa > Chordata > Mammalia > Primates > Hominidae > Homo > Homo sapiens. The sequence continues at coordinate 30,461,589 of NC_000015.10, forward strand.
CCAGCTTTAAAAGTAATACAAATAATAATAATAACAACAAACTAAAACATTTTGAAATTTTAAGTGATAATTTTTCATTAGATACAGAATCACCTACTTAGAAAAATACAGATCCCAGGGCAGGGCGCAGTGGCTCAGCCTGTAATCCCAGCACTCTGGGAGGCCGAGGCGGGCGGAACACGAGGTCAGGAGATCAAGACCATCCTGGCTAACACGGTGAAACCCCGTGTCTACTAAAAATACGAAAAATCAGCAGGGCGTGGTGGCGGGCGCCTGTAGTCCCAGCTACCCGGCAGGCTGAGGCAGGAGAATGGCATGAACCTGAGAGGCGAAGCGTGCAGTTGAGCTGACATCGTGCCACTGCACTCCAGCCTGGGCGACAGAGCGAGACTCCGTCTCAAAAAAAAAGAAAAAGAAAGAAAGAAAGATACAGATCCCAAACTCTATTATACTTAATATTTCTTCTAAAATGTTCATCATTTTGAGGATTAAGATTTCTTAATGCATCTGTACAAACACACATGCATATATTCACACAAATAACTATAGTCATTTTATCAACGTTTTGTTTTGACTTATTTATTTAAAAATATTAAATGTATTTTATAAATGAAGAATGCGTGTATTTATTTATTTATTTATTTATTTTTATTTTTATTTTGAGACGGAGTCTTGCTCTTTCGCCCAGGATGGAGTGCAGTGGCGTGATCTCCGCTCACTGCAGGCTCCGCTTCCGGGGTTCATGCCATTATCTGGCCTCCAAAAGTGCTGGGATTACAGGCGTGAGCCACTGCTCTGGGCCTCATTCAAGTATATTTATATAGGAATGTCTGAAATACTGCCACCTAATGTTTAGCAATTATTTTCATTTCTGAGCAGTAGAATTTGAGTGATTTTTATTACTTTTGATTCTGCAATGTGATGTATTCTTTTTTTCATAATGTCTTTCGTATTTATTAAAAGGTTAATTAAATCATCCTAAGAATATTTTATGCATATTTTTGTTAAAATAGGATGTTTAACAGTCAAAATTCTCCATTTACTAAATCTTTCTCAGTCAATGCTTCAGACTTACCTTTTCTACATTTACTAATAAAAAATTTAATTTCAATGTTATATAATAGAAGAACACAGAGTATCTATTTTAAATTTTACCTCCACAAACATCTTTAACCAGAAAATGAAATAAGCACTTAAAATATCAAATAAAATACTAGTTTTCAGGTCTGTTGCTTTGAAAATATGCTTCCTCGTTGAGCAATATCTGAATTTTTATTACTATACCAGGGTATAGATGAAATATCTAACTAGTATACTTTTAAATTAAAACTGCAAAAAATATATAGAGAATTCAGTAGTGCTTATTCAGCATGTAAAACATTTTGCCTATTACATTCTTCATGTTGATGGTAGCTATGGCTAAAGTTTGTAGATACTTGGTTTCGTTAGCTTTTAGAGTTGCTTAGGTTAAATATGCTATAATATACCAGTCCCTGCTGGCTTTGAACTACTTCGAATTCTTAGAAGTGAAGTAACATAGTACAAACCTATAGAAAATATGATAAATGTACCACGAATGACACAAAATATTTTCTGCAGGTCACATAAGGAGTCATTCTCTATTTTGTCAATTTCCTTAGTTAATTCAAAAGCTCCCGGCCAGGCGCAGTGGCTCAGGCGGGTGCACACCTGCAATCCCAGCACTTTGGAAGGCCAAGGCAGGTGAATCACAGGGTCAGGAGGTCGAGACCATCCTGCCCATCCTGGCTAACACAGTGAAACCCCGTCTCTACTAAAAATACAAAAAATTTGCCAGGCGTGGTGGTGCCCGCCTGTAGTCCCAGCTACTTGGGAGGCTGAGGCAGGAGGATGGTGTGAACCCAGAAGGTGGAGTTTGCAGTGAGCCGAGATCCTGACACTGCACTCCAGCCTGGGCTACAGAGCGAGACTCCGTCTCAAAAAAAAAAAAAAAAAGTTCCCAATGCATGAATCAATCAAGAATTTCACCCCCAACAGTGAAAAAAAAATGTGAAAGCAGTCAGGTTTTAGTCACTGTAAATCACAATTTCAATTCCACCCCATCCAAAGAAAGCTATGTATGTCCTTCTCATTCCAAATACATACAGGCCATGAGTTAATAATCTTTCATTCTTCTAAAATACCAACAGATTTGCTTTTTTACTTTCATTTGTAGTTTATAGTACTCACAATTAAATTGACCCAAATGTTTTTGAGGTATGTATCTAAATATATATATATACATGGATCAAAGGTCAATGCTATTGTCTATGCATTAGCCACTCCCATTTATGAGAATTTTCTAAACTTGTTGCTTTATATCTCTTAAATGGTGTCAGTTGGCCACATTTATTTCCTGAGAAACAACTGAGCAGCTGACAATGAAAATGAAGCTCTCTGCATTCCTCTTAGGCATACTGCATACATCTTAGGCTCTCTGCATTCCTCTTAGGCATACTGCATACATCTTAGGCTCTCTGGATGCCTCTTAGGCACTTAACGCTTACATGTATTTGTATCTCATTACATAGTGATACAGTCCTAAAATAAAGTAAATAATGAGTTATTTTCTAGACTAATTTGATGAGGCTTTTATTTGATAACAAATTAAAATTATGCCACCAGATGCCTATACTTTGACTTATAAAATGTGTTGTGTTCTGCATGGGCAAACAGAAAGTGCAGAAATTGAACGGCTGCCTGGTAAAATTACCTAAATCCACAATGCCACTGGACAACATTGAACTAGATATTTAAATAAGTGAAAGTAATCAAGTAGTTGAGTTCACTGATAAAATTATACTTGGAATCTTACATCATTCCCAGATTAATATATACAATGTATATCAAATGTCATTGCTATGGGAATGGAAACTGTTACACATGAGGCTAAATTTTTATAAAGAATTTTTTTTTCCTCTAGAACTGACCTTGAGAAACTTGATATCCTCTGTTTATGGCAAGTCTTAAGAAAATGTCAACCCAATGTCAAAGGATAATTAATTTTTTTAAAGAAAAGAAAATTAATGGTTCTCATACAAATGTAAAATGAATATATGTTCATGATTTTATTTAACTGATTAATAAATAAGAGTACCACAGGATGTTCTGACTGGTTCAAAGGAGAATACAAAGAGCAGAGAATATACAGGCAGACATTCATGCTGAAATGAATTTGCTTAATAAAGGCAAAATTAGCCAATATCTATAGGGTGACAGTCAAATATATCTACACTGGATAATTTGTATTTTCATGGACAGGAATTATTTGCAATTTACACAGTTGTGAAATAGGTAAAACAAACAAAAAGTGAAAGGTTCAGAAACCCCATACAATCAGTTAAACTAACATTTAGTTTTCCACTGAAAATAGTAATTTTTTGAGACCATTTCAAAGTTTTTCTTAATTTTTCTCTGCTCTAAAAAAGTCTATAAATTATTTCCAATGAACATTAGAGCTTTTTCTTTGTTGAATTAGTATTTTAAAAAATTTATGGAAGGAGACAGAGCATAAAAGCAGTCGCCAAGTTTATCAATTAAGTCGGTACGATTACAAATCCCAATTGAGAAATATTTTTAAGTATATTTTTCTTTCCAAGACAAATAGACATTAAACAGTCCTAATGTTAATATCCTTTATGTTACATATATATGTATAGATGTATAAGTATATGTATATCCTCATGTATATAAAAAGTTACAAACACATAGTTATTTCAGAGAATTATTTATGCAAATGTGTTGGGTTTTCTTTTTGTGAAGCTATGTTATCAAGAAGTTATTCTTAGTTTTACAGAAAATAAAACAGCTCTAGCTCTTTGTATCATAAGATAAATATCTGTTTATAAATATCAGTATTTTCTAATACTTCTAATGTACTCTTTTGGAGGTAATGGTATATGAAACCCTATAAGAGCAATTCTACTTCATTAATTAATTCGGAAGAAACACAAGTTTTTAAGGCCCAGTGTATACCAACAATTGACAAAGTCATTAAGGTAGACAAAGATGGGCAGAGCCTGGGCTTTGGCTATGAATGTTAGAAAATGAATCACTGAAAGTAAAACATGTTTAAAAGATTAAAATAACAGAAAATGGTTTGAAATTAAATTCAGTTATTGGCCATCAATTGGTCAGAAAGAGTAATTAAGAATTAGTCAAAGCTTTTTTCTCTTCATTTAGGTCAAATATGTCATAAAAATAGTCAATTTTAGCTTATTATAAGTCGATTATGTCAAAATGGTTGAACGACATGTCATTGAAATTAATCTTTAGCTTGTAATGCTATCATTTCAGTTTTAATTAATATTGGGGCCAAAATGTTCATTAGATACTGTTTTTAATGATCAGTTTTTATGCAAATGATTTATATAAGTCAGAACTTCAATTCAATGTTTGGTAGCTGTTTGATTTTTAGGACATTATATATTGAAATGTACACTGATTATCCTAAAGTTGTAAATATTTAAGAAACTTTTCAGCAAAAAGTCTAAAATAAAGATATATTTATATTATTTCCAAAACAGAAAATTTAAATTGATTCCCTAGTCAAAGAAACTGTTTGTAAATAAAATGTAACAAGCTATATATTGCTTGGCCCCCAGACATTTTAAAGTCACTTTTCCTTTTTATATACATGTTCTAATATCATAAACAGTGAGCTCAGAAATATCCTAGTTTGTCTTTTGTGTATTTTCAGCAGATTGTGCTGTTTCAAATTCTATTATTTTACTCCAATTCTTTTGTTCACATATTGCTGTTTTGCTAGCGTTTTTCATATTTTAAAATACATTACTATATTGTATATAGTAATATTGTGTTTCTATTTCTCTTTCTTCATGTTTTATTTTGTTCCATAACCTTTGGCTTGTCCTTTTTATTCCATATTCCCATTTGTAGGTGTAGTTTTCAAAGGTGCTTTTCTTATTTACACAAACATAAGACTTTTGTGCCGGGCGTGGTGGCTCACGCCTGTAATCCCAGCACTGTGGGAGGCCGAGACGGGCGGATCACGAGATCAGGAGATTGAGACCATCCTAGCTAACACGGTGAAACCCCGTCTCTACTAAAAATACAAAAAAAAAAAAATTAGCCAGGCGTGGTGGCAGGGGCCTGTAGTCCCAGCTACTAGGGAGGCTGATGCAGGAGAATGGCGTGAACCCGGGAGGCGGAGCTTGCAGTGAGCCGAGATCGCGCCATTGCACTCCAACCTGGGCGACAAAGCGAGACTCCGTCTCAAAAAAAACAAAAAAAACAAAAAACTTTTGAACCAGAATATTCTGAATGAGATCAAAGTCAAAGCTCAAACATTTCTTAAAAATGAGGTTTTTCTGAGTTGGGAACCAGAGTCATCTTCTATTGCCTGATGCAATAGGCATTGAGAATAGAACTTGTGACAACTCTCTATGCATTAACAATAGAAAAAATGGGATAAGATAGAGGCAAGGAACATACATTCAGGGAGCAAGAAGAAACACTGAGGAACTAATAGAAATTGTGCTTATCAAAATAAACTTACCAAGGTATGGTACCAATTCTCCTTTTTTTGTTCAGTCCATAATAGAGTTCTTAATGCTTTCAATTTTTTTCTTATTAATAATTTTCCTAAATATATTTTATTTGTTTGTTTGTTTGTTTTTTACATGGTGTCTCGCTTCATCACCGAGGCTGGAGTGCAGTGGCGCGATCTCGGCTTACTGCACCCTCCGCCTTGTGGGTTCAAGCAATTCTCCTGTCTCACCCACCTGAGTAGCTGGGACTACAGGTGCCCGCCACCACACCTGGCTCATTTTCGTATTTTTAGTAGAGACAGTATTTCACCTTGTTGGTCAGGCTGGTCTGAACTCCTGACCTCAGGTGATCCACCCGCTTCGGCCTCCTAAAGTGATGGTATTACTTCTGTGAGCTACTGCGCCTGGCCCTAAATCTATTATTTAAAAATCCACCTGTACAATTGGTATTCACAGAAATCTCCCATATATGTTATTATTTTATTCTCATAACTCTCTATGCCAAGTATAGATACATTATTGATGTGGAAAATTAGATCACAGAGATAAAGTGACTTTCCCAAGGTCAGTGCAGAAAGGGAAAAGTGAAAATTTGAAATTGTACCTGAAGAGTAAGAGCAAAGGGGTTAAGGAGTTATTCATAGATCTTTGTGCCTCAGAGGTCCTTACTGAGAGTTTTAATCCAAATGGTTTGGTAAATTTGGGGCGACAGGTATAACATGGCTTATGTGATGCTTAGAGTGTTTTGGAACCATCAAGATCTTTGCAATGGCATCACAGATAACAACCCCATCATCTTGTAAAACATGGACATGTTGGGAAACAATGTTTTAGTTCAGTCATTGAACTGACCCAAACTTCTGTGTTCATATTGTTATAGACCTCATAATTGTTAAGGTATAAAGAAGCATCAGAAGTTTTGTTTTTGTTTTTAATTACAAAGGAGTTAGGATATTCCTAACATCCAAAGTGAATTAAAATAATTCACTTTGATGTGAGAAAGAGCTTCTTGTCTTAGGGACACTGGTGAGGTGAATTCACAACTATGGGTTGTTTTAATTGAATTACATCCTCAGAGCTTTAGTTTTGAGCTCTGAATCTACAATCTGCATTTTGCAAGTAATCAATGGTATTTATTTAAGTGCTCTTGGTAAAGATGATGTGAATAGAGAAATCTGCTTATTTCTAGCATAAAATTGCTTATTAAGCAAAATAATAGAGCACTGCAAATTAACTAGTAAAAAATTGAAATCTTTAACTTTCACACCTTCATTTGATATTTACTGAATACTTTGGGGACTAGATTATATGTAATTTAGTTCAACTTTTGTTTAAAATAGGAAAATGAACTTTGAAAATAAGTACTTTTAAAAATATTTTAGAATGCAAGATAGTTTTCATGGAAACTTTCATGGAATCATATTCTTTATATTTTAGAATCAAGGTATGTTCCTACTTGGTACTTGATCAAGGAAATACCTAAATCAAGAACCATTCCAAATGGCTGTTTATTAAGTGTGATGGTTTACTAATGTCAACAAAAGTGAAAAAAATTATATTGAAGTATAAACTATAAATAATCTTGTTTAACATATTTATAAATACATTTTTGCCCATATTTGTATTTTGTACCTATTTATATAAAAAAACAAATATTATCTTTTGTACAAATATTTTAAGATCTGGCACTTTTTTAGCACCCCAGAAAAATATTTTTCAGGCTCTTAGCTGATGCTGAGAAAAGTCAGTCAGTCTCACATGTTACCATAGATTAATATTGCCTATCTTTGTCTTCATATAAATGGAAGCATACGGTATTTATTTTTTTCTGGCTTATTTCACTCAAAATTGCATTTGTGAAATCTATTTATGTTATGGACCAGTGTTTCATTCCTTTTTGTTTTGTGTAGCACCCTGTTGAATGAATATGGAGCTTTCCAATCCATTCTATCCTGATGAACATCCAGGTGTCTCTGTTGAAACTGCTGGTCATAAATTATGTGTTTAAATTTAGTAGATAATGATAATTATTTTTCCAAAATAGTTGTATCAACTTAATAACTCATTCAAATATGTGAAGACCTCCTAACAATCTAAAAAGATGGACTTCCAATTTCAAATAATAAATACAAAGATTAAGTACTTGAACAGGCAGTATATGCACATTTTTAAACATAAAAGATTGAGTTAAATTTTGAAAAATGTAGGCCGGGCGTGGTGGCTCACGCCTGTAATCCTGGCACTTTGGGAGGCCCAGACGAGCGGATCACGAGGTCAGGAGATAGAGACCATCCTGGCTAACACTGTGAAACCCCGTCTCTACTAAAAATACAAAAAATTAGCCGGGCGTGGTGGCGGGCACCTGTAATCCCAGCTACTTGGGAGGCTGAGGCAGGAGAATGGCATGAACCCGGGAGGCAGAGCTTGCAGTAAGCCGAGATTGCGCCACTGCACTCCAGCCTAGGCAACAGAGCGAGACTACGTCTCAAAAAAAAAAAAAAGAAAAGAAAAGAAAAGAAAAAAAAGAAACATGTAACTAAGAATCTCATTTGAGCTACATGTGTGAAAATATTTCTTTTACATTATCATATAACACAGTTTTTGGATATGACGAGTGCTGAACTGAGGCTTTTCACTTGATATGCATTACAAATTAGAATTTTTCACTCACAAAACATGCTTATGACAGTTTTATATATGAATAGAATTGTAAAAATTGCCTTAAGAGTTATTGAATAAAATGTTTAAAGTACCTCATAGGATGAGGAAAAAATGGAAGAGTTAACAAGGATACAGAGCATAAAAGAGAAGAATAAGAGTTCAAATAAAATCGAATGAAAAGACACCATCTTGTGTAACTCTGTAGTTAATTGTGCATGTGTGCTATTTTTCATGACTTGGAGCACGTTATTTTTGGCCAAGAGTTTCCATTCTATCTATGGATATGCCAGAAATTTCCTATTTTAGATCTTCTAGTCTCCAACTCTCAAGATAAAAAACAAAAATCATTAAAACCTCTGACTCTGATATTGAATGCCTGCATAAAAATCTCCTCCCATCACCTTGCAACAGATGACTTGCTCATACACCTTTTTGACTACCACTCCCCATCAAGGGTTCTCTCCTTCGAGACTACAGTAATTCTCTTTGTATTTCATATTATGTGCAAACTTTACTTTCAAAGAGTTGTTACCTATATTAATGTACTTACATCATTCACCGAATATATTTTCTCTATCAGCAAAATTGGTTTAGATATCTTGGATTAGGATAGAACACGTCACAACTTCTCCCCCCTTTATGATCAGTTTTTTTTTTTTTTTTAGTCGGACCGTTTTTCAGTTGGTGACTGTCAGAAATGAATTAAAGTTTTAAGAGAAGAATAGGTAAGGGTAAAGAGAAGGGTGTCCTTATGTATCAACTTTGCTTATTTAGTTTTTTCAAGTTCAACAAGACCCTCCTCTCCCTTCAAGGAAGATGATTCCTAAGCACGTTTGTTACTTCTATCAAAACAGCTGAGTTTTTTTTTTTTTTTTCATTCATGTTGTTAAAATACCAATAGTGGAGCGAAAAATGCTTCACCTGGGACTGTCCCCTGACAGGCAGTGCGGCGAGGTCAGGCCCGCGCCCGCCGAGTCCTAGGGCCGCTGCCGCCGACGGCCATGGAGGACGAGCAGCTCGACAGCCTGGAGGGCTGGGCGCCGGTCCGGCAAGGCCTCTTCGCCGATGCCGAGAGGCACCGGCTGCGCTTCCTGGTGGCGTGGAATGGCGCGGAGGGCAAGTTAGCTGTGACTTGTCACGACCTCACCGCGCAGCAGCCGCAGCGGCGCGAGGGGGCCCGGCTGGGGCTGGAGCCCAAACCCAAGGCCGCTGTGTCCCCGCCCAGCTGCCGTGTCCCCGCCCAGCTGCCGTGTCCCCGCCCAGCTGCCGTGTTCCCGCCCAACTGGGCCGGCCGGTTCTCGGCCGCGGGGTTCCGCGGCGCGCGCTGGCAGCTAGCGGCGCTGTGGCCGCCTCTGGAACGCTGCTCCCCGCAGCTGGACGTGGGCGGCGGCGGGGCCTGGAGTCTGGGGCTCGGGCTGTGGGCGCTGCTCTGGCAGGCGCGCGCGGGCCCCGGCGAGGTGGCGCTGCAGGAGCTTTGCGGGCAGCTGGAGCGCTACCTGGGCGCGGCGGCCCACGGCTGCGGCGGCGCCACCGTGCGCCACGCTGTTTTCGCGGCTAAAGGCCGCGCGGCTGACTGCGAGAGCCCGCGCGAGTTTCGAGAGCGGGCCCTGCGCGCCTGATGGGTCGAGGCGGACGCGCGGCTGCGTCAGGTAAGCGAGGCCGGGCCGCCGGCGTTTGACCGCGCTTGGGTGGCCTGGGACCCTGTGGGAGGCTTCCCCGGCGCCGAGAGCCCTGGCTGACGGCTGATGGGGAGGAGCCGGCGGGCGGAGAAGGCCACGGGCTCCCCAGTACCCTCACCTGCGCGGGATCGCTGCGGGAAACCAGGGGGAGCTTCGGCAGGGCCTGCAGAGAGGACAAGCGAAGTTAAGAGCCTAGTGTACTTGCCGCTGGGAGCTGGGCTAGGCCCCCAACCTTTGCCCTGAAGATGCTGGCAGAGCAGGATGTTGTAACGGGAAATGTCAGAAATACTGCAAGCAAACTGAAAACAACCCATCCATGTAGGAAAGAATAACACGGACTACACGTAAGCAATTCCAAGTCTGTGTCTGCGGGGACGTCGCAAGTGGGATAAAATGGTTTAAAGGAAGAAATGGCTTTTAGGAGTTAGGGTGTTTTGTTTTAAGTAATACAGACTTGGTCAAATGGAAAGCCGGTAGAAAGTGAGCTTTATTCATCAGTTTAACCGCATTAGTGCTCTTTTAAGCTTGAAAGAGGTAGTTTGAGAGAGTAATTGAGTGGTAAACTTACTGAACTTAGGGGACGGGGAAGTACATGTTCATAGAAGGGTTTAGGAGAAAGTATGCCTTCTAAATCCACACCCACGGTTTACTAAGCAGAGCCAGGCTGGAGTCTCAGCTCACTGCTCTTATTAACCTGAATGATTTTTTTCTGTGCATTCTTTTGAGGAAGGGGAGGTGAAAAGAAGAATTCAGCCTAAGCTAAATATAGAATAAGCTTTCTAAATTAAAATGGTTTTATAAAAGGAGCTTGTTAGTGGGGTCATTTTTGTACTGTGAGCTTTATGTGTAAATGTCTACACACCCACTTAACATGTGTTGATTTCACTTTAGACTATGAGGAAACCACAGGGGAGTTTCAGGCCAGTCAGCTTTTGATCTTCAACTTTATAACTTTCACCTTAGGATATGACGAGCCCACCGGAGTTTCAAAAATGGTATCATTTTGTATCAGACTTGTTTTTTACACTCTTGGTTTCTCACAGAGATAGGTGGTTTCTCCTTAAAATCGAACATTTATATGATGCATTTTACTGTAGTTACTATCAGAAAAGTTAGTTTTCCCAAATTTAAGTTCACTCTGGGGTACTATAGCGTGAATGTAGTTCATTCTGTTGAGCTAGTTGTTCATGTTAGTGTAGTTCACATATTTATCTGGAACTCAAAAATGAGGGGTTGAGAGGGGAAGCTAAAATTCAAAACATGTCCAAATATATAATTTTAATATTTTACTTTATATTTAAAATAGAAAAGCAATTGATTCTAGAATTAGATTAATTGCTAGCATTGCTAGCATATATAAAATGAAGCTGAATGTTTTAACTCTGGAATTTTTCTGAATAGTCTAAGAAATAAGGCTGAAGTGTATCACTTGCCTTAAGTTTACTTTTGCGTGTGTGTTTTAATTTTGTTCAGTGGGGCTTTCACTTAAAAAAAAAAACATAATATTATTACCTGGATAAAAAATACAGCTGAAAGTAGATCACTTTATCTTTAAGCAGAAGGATGGAAATAGAAGAATTTTAAGAATGTATTGGTTGAAAAACATCTATATTATTTTATTTTTATTTCTCTTCTTGTGGGAGTAAAATAATTTCCAACCAAATCAGTCCACCTAGATTATACACTGTTCAGTTTGTTTTCTGCCCTGCAGCACAAGCAATAACCAGCAGAGACTGGAACCACAGCTGAGGCTCTGTAAATGAGTTGACTGCTAAGGACTTCATGGGGATATTAACCTGGGGCATTAAGAGAATCAACATGCTAAAGTACTTGGAGACAGCTCTGTAATGTTTTATGAGGTTTTTTGTTTTTTTTTTTTTGAGACAGAGTCTTGCACTGTCGCCCAGGCTGGAGTGCAGTGGCGCCATCTCGGCTCACTGCAAGCTCTGCCCCTCAGGTTCACCCCATTTTCCTGCCTCAGCCTCCCCAGTAGCTGGGACTGCAGGTGCCCTCCACCACGCCCAGCAAATTTTTTGTATTGTTAGTATACACAGGGTTTCACCGTGTTAGCCAGGATGGTCTCAATCTCCTGACCTCGTGATCTGCCTGCCGTGGCCTCCCAAAGTGCTGGGGTTACAGGTGTGAGCCACCATGCCTGGCCCTTAGGAGCTTTTAAAAAGGAATACAGCCTCACAAAACCTTCACAGTCAGAAAAGTCAAATGAAAAAATATCCACACCTCAAACCTTCTTTTGGGTCCTTTTCGCTGCATACTTAGTGCATAGTTGAGATTAAATTTTGTACTCTGCCTCTCCATTTAATTATAAAAGTCTCCTTTTTTTTTTTTTTGAAACAGAGTTTCGTTCTTGTTGCCCAGGCTGGAATGCAATGGCACTGTCTCGGCTCACCGCAACCTCCGCCTCCCGGGTTCAAGCTATTCTCCTGCCTCAGCCTCCCCAGTAGCTGGGATTACAGGCATGCGCCACCACGCCCAACAAATTTTGTATTTTTAGTACAGACAGGGTTTCTCCATGTTGGTCAGGCTGGTGTCGAAGTCCTGACCTCAAGTGATCCACCCGCCTCGGCCTCCCAAAGTGCTGGAATTACAGGCGTGAGCCACGGTGCCTGGCCAAAAGTCTCCATATTATTAAACAATCTTCAGAAGCACAGTGCTGAATGACTACAGTAATAATATTCTGCCATGGATATATCATAATTTACTTAACAATTCTTGTTTTATTGGGCATTTTTGATGGAGGATGATGACATTTTCATATTTAATCAATATTTTAAATTGATGTATTGAAAGTTGAGAACATGAAGGTTTCTTTTGTTTAGTTTTGTTTGTTGGGTATGTATTACACTGTCTGACTTGAGCTTTATTCACATTTGCTCTCTAGGTTATCCAAGGACATGGAAAAGCCAACACCATGGTAGCATTAATGAAAGTTTACCAAGAGGAAGATGAAGCCTACCAGGAATTAGTTACCATGGCAACCATGTTTTTCCAGTACTTACTGCAGCCATTTAGGGCTATGCGAGAAGTTGCAACTTTATGTAAGCTTGATATTTTGGTATTTTTTTTAATTTTTATTTTATCACATTTACTATTTGTCATATATTATTTCTTTATTTACACTTAATGTTCAATCTCTGCACTTTGTTTGGGTTTACTTTTATGTTTCTTTACTTATTTATTGATAGAGATGAGGTTTTGCCATGTTGCTCAAGCTGGTTTCTAACTCCTGAGCTCAAGCAGTCTGCCCACCTCGGCCTCCCAAAGCGTAGCATTACAGGCGTCAGCCACTATGCCTAGTTCACCCTCATGTTTAAATATTGAATTTATATTTAAAATTGATAGAAAATGAAGACATTTATGTTGGTCATCTTACTAGCTTAAGATTCCTGCAGATTTTAAAGAGTTAAGAGTTTTTTTGTATCGATGCCTTTTTTTTTTTTTTTTTTTTTTTTTTTTGAGATAGGGTCTCTCTTTGTCAGCCAGGCTAGAGTGCAGTGGCACAATCTTGACTCACTGCAACCTCCTCCAGGTTCAAGTGACTCTTCTGCCTCAGCCTCCTGAGTAGCTGGGATTACAGGTGTGCACTCCATGCCCAGCTAACTTTTTTTGTATTTTTAGTAGAGACGGGGTTTCACCATGTTGGCCAGGCTGGTCTCAAACTCCTGACCTCAAGTGAGCCACGCGTCTCAGCCTCCCAAAGTGCTGGGATTACAAGCGTGAGCCACTGCGCCCAGCCTGATGAATTGTTTTTGATGTGATATTTATTTGCTTCAGTTTGTTTTCCTCTAAGGACTCATCCAAATTTCTTAAAATAGGATGAAAATTTAAATAGCAGGACCCTAGATTGTAATTCAGTAACTTAAATTTTAGTAAATGCTGTTATCGCTCTTGTTTCATTGAGCCATCAAACAACCGTGTGACCCCATTCAGAAAAGACATTCTTATTCCAGTGTTACAAATGAATCTGGAGTCCAGAGTTGTTAAATATCTTACCTTGGGTCTCAACAACGGGAATCAGAAGACACCTAAGAGATCTCTTGATTTCTGCCCCCTGCACTGGGCCATCTTTCCACATATAATCTCATGCCCCCTGCCAGATGATTGTACTATAAAAATAGTATCACATTTAGATGAAACTCATGCCACTCTAACCTGTGGATAAAGTTGTTCTGTTCATTATTTTGAAAGTCTATTATTTGGAGAGTCTACTTCTTGCATATATTTTGCTTTCTTCTTCTGTTTTTTTTTTTTTTTTGAGATGGAGTTTCGCTCTTGTTGCCCAGGCTGGAGTGCAATGGCGTGATCTCAGCTCACTGCAACCTCCACCTCCTGGATTCAAGCGATTCTCCTGCCTCAGCCTTCCGAGTAGCTGGGATTACAGGCATGTGCCACCATGCCCGGCCTGGCTAATTTTGTATTTTTTTAGTAGAGATGGGGTTTCTTCACGTTGGTCAGGCTGGTCTTGAACTCCTGACCTCAGGTGATCTGCCCACCTCAGGCTCCGAAAGTGCTGGGATTACAGGCATGAGCCACCGCACCCGGTCTATATTTTTCCTTTCTTTAAGTAACAGCTGTTTTAAGATACCATTCACAGATTATATATATATATATATATATATATATGTATATATATATATGTATATATTTATGAATATATGTATGTATATATATGTGTATATGTGTGTATATGTGTATATATGTGTATATGTATGTGTATGTGTATGTATATGTATGTGTATATATGTATATATAAAAGATGTACAATTCAGTGATTTTTAGTATATTGAAAGTTGCACAATGGTCATTACTATGTAATTTCAGGACATTTTCACCTCCAAAAGAAACCCTGTACCCATTAGTCACTCCCAACCCTGGGCAACCACCAATCTACTTTCTGTCTCTGTGGATTTCCCTACTCTGGACATAGCAACAGCATTATTGAATATGTGGTCCTTTCACTCAGCACAGTGTTTGCAAGACTAATCCATGTTGTAGCAAATACCAGGATTTCATTTCTTTTTATTGCTCAGTAATATTCATTGTATGGATATATTGCATTTTATTCATCAGTTGATGGACATTTGGGTTGTTTCCACTTTTTGGCTATCATGAATAATTCTGCTATGAATGTTTGTGTATGAGTTTCTGTGTAGACATATCTTTTCATTGCTCTTGTGTACGTACTGAGGAGTAGGATTGCTGGGTCCTGTGATTACTCAATGTTTAACCTTTTGAAAGACGCCAGATGGTTTTCCAAAGTGGGTGCCTCATTTATATTCCCAAAAGCAGTAAATGAGGGTTCCAATTTGTCCACATTATCACCAACACTTGTAATTGTGTGTCTCTTTGGTTACAGCCATCCTAGTGGGTGTGAAGTGGTATCTCGTTATGGTTTTGATTTGTAATTCCTTGTCGGCTAACTTGTACATATTTCTTATGCTTTGTAGAAGAAAAATTGCATATTGGATGACATAGCTGTACATGTCTTAGTTCAGGCTGTTATAACAAAGTACCGTAGATTAGTGGCTTATAAACAACAAAACTTTTTTTCTCACAGTTCTGGAGGCTGGGTAGTCTAAGATCAAGGTGCTGGCAGATCCAGTGTCTTGTGAGGGCCAGTTTCTTAATTTGTAGATGACTGTCTTGCTGTGTCTTCACATGGTGAAGAGCAGAGAGAGAGATCCTGTGTCTCCTCTTCTTTTTATAAGGGCATTAATCCCATTCTTGAGGGCTGCACCCTCATGACCTAATTACCTCCCAAAGGCCCCATCTTCAAATACCATCACACTGGGGATTTAGGCTTCAACATATGCATTTTGGGGGGACCCAAACATTCAGTCCAATACCAGTGCATGTTATAAGCATGAATATACAGATACTGTCTTTTAGGTGATTATATTACATATCCCTAAAAGAAACGATAACAACAGCTAACACTTAAGTGCTGTGTTCCAGGCCCTATGCTGAGTGCTTGACAACACAGATCACTCATTTAAACAATTGTGTATTATTATTAATAGAGAGAAGCATAAGTTGACAACATTCCTCTCTAGAAAAAGTTATTCTAGGCATGTGAAGTGAAAGTAGGTTTTTTTTTCCCCTTTATGCCCCAGAGTGTCCTTTTGTCTTCCAGGTGGTGCTCAGCTTAGAGCCTTATTCATATGCAGTAAGGGACTGCTGAATGAATGAAAATTTAACTGACTGAGTAGTACTGTAGTTAAATTAATCCATGTGACCAATTTCCTTTCAATTTCCTAATGGGTCAACATAACTATTAGCTCTTAGTAAGATAATTTTCTCTTCTGTCTGTAGAATTCCTTGGATGAGGATGACGTAGGTCCTACGTCTCCAGGATAGTTGCCCTGGAGAAAGAAGCTGAAGAATGGACCAGACGGGCTGAAGAAGCTGTTGTCTCTATTCAAGATATCACAGTGAATTATTTTAATTAGACAGTAAAAGCATTAGCAGGTGATAATCTAAAAAATGCTTTACGCAGATACGTGTAATTGATTGTCATTTTATTCATATACCATTTGAGTCCCTCTTACGCACTAGGCACTGTGTTTTCTGGGTGGCAAGAATTCAGTGTCAAGCATTAAGAGACATTGTACAGTCTGGTGAAGGGAGAGAAATCTTAATTATCTATTCACTGAAGCACATGGAAAATGGCAGTGACAATAAATGGCACAAAGAAGAGAGACATCGGGCTCTGAGGGTCTGTGAGAGAGAAATTGGGCTTGATCAGGGTGGTCGCTGAAGGCCTCTGAGAAGTGGTGCTTGCCCCAGTAGCTGAAGGGTAAACGGAAGTTGAGAGAATAGAAAAAGTGAGGAGTGTTCCGGGCAGAAGGAATAGCACTGGTAAAGGTCCCCTGGCTTGAGGGAAGTTGGCAAATAGGAGCTTACAGAAAACCTGCAGGGCTGGATCACACAGAGTGCAGGACAGTGTGGCACGAGGGAGAATGCTGGCAAGACAGGCAGGGATCAGACCGTGCAGGGGCTTGCGGGCTGGGTGAAGGACTTTTTTTCAGTCTTAAATAATTGTTAATAAAAACACCAAATAGGAAACAACTTAATGTCTGTCAGTTTGTTAAGTTATGGTACATTCATAAAAGAGAAAACTACATAGCTATTAAGCATGATTCTTGATTTTTTTTATAAATGGCAAGAGTGTCTGATATATTGTGCAGAATCAGCAAGATATAAAGCAGAATGATAATCCTGGTTTTTTGGTCAAACTATCCATATGAGCCTGTCTGTCTAGCTAGACATAGAAACAATATGGAAGCAAGTGTGCCAAAATATAAGAAGCAGTTGCCTCAACTAGGTGAGATCATGACTTATTATTGTCCTTTTAAAAATTGAATACCTAAAATTGTATATTAATGACCATGTATTATTTTTATAATAATAAAAAAGTTAATAAAACAAAATTTCTTTTAAAAAAGATGTTCTGCAGGTAGTATGGAAGCAATAAAAAAAGAATTAGCTCATGATCAATGTTTCCCTTTTTAATGAGGTGTAATTATATTTTATTTTTATAATCCAACAGGAATGCAGAAAGAAATGGAACAGGATGTGAAGAGATTTGGCCAGGCTGCCTGGGCCACAGCAATTCCCAGGTTGGAAAAACTTAAGCTAATGCTAGCTCAAGAGACTCTGCAACTCATGAGAGCGAAAGAATTGTATTTAAATCGCAAAAGAGCTGAAATTCAGGGAAAGGTAAGACAAAGATAAACGTAACTTTGTTTTAAAACTACACTTTTATTTTATTTATTTTTTTATTTTTTTTGAGACGGAGTCTCGCTCTTTTGCCCAGGCTGTACCACAGTGGTGCAGTCTCGGCTCACTGCAAGCTCCACCTCCCGGGTTCACGCCATTCTCCTGCCTCAGCCTCCCGAATGGCTGGGACTACAGGCGCCCACCACCACGCCCAGCTAATTTTTTGTATTTTTAGTAGAGACGGGGATACACTGTGTTAGCCAGGCTGGTCTCGATCTCCTGACCTCGTGATCCGCCCGCCTCGGCCTCCCAAAGTGCTGGGATTACAGGCGTGAGCCACCATGCCTGGCCCCACTTTTATTTTTTAAAAAGTTTGTGTAAATAAGGGATACAAGTACTGTTTTGTTCCATGGATATATTGTGTAGTGGTGAAGTTTGGGCTTTTAGTGTAATCTTCACCTGTATAATGTAATTGTACCCACTAAATATTTCTCATCCTCCCTCCCACCCTCTTACTCTTCTGAGTCTCCAGTGTCTATTATTCCACACTGTGTGTGTATACACACTACTTAGCTCCCACTTATAAGTGAGACCATGTGGTAAAGCACACTTTTATTTTTAGATAGCACTTTTCTTTCCAGGCATCGTTAAAGAGCTTCTTTTCTTCACTTATTCTAACACTATCTTCTATGGAAGGTTAGACATAAAGTTTTCCTTTAGTTAAGATGTTTCAAAATACCATATTATAGGATTTACTTTATAGTAACACCGAGCCCAGTATTGAAGTGGGTACTGTACTTGAATATCAATCCAGCAATGTTTTCAGTACAGCTTTAAAATAATCAAAGAGATACTTCACTGAAGGATCATAGACACTTAAGTTTTTTCCTATAATCTTATGACCTTAAAGCAGAAAACACTGTAACCACCTGTCTTAGTTGGCTAAGGCTGCTATAACAAGATTAAATATCACAGATTGGGTGGCTTCAACAACGGACATGTATTTCTCACAGTTCTGGAGGCTGGGAAGTCCAAGATGCCTGCAGATTCACTGTCCGGTGAGGATCCTCTTCCTGTCTGGTAGACAGCTGCCTTCTTAACTGAGTGCTCATATAGCCTTTCTTCTGTGTGTAAGTTTAGAGAGAAAGAAAGTGATCCCTGTCTTTCTCTTCTAATGGCACTAATCCCATGATGGGGGTGCTATCCTTTTGACATAATCTGAACCTAATTACTTCCAAAGGACCCACCTCCAAATAACATCACATTGGGAGTTAGAGTGTCAACATATGAATTTTGTGGGGACACCAATATGCAATACATAATAATACCTCATTGCCATTTATGTTTCTCAAAACCTAAATGTTTTTCTGTTTCAAGGATGAGATAAAATATTAGCATCACTAGATGAAATGAAAAAGTGTTTCTTTCCTATTTGCTTTTTTATATTTAGTATTGAACAAGGAATAGAAAATAGCTAGAATGCTTCTGAAGTTTGTTTTTAATATACTATTTATTTTAACTTATTTTTCTTTTTTCTATGAAAATAAGATGGAAGATCTTCCAGAACAAGAAAAAAATATAAATGTTGTAGATGAATTAGAAATGCAATTTTATGAAATTCAGTTAGAACTATATGAAGTTAAATTTGAGATATTAAAAAACGAAGAAATACTGCTTACTACACAGTTGGACTCTCTTAAAAGACTTATAAAAAGTAAAGTTTATATTTAAGTATATAGATTACAATGTTTATAAATTTAAGGAAATACAGACCATATTATCAATTACTTTTTGTAAACTGTAACATCTGAAAATTTCCTAAAGTTTTCCTTCAGTAGTTTATTATTCAAATAATATATTCATTGTTAGCACATAGCAAAACAAAGAAAGAAAAATGATTATTACTCCAATCCCATCATCTAGAGATGCTTAGTGTTTGGCTGGGCACAGTGGCTCACGCCTATAATCCCAGCACTTTGGGAGGCTGAGGCGGGCGGATCACTTGAGGTCAGGAGTTCCAGACCAGTCTGACCAACATGGTGAAACCCCATCTCTACTAAAAATACAAAAATACTAAACCCTGTCTCTACTAAAAATACAAAGTCCGATGTGGTGGCACGTGCCTGTAATCCCAGCTACTTGGGAGGCTGAGGCAGGAGAATGGCTTGAACCCGTGAGGTGGAAGTTTCAGTGAGCCAAGATCGTGCCACTGCACTCCAGCCTGGAAGACAGAGCGAGACTCCGTCTAAAAAAGAAAAAAAAAAAAAGAGATACTTAGTGGTAACAATTTGCTGTATAACTTTGTAGATTTTAAAATATGCTGATATATAAAAATATAAATTTTTAACCAAAACTACATAACCAGTTCAGTAACATCTTTTTAAAAATTTTTTAATTTTTATGGGTGCATAGTAGATATATATATTTATGGGTTACATAAGATATTTTGACACAGGCATACAATGCATAATAGTCTCTTTTTCATTTAATACATACTAATTGTCTATTTCAGAAATAATAAAAGTATCAAAATTTTAATGGCTGCATAGTATTCCATTATATGGATATACCGTGATTTCCAAATTTCCGCTGTTTTGAACAGTAGTGTAGTGAACTTTCCTTTACACATGTCTTTTTGAGTATAGGACAGATTATCTCCTTAGAATAAATATCTAAGGATGGAATTATTGGGTCAAGGACAATGTATATTTTACATTTTGCTACGTAATAATACAACAATCATCTGAGATACATTTTTCCTCACCTGCGTATTATTTTCTGATTTCTAAATTTCATACTATGTAGTGGCCCTCTAGATAGGTTGTACATTTAAAATGACGCTCCCAGGCTGGGCGTGGTGGCTCACGCCTGTAATCTCAGCACTTTGGGAGGCTGAGGGGAGCAGATTACTTGAGGTCAGGAGTTCAAGACCAGCTTGGCCAACGTGGTGAAACTCTGTCTCTACTAAAAATACAAAAATTAGCTGGGCGTGGTGGTGGGTGCCTGTAATCCCAGCTACCTGGGAGGCTGAGGCAGGAGAATCGCTTGAACCTGGGAGGTCGAGATTGCAGTGAGCTGAGATGGCGCCACTGCACTCCAGCCTGGGCGACAGAGTAAGACTCTGTCTCAAAAAAAAAAAAAAAAAAAGACGCTCCCATCAGCAGAATATGAGTGTGTATGTTTCCCAGACTCATGCCATTTTTTTGCATTTTTGCTTGCTTGACAGAGAAAATGGCAGTCTTCCAATTTTCATTTATTTAATTATGAATGAATATTGAACAAAATTTTGTATGTTTACAAGCCATTTGTACTTATTTTATGAAATGCCTAGTCATAGTCTTTGTCCATTTTTCTTTGGAATATTTCCTTTCGACATTAAGAATAATATTCTCTATTGTCTGTCATATGTTGCAAATAGTCTCTCCTTGTCATTTGCGTTTTCTTGCCTTTCAGAAATATTTAATTTTTATGAAGTCGTGTTTATTGATTTTTTCCCCTATGGCTTCTGCTTTTAGTATTATGTCTGGCAATAGGCTCCTATCCCAAAATTATGTCAATATATACTTATGTTTTCTTTCAGTATGTTTATGATGTTACTTTTTAAAACATTTAATTCTTTAGTCCAGGTGGAATTTATTTTGAATGTGGTAGGAATTGAACCTTTCCCTCAAATTGTTAAGCAGTCCCAATCACTGATTTTAAAAACATTTTCCCTAAATGTTTAACATTTCTCCAGTTAAGCATTAGATTGACTTTGGTCTGTTTCTGAGTTGTTCTCCTCCATTGGTTCGTGAGTGGCTTCTGCTGCTGGCTCCATACTGTTCCCACGACTGTCTTGGAGGCACATTTTAGGGTCTGGTAAGGCAAGTACCCCCCACATTACTTCACAAGTTTTCTGACTATTTTCACTCCTTTATTCTTCCAGATGAAATTTAGAATCAAGTTCAAAACAAAAAACTCTTTGGAATTTTGATTGTGATTTTGCTTAAAATTAGAGATTACTTTGGGGAGAATAGTGGTCTTTGCAATTTTGAATCTTCCTACCCAAGAACATGGTATGTCTCTCTCCATTTATTTAAATCTTTTTTCCTAAAGTTCCTCCAAGTTTAATAAATTTCTTCACATAGATCCTGAACTTTTA
The DNA here is from genome assembly GCF_000001405.40 of Homo sapiens. Lineage (NCBI taxonomy): Eukaryota > Metazoa > Chordata > Mammalia > Primates > Hominidae > Homo > Homo sapiens. Next base: position 30,483,335 of record NC_000015.10, read on the forward strand.
GTTTAATCCTGAGTATTCAGAATTTTTTTCAGTAGTTTCAGGTTATAAGCATTTTACATATTTAGGAAAAAAATTACATTAAAAAACAAGTTAATCTGGAAGGATGCATGCCAAATTGTTCATAATGTTTTTCCTCTGAGAATGACTCAGAAGGTTTGGGGAATGAGCAATAGAATTTCACTGTTTATTTGATGTACTTCTGGAGGGTTTGAATTTGTTACAGTAAGCATGACTTTTAAAAAATCAATATGTAATCAAGATTAAATATCACTAAGGCATCTTAATAATATATTGCTGGTAGAATATAAGTTGCCTTTCTGGAGGGCAGTGTGGCAATGGGTATCAAGATCCTTAAACACTTATCTGCTAAGGAAATGATAAAAAGTGTACACAAAGATTTATACAGAGATGTTTATCACAGTGAAATGAATAATAATGGAACATTGGAACAGCCTAACAACGTGGATTGCTTAAATTAGAGAATACTATGCTGCCATTAAAATTTATCTTTTTAAATTTTTTTTTATTTTTGGAGATGGAGTCTTGCTCTGTTGCCCAGGCTGGAGTGCAGTGGCACGATCTCGGCTCACTGCAACTTCTGCCTCCCAGGTTCATGCTGTTCTCCTGCCTCAGCCTCCTGAGTAGCTGGGATTACAGGCACACGCCACTGTGCCCAACTAGTTTTGTATTTTTAGTAGAGACGGGGTTTTGCCATGTTGGCCAGGCTGGTCTTGAACTCCTGACCCTCAGGTGTGCCGCCTGCCTTGGCCTCCCAAAGTGCTGGGATTACAGGCGTGAGCCACCGCACCTGGCCTAAAGATTTATTTCCATCCCATGGAAAATGTTCTTTTAGAACTCCATTGATATGTGTAGCTATGTAAGTAGTATGTGTATGTGCGTGTGTATATATACGTATGTCTGTACAGGTATATATACATGCATATACTACTTGTATATACACACATGCTACTTAATACATGTGTATAGTCATGTATATATACACGTGTATATGTATATTACATTTATACACATACATTTTTTATATGTTAATAGTGATTCTCAGTGGTGGCATTACAAGTGATCTTTATTTTCCTTACATTTAAAAAAATTGAGTGCATTTTTACAAATAATAAAATATGTTTTAAACAATCATTAATACCTTTTTAGAAAAACAGGATGAAGTTGTCTATTACGATCCATGTGAAAGTCCAGAGGAACTTAGTCATTGACTGTGGTGGGGCTGCAGGACGATAAGAATTCGGAAGTGAAAGAACTCAGAAGGCAGTGCCAGCAGCTGGAGTCTGTTAAACGGAGCAGTCTGTGTCAAAAGAGCTTCTCTCCAGAGTAGAAAGGTAGGTACGCTCAGAGCGGCTTTCTTTTCTTTTCTCTTCCAGAGATTTATTCTTGTATGAAGGATAAAGAGGTATTGAAATAAGGTTTTTACCAACACAGTGATTAATTTTTTGTGTGCTTATGTACTTATCCATGGCTATAGTTAAAATGATTTTTAATATTTTTCTTAAAAATATTATTTTTTTCTTTTGGGTTTTAAGCATTTAGCAAATCTCAAGGTTTTAATTTATTCATTTAACAACTATTTGTTGAATGCCCACTGCATACACAGGCACTTTTATTTTTATTTTTTTGAGACAGAGTCTTGCCCTGTCACCCAGGCTGGAGTGTGGAGGCAAGATCTTGGCTCACTACAACTTCCGCCTCCTAGGTTCAAGCAATTCTCGTGCCTTAGCCTGCCAAGTAGCTCGGTTTACAGGCACGCGCCACCACGCCCAGCTAATTTTTGTATATTTTGTAGAGACGGGGTTTTGCCATGTTGGCTAGGCTGGTCTTGAACTCCCGACCTCAAGTGATCCGCCCACCTTGGCCTCCCAAAGTCCTGGGATTACAGGTGTGAGCCACTGCCCCTGGACCACAGGTACTTTAAAAACCACAATAGGTAGAAACTCTATTTCTAATAACCAACTATAACAATTCTAAATATATTTTACTGTAAATTATTGAGTACACAAAACAATAACAGGTCAGCTCACCTCAGATTTAATACTTAAACATTAAAGAATATCAACCTACTTGCAAGAAACTTAACAAAACCTAAGGAACATAATACAAATAAAACTTTACCTATCCAGATTATAAGCTGGATATTATAATATCCAGGAAAATATCCAGGATGTTAGAATGGCTTGAAACAGAATTGAAAATTTTTGAGCTATAAGACACATAGGAGAAATTTTAAGTTCATTTTTTTTGGATGAGACATTTATTAGTCTCAACAAGACTGAATGATTTTCTTTTAAGGTCACACATTTAAATAGTTAACAGGAGAAATACCAACCAGAATCATAGTCAAATACCCACCTACTCCCTTTCCAAGACAACTAAGGTCTCAAATTGCGCCCATTTTTCTCAAATTATTTCTAGAATATTTAGCAAAAGAGGCTTTTAATTTGGCATATCTTTGTCTACAATTTTGTAGTTTGTGTAAAGAAAGGTAGATTAAGGGAATTTCATTTTAAAGGTGAGAATCAGAATGACATTTGTGAAGCTATGATGCCTGTGCCATCTGGCATACACGAGGGTGTAGTACTAAATGGGATCAGAATGAGCTCCTTTTGGAAGGAAACCTTTAATAGACTGGGAAACATTAAGGGAATCTTCCCTTTTTTATTTATTTTATTTTATTTTATTTTATTTTATTTTAGATGGAGTCTCACTCTGTTGCCCAGGCTGGAGTGCAGTGGCGCAGTCTCGGCTCACTGCAAGCTCCGCCTCCTGGGTTCACGCCATTCTCCTGCTTCAGCCTCCTGAGTAGCTGGGACTACAGGTGCCCGCCACCACGCCCGGCTAATTTTTTGTATTTTTAGTAGAGACGGGGTTTCACCGTGTTAGCCAGGATGGTCTCGATCTCCTGACCTTGTGATCCACCCGCCTCAGCCTCCCAAAGTGCTGGGATTACAGGCGTGAGCCACCGTGCCCAGCCTCTTATTTTTAATAGAGCATTGGAAAATGAATTCTGTATACCTGGTTAATGAAGGAAATCCAGATTCGTTGCCAAAACCAAGTTTTAAAGGAATTTGCAATCCTTCACAGTTCATTCAAGGAGGCAATGGAAATTTTGATGAAGAAATTTTTTTAAATCTTTCTTAAAAGGAGTCCTTACATTGGTATTGTATCATGACTAAAGTCTTCCTCCCTCTCTCCCTTCTATGCTTTTTGTTTCTGTTTTCTATCTGTCAATGACATCAGTTTCATGGATATAAATGGTTAAAAGACAATGATTACAACACACAGTTGAGTGACACAAATCTTGTTGTAGTGTTAGAAATACATCAATACATTGGGATCATAAAGAGAAATGGCAAGAAAAAAAATCTAAGTTAATAACAGAAAATGCTGATTCCCACAGTCAGTGTAGAAAATAACACGTTTTTTTTTCTGTCAGTGGAGATAACTGAGACTAGTTAATATTGTCAATTCTGTTCCTTCTGACTGAGCCAGGTGAGGCAAAATTTAGCATATGAGTTGAGGGACAAAACTATTACCTTGGCAACATAAAAATTAATACTGTCTACATTGTTTACTAGGAAATGCATGCAAAATTAATACACTCTTGGTAGTACAGGTTGGTTTCACTTCTATAGTGTGTGGTTAATAGAAAGCTGATTCAACAGACGATAGATTCAACAGACGATGTAGAATTGTCTAAAATCCGGCCGGGCGCGGTGGTTCACGCCTGTACTCCCAGCACTTTGGGAGGCCGAGGCGGCAGATCACAGTGTCAGGAGATCGAGACCATCCTGGCTAACATTGTGAAACCCCGTCTCTACTAAAAATACGAAAAAATTAGCCGGGAGTGGTGGTGGGCGCCTGTAGTCCCAGCTACTCGGGAGGCTGAGGCAGGAGAATGGCGTGAACCCAGGAGGCGGAGCTTGCAGTGAGCCGACATCGCGCCACTGCATTCCAGCCTGGGCGACAGAGCGAGACTCCATCTCAAAAAAAAAAAAAAAAAGAATTGTCTAAAATTCATCATCAGTGAGTCCATGGCATGTTTTGGAATTTATTCACTTGTTTGCCTCAGGAACAGTAGCTGTTCAGATTTGTTCTGTCTTTGATTTTGGAAATGAGGTTACCGTGCTCTGTAGTGTGAGGAAGATGACATGGCATAATTAGGCAAACGGCTAGGCATTTTCTCAGCAGTAAATTACCAGTGCCCTTACTTGCCATGATACCCACAACAGGCAGAGGCAGTTTCCTGAGGCAATCCAGGCCACAAAGAACTGTACATTTGGGGAAAACATATCTTCAAATATATATGTTAAAATCTAAAAAATTGGTTAGTATGTATTACTTTTGTGGATACTTAAACATTCCCTATGCATAAAGACCTAGTTAAAGAGATGCAGGCTTTTGGCATGTTAAATAACTCCTTGATGAGAAATCACACTACGAATAATAAATATTACTTAATAAAAATGAAAAATAATGAGATTAGTTACTATTGAACTATTCTTGCTTAGAATGCCCCTGAATTTCAGTCATTGAAATTCACTTGTACCTGGGTAAGTTACAAGTTCTTATTTGTGCTGGTTTCTGTTCCATTGGCAATTAAAATTTTGGTAAGTTGAATAAAAGATCTTTCTAAAAAGGGAGTTTTTTTTTTTTTTTCTTTTTTGAGGGGGACGGAGTCTCGCTCTGTCGCCCAGGCTGGAGTGCAGTGGCACGATCTCGGCTCACCGCAAGCTCCACCTCCGGGGTCCATGCCATTCTCCTGCCTCAGCCTCCTGAGTAGCTGGGACTACGGGCGCCCGCCACCACGCCCGGCTAATTTTTTTTGTATTTTTAGTAGAGACGGGGTTTCACCGTGTTAGCCAGGATGGTCTCCATCTCCTGACCTCGTGATCCGCCCTCCTCAGCCTCCCAACGTGCTGGGATTACAGGTGTGAGCCATCACGCCCGGCCAAAAGGGAGTTCTTATATTGGCAGTGTATCATGATTAAAGTTATCCTCCCTCTTTCTCTCCCTCCCACATATATATTTTCGTGTCAGTATATGTATATGTGATTTGTGCCATTTGTGTGTGTGTAGGTAAATGAAAGTGGCATCAAGAGAATCTCACGTTAAAAAAAATTTGAGATAGTACAATTCTTATGCATCATATGTTGCATAATGTTTGACTATTAAGAAATTTGCATCACACGTCTACTTATTTCATTAAACATGTTACAGTCAATTAATTTACTTACACCCTCCATTTCCTTCTTCCCCCTCTCTCGTTCTCCTGTTGCAGGGTCATTATACGTTCCTACTCACAAAATGTCCTTGTTTTTTCCCTTACTCCTGTCATTGATCTTCTGAATCTTTCCGGCGAACTTAACATGGATGTTTTGATAGAAAGCTCTGGCATTAACTCTGGAGTTGTTTTGCAAGGAAGGTTGTTCGCTTTTTCACCATTTTTTTTTCAGGTCCTTGAAGTGTTTTCACATAGATATTTCACAAGAGCCATTTCAGAATTGAGAACATTTGGCGTGCACTCTTCCTCTTTTGGTCCCACAGTTTTTATGTGTCCTACTTGAAATTATGTTTGCTCCCGTTTCAATTGTAATATTGCACTTACTCATTAGTTTTTAGTTTGAACTCTCCTGCGAGGTCTAATGTAGAGTTTGGACAAGAACACAGATTCATAATAAACCTACCCAGTCAATTTGGTATAAAGGCTTAGAAGGTGGAACTGGCCACATTTTGAATTGGAGGTAAGGATCAGGAATGCTAATGGAGAGACATAGGATTTTCTTATGGAAACAAGAAACAAATAACCTCTGGGCAGTATTAGAGCCCAGAGAGTGATAAGCCTCTTCTAACTTCAATATTCTATGTACAAATTCACAAGACTTTTTTTTTTCTTTCTTTTTTTTGAGACGGAGTCTCACTCTGTAGCCCAGGCTGGAGTGCGATGGCGCGATCTTGGCTCACCACAAGCTCCCCCTCCCGGGTTCACGCCATTCTCCTGCCTCTGCCTCGTGAGTAGCTGGAACTACTGGCGCCTGCCACCACATCCAGCTAATTTTTTTGTATTTTTAGTGCAGACTGGGTTTCACCGTGTTAGCCAGGATGGTCTGGATCTCCTGACCTTGGGATCCGCCCGCCTCGGCCTCCGAAAGTGCTGAGATTACCGGCGTGAGCCACTGTGCCCGGCCGAGACTTTTAATTATGCAATGCCAGACTGCATTGCATAAACCAAAGGCCAACAGAGAGGTGACCTTTCAAATTACTGGCACAAGAAGAGCTGAGATCAGAAAGCTCCAACTTAATGCAAACATCGACAAGAAATCCGACAGAAATGACTTCTGTGTCTGGTCAACTTAACATAACATGACATATTGTCAAGCGCATTTGGCTTTTTAGGTAGAATTGTCTATAAAGGTTTAACTGCTTTAGAAAATATAAATGTGAAGATTTGTGGTATTTGGGTTTATATATAAGATATTTCTACATTGAAAAGAGACTGGAAAAGCTTGGTATAAGATTTGTAAAATATGTTTGTAATAATGCTAATGGAAGAGGTGAGATTTGGGTGGGGTGGGGTGTAGATGGGAACATGGTTTGGGGATTGGGGAAAGGGAAGTCATGCTGTTAATAAAATAGTGAGGCATGTTGTATAAAGTGTGTTTTATGTCTCAATTGAAATGTTATAGAGATAAATTTAAAATAGATCATGATGGGTTTTGAATCTGATTTCTAATTTTAAAATGTTATGAGCTTTTGTTGCTTTCCTATTTCATACACATTTCTTTATGGGTTTCACTTAGACTGCATGAAATTGCAGATGCCAATTACCTTTTAACAAAATTAAATTCACATATATGTATAATTTGCATGTATATATCCATGGAATTTTTTATTCTACACGATATATTATTTTAAAATGGTTTTTCAATGACAAAATAAAAAGTATTTTTCTATACTTTCAGTTTTCTGGTTTGAATTTTTTCTGGCAACACTAATTTTCACCTACCTATACTCATTGATAGTATAAAATTGTATAAGTGCATATTTTACCATGTTTACATTTGAATGGATGACTGGAGGTACATCTATGATGACTAATACTTTCTAAACACATATTTACTTCTCATATATCTGTCTAAATGATTTTAAAAGGAAGGGGAAAATAGAGATGTATCATTAGGTTATACTGTCTTAAAGCACATTGAGCTGCTCTCATGTTTGGAGAATTTTGAATGTGATGAATGTTTCTCTTTCACCGCTAACAGGTTGTATGTGTGAGCCACATTTTATTGCAAGTGTTTGAAAGGCCATTGCAAATATGGGATATTGCCAGACAGTAAAAAGCAAATTGAGTCTATTGAGAAATTAATTCACCAGCTGAAGGAAGTACATTTGCCTTAGAGTCATCAGATATTCTACTCACCAGACTCATCTCCGAGATAGCATCCTAATGAGCTTCCTAAACCAACTAAACATAAGCAGGAAGCATCAGTCGTCAAAACTGACTCTTTTCAGCCAATCAGCTGACTGCACAAACTGTATGGCATTGAGGAAAGGAAGAACATTCTGAAAGTTTTTTTCTTTTTTCATTCTGTCCTCATTCTGTTGGTTTCTCAGTTTTACGGATGCAGGATCATGTACAGAACCCTGTAAATGAGCATAGTTCGTTTAAGTATATAAAGTGCTTTCAGTGGATAAAATGAATTTTAACAGGCTTAAGTGATGTGCCTAAATGCACACAATTAATGCATGGCTGGAATTCAAAATCATGTCTTTTCCTCTGTTCTGATTGTTTTATAAATATGGGTTGTTTTAATGTGTGGCTGGAATTCAAAATTGTGTCTTTTCCTCTGTTCTGATTGTTTTATAAATACAGGTGTAGTGATTGATTTTCTACCCACCATGACAGGGAATAGGTTCAAAACTTAAAACCCTGTTTGTTTTATAATTAGGTAGACTCAAATGACAGATCAAGGCAGGGAGGGGAGCCAGTCATTTTTACTCCCATATGGGTTTGCTCCTTCAAAGACAGGACTGGGGTAGCAGTGTCAGTTCCTACAGGTTATAACGATCTTAATGATAAATAACCGTAACTGAATACTTATAATGTGCTAGCACTTTTCATAATGTATCCCAATAATACTCACAAAACCTTCCAAATATTACCTTTTTGTTGTCTTTGTTTTATTTTGTTTTGTTTTGAGACAGGGTCTCACTCTGCTGCCCAGGCTTTAGTGCAGTGATGCAATCATGGTTCACTGCAGCGTCAAACTCCTGGGCTTAAGCAATCCTCCCACCTCAGCCTCCCAAGAAGCTGAGACTACAGGCATGCACCACCACTCCCAGCTCCAAATAAATATTCTTATCCCATTTTACTGATGCAGAAAAATGTTTGGCCCAGAGAAGTAATGTTAAGTTTATTGGGGGATTTAAGTTGTAAAAAATTATTTTATCGAACCCTAATGTAAACTGTGGACTCTGGGTGATAGTGATGTGTCAGTGTAGGTTCATCGATTATAGCAAATATATCATTCTGGTGCAGGATGTTGACAGTGGGGGAAGCTGTGTATGGGAGTAGGGAGTCTATGGGAACTCTTCTACTTTCCACTCAATTTTGCTGTGAGCCTAAAACTACTCTAAAAAATGAAGTTTATTAATCAAGAAAAAAATTCTTATGTTTTATGAATATATGGGACAGCTATTCATGTATGTGGTAAAAATGAAGAGATTTGTTACAGTACTCGGCAGGAGTGTGTCTAATCGACTGATATTCATGTGTCACTTATAAAAACTGGCTTCATTATCAATCTATAGATTCATTTCATTGGTGTATGTTCGCTTAAGGGCACACACATGGAAACCCTTTGGTGTTATTAGAGGTCTGTTGGGAGGGCTCCTCTTTGGTGGAAGCTATGTCTGTTTCTCAGAAGTGATTTAAGAGTAAGATGTGAAATAGCACTTGTCCCCGAGGATGGAGCCAACAGAGCACAGAGCATAGGGGAGTTATGTGATGCTGTCTCTGAGGGACTGGAGAGAGGAATATAAAGAGCTTATCCCTTAAGAAAGAATAGGGGAGGACTTCCTTGCCTGATATCTCAGATCATGAAGCCACAGTTCTCTGCCTGCTTTAGAGAAAAAAAAAATAACAGACTTTTTGCAAAAATCAATTATTGAACATATTCCTATATTCTAGATTTATAATGAAGTATTTTTGTACATATTCATTAAAAAGAGTAATTAGAACATTTTTCTCTGGTTTATAGTAACTAGGATGGCAACACAGATATATCTTGGAAGTATTTCGTGGTATGATTCTTCAACATAAAATTATTTTTCAAAACTTCTTAGAAGTCTCCAGGTACTCAGGAATAAGGTCATTTTAAATTATTCCTTATTGACTATAAGAAAAATAATTAGGCAAGATCACAAAATAAATGTTTAGACTGTTTCTCCTGTTTCCTGATTTTCAGGTTATTTTTTATCCCAATTTTATTTTGCTGTATAGTCATAAATTTCATCTTTGAAATGAAGCATATAATCACTTTTTTTGTTTGTTTGTTTTTTTGAGATGGAGTCTCGCTCTGTAGCCCAGGCTGGAGTGCAGTGGCGCAATCTAGGCTCACTGCAAGCTCTGCCTCCCGCGTTCACGCCATTCTCCTGCCTCAGCCTCCTGAGTAGCTGGGACTACAGGTGCCTGCCACCACGATCGGCTAATTTTTTTGTATTTTTTGTAGAAACGAGGTTTCACCGTGTTAGCCAGGGTGGTCTGGATCTCCTGACCTCGTGATCTGCCCACCTCGGCCTCCCAAAGTGCTGGGATTACAGGCGTGAGCCACAGCGCCTGGCCGTGCTTTCTATTTTATATGCTGTTTTTGTGTTTCTTTTTCATCCCTGATCTTCAGTTAGCTGCTGGCATTTTACTTGTTCCCAACTAATTTTTCTTCTAATGACTTGAAAAGTATATGTTTAGTTCCTATATCTTTATATTTTTATACACATAGCTACACATATGATTGACATCCAGAGCTAATCGTATAGATAAAATGAGACTCCTAGCATGCTTTTACTTCTCTCTCCTTCCTCCTTTCCAGACTTCATAACTTTCCATCCCGAGTTATTTCAGATTTTAGTTTTTTATTATAGGTTTATTTTTATAATTTAGACTTAAAAGTAAACTTCACTGATTATCTTGCTCACCTGTGCTTCTTATATCCCTTTTTTTCTTCCCAGATTTATTTTCTTTTTGAATATATTTTCTACACCATGGTTTCTCAACCAGAGGTGATACAGCACTGTCTCCAAATGTGGAGCTGTTGTGTATTGTCACGGGGAGGAGAAATGCTACTGGCATTTAGTGGATGATGGTCAAGGACACTAAGCAACCTGCAATGTGTGGATCAATCTTACACAACGAAGGACTGTTCCACCCCAAATGCCAATGGTACCCTGTTGAGAAAGGTTAGTCTATGTGGACAGTGAATTATAAACTTTTTGAATCTGTTTTTGGGTCTTAAAATGTCTTTATGATGCCCTCACATTCACTTGCACTTTGGCTGGTTAAACAATATTAAAAGAAAACTTCAAATTAAATGGAATTTAATTGAGCAAGAAAAAAAAACAATTCCCAAGTTGGGCAGCCTCCAGAACCACAGCAGATTCAGAGAGACTTCAGGGATGCCTCATGGTCAGAACAAATGTATAGACAAGAAAAGGAAAGTGACACACAGAAATTGAAAGTGAGGTAAAGAAACAGCTGGATTGGTTACAGGTTGGCATTTGCCTTATTTGAACACAGTTTGAACCCTCAGCAGTGTATGAGTGATTGAAGTATAGTTGCTGGGATTGGCCAAGACTCAGCTGCTGTTACAGATGCATACTCCTAAGCTAGGTTTTCAATCTTGTCTATTAAGTTAGGTTATGGTTAGTCCACAAGGACTCAAATACAGAAGTACAGAGTCCTCAGGCCATATTTAGTTCGCTTTAACAAGAATCATAAGTTCACAAGTATTTTCACCAGAAAACTGTAAAGACATTATTCTGTTTTCTTACTTACCATGTTGCCAATGTGAAGTCTGGTATCGATCTTATTCCATCCCACACAATTGTTTTCACGCTGAAAACATTCAGTTTCCTCCTTATCCTTAGTATCCTGAAATTTTATCATGATTTACTTACATGTCAGTCTTTTTACATTCTTCCTGTAAATATTCACTGGTTCCTCTCAATATGAGTATTTCCAATTTCTAAGAAATTGTCTTAAATTTTTGCCTTGTTTTAGGCACTCTCCTTCCTTAATTTTCTTCTCTCCTGTAATTCATATTAAGCAGATAGTGGAACTTTTACAGCTGTCATTCATGTCTCATAACATTTTGTTCATTCTTTCCATCTATTGTTTTGCACTGCATTCTGGGAGAATTACTTAGCATGATATTCTGGTTCACTGATTTACTCTTCAATCCATGTTGCTATTCAACCCATCTATTGAGATTTTTATTTCAAGAATAAAATTTTTTAATTTCTGAAACCTTGATGCATTTTTAATTTTTTTTAAAAATGAAAGCAGTAAGCTCTGCCATTTGTCCAAGGTATATAATGATACTTATTCCATAGTCTGTTTCTTTTTTTTTTTTTTTTTTTGCTCTGTCGCCCAGGCTGGAGTGCAGTGGTGCGATCTCGGCTCACTGCAAGCTCCACCTCCCGGGTTCACGCCATTCTCCTGCCTCAGCCTCCCAAGTAGCTGAGACTACAGGCGCCTGCCACCACACCTGGCTAATTTTGTTGTAGTTTTAGTAGAGACGGGTATTCACCATGTTAGCCAGGATGGTCTCAATCTCTTTACCTTGTGATCCACCCGCCTCGGCCTCCCAAAGTGCTGGGATTACAGGCGTGAGCCACCGTGCGCGGCCGCAAACTCGTTTCTTAACTGTACGTGGATTCTCCTTCATCATACAACATCTAGATCTGTGGAACTGAACCAAACCTAGAAAATGGGCAATAGGCTACCACTGTCAGATACGTATTTGCCAGATTCAGAGATTCTGTTTTTACTTCTAAAAATTTAAATAGACAAGACTTTGAGAGTTGACAGAATCACCTTGACTTGTCATTCTCTGCCCCTCCCTACTAAGTACAATTATAAACACTGAGAATAGTAAAAGGAACAGCTACAGGAGAATTCTGAAAGGTGGTAAGAGGAAGGTGAATTGGTCGGGGCCTCGATTCTGGAGGCACAAAATACAACCCCCATCCAACAAGAGAGGTGATCCAGGCTTGACAATTCCCACCTCCCAATGTAGTAACAGAAGGTAGCTCAAGTAGGCTCATTCTTCTGCAACAAATGAGAGTTCTGCCAGAAATAGCAGGCAAGCAGAGGAGAACCAACAATGGAGACGGGTTGATTAGAAGCCCTGTTAACGGTAAGCTGCCAGAAAACTCTACTTTTTCACCAAGTGTGAGACACCATTTTCTCTACGTCTCTACTCCTCTCCTTCCACCCCTGTTCCCAAGCCCTTGGTTGAGGGCACTAGCAACTGGAATTGCCAAAATCCAACTTTCCAATTCTTTCCCACAAAGGACGCAACTCACCTCCTTCACCAGAGACACTGCACAACCAAGGGCACAGGGAAGGGAATTCACACTGCAATGTGCACTTGGCCAGGGAAGCACTCTGCCCCTGTAGGACGGAGTCTCCATTCATTCACTTAGAGATACAGACAACTGATCCTGGGGAAGCTCCATCAGAAACCAGTAGGAGCCCCAGTGGAATGATATTTTTTTAAAAAGCAAACTAAAATAGCTCTGCAAAGACTGAAAATTAAATTGTCGTAGGAGTCAAATCCTTCAAATTAGGTCCAGACCGGCATGCTGAATCCAAAAAGGTGAATGCTTACTAAAATTAAACAAAATGTAAATAGAACCCAGATTTCCTAACATAATATAAAAAATGCGCAAGGCACAGGGAAATGGGAATTGAAATGACAAAAGGCAATCAGTTGATGTTAACAGTGAAATAAACCACATGTTGGAATTATCTGACAACAATTTCAAAGCAACCAGCATAAAAATGGTTCAAGTAATAAAAAAATTATCTTAAATGAAAAAATGGAATATTCTAGCAAAGAAATAGGAGTTATAAAAAAGAAACAAGACATTCATGAAACAGATAAATGCAGTAACAGAAATTAAAAGCTTTCTAGGTGGGCTCAATAGTAGAGGGTGGAGGGCAGGAGATATGATCAGTGAACTTGAAAATGTGTAGAATTTCCCTAATCTGAACAATAGAGGAAATAGACTGAAAATAATGAACAGAACTTCACAGACCAATAACAAAAGATCCAACATTAATATTATCGGAGTTGGGGAAGAAGAGGAGAAAGTCAGTGGGGCTGAAAGAGTATTTGAAGACATAATGGGTAAACATTTCCCAAATTTGTTAAACGAAATACACTCAGATTCAAGAAGTTTAATATATCCCAAATAGTATGAACCCAAAGAAATATATACCAGGACACATCATACTAAACTTCTGAAAAGACAGAAAATATTGAAAGCAGGCACAGAAACATGACTTGTTATCCTTAGGGGCACATGAATTGGAATGACAGTGAATTTCTTATCTAAAGCCATGGGGGCAAGTAGGAAGTGGCACAATATTTTTCAAGTGCCAAAAGAAAAGAACTGTAACTGTTGATCTACACAAATGTTGATGAATTTAAAAGATGTTATGCTAGATTAAAGGATGTAATGTTTAAAGTTAAACATTAAGTTGACTTGGTAGATAGCTGGTAAAACATTTCTAAGTGTGTGAGGGTGTTTTTGGAAAATAGTATTTGTTTATATTTTTTGTTTTTGGAAGTGTGCAATTACTTTAGTTTTTTTCAGCTTTATTGAGGTATAGACAAAAGATTAGTATTTGATTCAATAGACAAACAAGATCTGCCCTCACAAATGTGGGCAGGCATCACCTAGTTCATTGAAGGCCTAGATAGAACAAGAAGGGCAGAGGAAGTGCAAATTATCTTTCTCCTTGAGCTGGGACATACTTTTCCTGCCCTTAGACATCATATCTCCTGGTACTCAGGTCTTTGGACTCAGACTGGTAGTTTCACCATTCACTCTGTTGGTTCTCAGGCCTTTGGACTCAGACTGAATTGTGCCACCAGTTTTCATAGGTCTGCAGGTTATAGGTGGCATATTGTGGGATTTCTTGGCCTTCATAATTATGTAAGCCAATTCTGATTATAGATCTCCTCTTATCTCTGCACCTATCCACAGAGATAGAGAATCTATTATCTATCTACAGGGATAAGAGTGATATGCACAGGCGACAGGGAAATACTGGGTAGAAGAGGCGGTTCCCTGTCAAAGGCCCCACCCTGAAGCCAGGAAACCTGCAGCCCTAAATGGGAACAGTCATTCCTGTTTTTGCACCCAGCTGTTGCCTTTTGGCCCACCATGCCCCCCTCTCCTGAACCCTTATAAACCCCAAGTCCCAGGCTTCACAAGCAGAAGAGCAGAGGGTTGGAAGAGCAGGGTGGCAGAGAAGGAGAGAAGAGAAGGAACGTCTGAACATCGAGAGGTGGTTGGCTGGGGATGGTTGGAGAACAGATTGGCCACGGGATGGCCAAACTCCAGAGGAAGATCATCTTCCTACTGCAACTCCTCTCCAGCTCCCCATCCACCCCGCTGAGAGCCACTTCCGTCTGGCAATAAAATCCCCCACATTTGTCATCCTTCAATTTTTCCATGTCACCTGATTCTTCCTGGATGCCAGGCAAGGACCTTGGTACCAAGAGGGCACTGAGCTGGTTAACACTTAAGTGGTCTGCAGATGGCAGAGCTAAAGAGTACTGTAATATGCCCACTGGAGCTTTGGGAGTTGCAGGCACCCACCCATATATGGTAACGTGGGGCCAGAGTCCAAAAGTGCTTGCCCCAGCTCCTACACCTCCCTGTCTGCGTGCTTCCCCTCCCATGAGGGGTTTGAGCAGGAGGCAGCAGAACAGATGAGCCACACCCACCAATCATCCTGTGTAGGGGATCAGGGAACTCTCCTGTTTCAAGAGGAGATATGAGATACAGATAGGTAGCTAGCTAGCTGTGTACCTATCTACCTATCTACCTATCTATATCAGATTGGTTCTATTTTTCTGGAGAAACCTGAATAATACAGATTTTTGCCCCAAGAGTGGATCTAGAGGAACAGAATTTTAAGGATAAATTCTGTGAATTGGTTTTGAGGTTTCTGGAATTGTTTCTCTAATATGATTAAACTTGAAAATACTAATGACTTTACTTTCAGTGGTAAGATATTACTGATAGTCCATGACGTGAATTTTTTATTGAGATACCCAAAATATCTGCATTGGATAGTCCTAGTCAACTAAAGTAATGCGATATATAATACTTTCAAAAGATTTTGGAAAACTAAGGAAAATAATGACAATAATTCCCAGCTCAAGCACCACACAAATGACCTAAGACCTTCTAGGTGCACCCTGAGGGAGAGTGTTAGGTCTTGTAGCTTCAGGGCTGAAATTGCTGAAAATCAAATGCAAGACTTTATCCTGTGATTGGCTGAATTACAAGGCAAATATAACTCCCAGCCTCACAGGGTGCCCACTGATAAAGTGAGGGCATTGACTGGGAAAAAAATGGGATCCTGTAAATTGGGATGGAAAGCCTTGGTAAAGCTGGGAACATTGAGCCCCTCTGATGAGCCTTTGTTGCCCATGTCAACTTAAGGAAAGAAAATGAGGCAAAATTAATATAAGTAGAGAGTTTATATGGGCCAAGATTAAGGACTGCAGCCTAGGAGTAATAGATTCAAGTTGCCCTACATATATACCCAGATTAGCAGCAGTTACAAGTGGGTGTTTAAGAGAAAAAATAAGCTGGGGGCAGTTTCTAAGTTGCTTATCAATAATCTACATAGGTTCATTAAAATAACACAACACAAACTATTTGTTGGCTATGCATTGTTTTTGTATCACAGATTCCAGGAACATGAAGATATTGGGTGAGGGCCACATTGTGCAACTTATGGTAATGTTTTAGGAAATTTATCCGCTAGTCTGGAAACTGCAGGAAAGGAAAGAAAGCCAAAGTGCCTTTAAACAATTATGCCCAGGCACGGGTGCCGGGACATGAGTGAAGCCTCGTGCTCATCTCTCAGGGCCCGATAAATTTTGCAGACCTCACATTTCTAAGACGACTCGGAGCCACTTTTCTTTCTCACCAGTGGAACAGGTCTCCCTACCACCAGCAGAAGTAGCCACCCCACCCCTGGCAAAAGTGAATTCCCCAACCCCAGAGGAAGTGCCTCCCCATCCCCAGTGGCATCAACCTTTCCACCTCTGTCTGAGGGGATAACCCTGCACTGCCTGAGGAAATGGGAATGGCCTCCCGTAAGGCAGCTGTGGAGCAAGACAATGCTGATTCTCCTTAGGAGCCACCCCACCACCCCTCTTTGCTTTTAGGCCAAGTTCATCCAACCTGTGGCCTGCAGGCCACATGTGGCCCAAGACAGCTTTGAATGCAGTCCCATACAAATTCGTTAACTTTCTTAAAACTATGAAATTTTTTGGCCAGGCGCGGTGGCTCACGCCTGTGATCCCAGCACTTTGGGAGGCCAAGGCAGGCAGATCACGAGGTCAGGAGATCGAGACCATCCTGGCTAACATGGTAAAACCCCATCTCTACTAAAAACACAAAAAATTAGCCGAGTGTGGTCTCCGGAGCCTGTAGTCCCAGCTACTTGGGAGGCTGAGGCAGGAGAATGGCGTGAGCCCAGGAGGAAGAGCTTGCAGTGAGCCGAGATTGCGCCACTGCACTCCAGCCTGGGCGACAGCGAGACTCTGTCTCAAAAAAAAAAAAATTATGAAATTTTTTTGCTATTTTCTTTTTTTAGCCCATCAGCTATCATTAGTGTTACTGTAGTTTATGTGTGGCCCAAGACAATTCTTCTTCTAATGTGGCCCAGGGAAGCCAAAAGATTGGACACCCGTATTCTAGACCTATAAGTAGACTCCAGTCCCGCAATCCCCTAAGGTGAGTTACAGAGTATGATCTCTGAGGAGGCTGACTACATCCAGGAACAGGTAGGAAACTGGGGAACATGTGTGGGAATGGATATTAGGGGTGTGAAAGGAAAATAAATATTGGGATGCCAAACTCATTAAGCCGAAGGGAAAAGTTAAGCTGGGAACTGGGTCATGCAAACCTGCCTCCCCTTTTGCTTCCTAACTAAGATGGCTACAAGATGAAAATCTTCATGCCTCCCCCACATTTTGTCCATGAGGAAATTCCTAGTGAGCTCCAAGATCTTTACCCTAAGGTGTGTCTGTTAAAATTTCACCATGATAATGTCAATTGTCTTTACAGTGCAGTCACCCCCCTGCCCTCCAGACACAAATGCATATCTGATCGGTCCCCTGCCCCATTTTGTCTGTTATCTTATGTAAAAATGCAGATTCCAGCATTTTTCCTCTGCCCCATTTGTCTATGTCATCTTATGTAAAACAATGCAAATTCACTGAGCCAGACACATAAATGAATATTTTTCCCTACCCCACTCTCACATGAAAATTGTGTACCTCTCAATATCCTGCCCTTTCCTCTTTAAATTTGGAGCCCTCAAAATCATCTTTGAAGAAAGGCATAGACCTGTCTCCTGGGCATGCATCCTTAACTTTGGCAAATAAACCTCCTAAAATGATTGAGATTTGTCTCATCATTTTTCTCGATTGACAGGGGTATGAGACAATGGTGGAAGGAACATAAAGTTCCCCGTTTGTTGATACGGTCCCACAGAGCAGAGATTCTGCATTTAATGTTGTAGTTCAGGGAGTTACAAAAGGCTCTACCAGTTTGGTTTGTTGGCTGCAATATGGATCAAAAGATGTCCCACTGTGAGTGAATTGGAAATGCCAGATATCCCTTGATTTAATGTAGAGGAAGGGATTCAAAGACTAAGGAAAATTAGAATGATGGAGTTAACTTATCATTTAGGAATTACTCATTCACACAGGGAAAACCCAGAATACATACCTTTCACCAATACTTAATGAAATGAATTTGTGACAAGAGACCTAGCTATTTTATGCTATGTTATGTTATGTTATGTTATGTTATGTTATGTTATGTTATGTTATGTTATGTTATGTTATGATGTAGCAGGATGAGCCGCAGACAAAACCTCTCAGACACCGAGTTGTAGAAGGAAGGGCTTTATTCAACTGGGAGCATCAGCAAGCTACTGCCTTAAAATCCGAGCTTCTTCGAGTGCACAATTTCCATCCCTTTTAAGGGCTCACAACACTAAAGATTTCATGTGAAAGGGTCGTGATTGATTGAGCAATCGAGGGGATACATGACAGGGGTTTCATGCACTGGTGGTCAGAGTGAAACAGAACAGAGCAGGGAGTTTCATAATATTCTTTTATACAATGCCTGAAATCTATGGGTAACATCGGGTTCTAAGTCATGAGTTGATTTTTAACTACTAGGTTTAGGCCGGGCAGGCCCAGGCCTGGTTTTGGGCCTGGTGCCAGGCTGCCTGTCTTTGATTTCACTTCCTTGTTTTTTTTCTTTTTTCTTTAAACAGGTACTGAGTATGAAACAATATAAAACAATATGAGAGGGTCTTTGTCTTCCCTCAATGAGATGGAGTCTCACTCTGTTGCCCAGGCTGGAGTGCAATGGCACAATCTCAGCTCACTGCAACCTCCACCTCTTGGGTTCAAGCGATTCTCTCACCTCAGCCTCCGGAGTAGCTGGGATTACAGATGCGTGCCAACATGCCCAGCTAATTTTTGTATTTTCTGTAGAAATGGGGTTTCACCCTGTTGGCCAGGCTGGTCTCAAACTCCTGACCTCAAGTGATCCACCCGCCTCGGCCTCCCAAAGTGCTGGGATTACAGGTGTGAGCTACCGCCCCCGGCCAAGCCTCTTTAATAATATATAATCCTTCTTTTCTTGGGAAGCCTCCGTACTACATAATGAAGTAGAAAGAAGTTGGGAGAATAGTAAGGAGGCATTTGTAAGAGTCCATGTGAGAAATCACAATAATTTGAATTACATAGAATAAGAAGAACTTTGGAAAGATGCTCTGAAAACAAGCAATAAGATATTTCTGTAGAGAGGACCTGTGTGGCTTGAAGTCAATTGTGAGAGACAAGATGTTCACTGTACATAAGACGAACAGAGCGATAAAGAGAGAGACTGGGCCCCTTCCAGCCTATGACTTAAGAGAGCTTCCATAAAGGTCTGCATGGTCTATGCTCATGACTTAAAACTAAGGGCCAGGAAAAGAGAGGAGAGGTAAAGACTCAAACTGAAGCAAAGGGCTCCTTGTTACAGTTTTGTGGGTGCAGTGACTCCCGAGGCAAAGTCCATATATAAGGATACAATGTGTTTGGGGGCATAGCCATTGGACCCTTTAAGTCATATTCTAGGCTACATAGCTTTTATGTCCAAAATGATCTGAGCTCCAGGACAGCTCTCTTATAGGAAACAATGCCAGATGAGGTCACTAGTGAAGGACTTGCTTTACCACAGGGAAATGGTACCATTTCTCTCAGGTCAATTAGGAGCTTTCAAAGAGAAATATAGATAGAGCTCCAATGTTTCAGGGCAGACAAAGTACAGTCAGGTGACATCTGCCATGCTGTGATGTAATACTGGCACTGTTGGTAAGATTATAATATTGACATCGAGAGCCAAATGTATTGTGAAATTCAGTTAAAAGTTTTCTGGCTCCCCCAGATATTAGTCATATAACAAGAATCGCAGTCAAAGAACAAGGGGTGGCTTGTTGCATAGTAATTAATTTGGCTGATCTTTTTCTCTGGGTCCTGAGAGGAGCCCTCTAAACCCTTGAAGTTTCCTATGATACAATTATATTTTGTTACTGATGGCGGGCCTGACAATATCTGAGCTTATGCTGTGGAGATGACACAGGATGGGGCCCATCACACCAGAAAGAACAACTGTGTGATTCAAGGGTTGGGCTTCGAAGCATGTGCTATCAGCCCAGCCTTCTGGGAGGAGAGAGAGGCTAGAGGCTGAGCTCAATAATGTGGCCAAAGATTCAATCCGTCATGTGTCCATAATGAAACCCTGATAAAAACTTTGGCCACGGAAGCTCAGGTGTGCTTTCCTGGGTAGTGATACACATCGATGCGCCAGGAGGGTGACTTGTCCTGAGGAAGCGGAAGTCGTGTGTCTCAGGTCCTCCTAAACCTTACCCTGACGGTTTCTTTCTTTGGCTGGTCCTGATTTACATCCTTTATTATATAACTGTAATTATAACTACAGCTTTTTCCTGAGTAATGTGTTATTCTAGCAAAGTTGTGTATCCAATTTGAGTGGGTAGTGGGAATCTCCAGCTTTGTAGCCAGTTGGTCAGAAGTGTGTGTGTCCTGGAAGCCCCCTCCCCTGCTTGTAGCTGATGTCTGAAATGAGGGAGGCCCTTTTCAGGCCCTGTGCCCTTGACCTGTGAGGTTTGACCTAATTCTGTGTAGATAGCATGACAATTGCACTGCACAGGACAGATAACCACCCCAAAATCTAAAAAGAGAGGTACAAACAGACACTGCAACTGATAAAGCCTAGAGATGTGCTTCAGACAGCAGGAGCCTCTAGAGCTATTGGTCCAAACAATGAAATGACAATTTTAACAAACTGCTGGAGGAAGAGTTTCTTAGGAGGCTCCCTCCAGTAACCTCACCATATTTTTGTGGTAAGAATCCCCAAAAGATCCCTTCATGCCTTTGCAGAAGAAGGAAAGAGTGACCATTGTGAAATGTAACCAGAGCCTTCTCCAGGGGAAGGACTTTACCAGAGCTCCATTCTGATACTGTATCCAAGCTTGGGGAAAGGAATCCCCCCTCACTTCAGCTCTCTTTAGCCTTCTTTCATCACGTAGTGGCAGAAATAATCATCAATGGATAGAGTGCTTCATGGAGATATACTGGGAGCTCGGCAGCCAGGGAAAGGAGCTAGAAGGTGAACATGCTACTGGAGGAAAGGCAGACACAGCTGGGATAGCTACAGCCATGAGCTACTGGCTTAGGAAATGACCCACACTTCATTAGAAGGTTGGAGAATGCTTACTGTCTTCTATATCCTATCATCACTGTTATAAAGCTTGAGTTTAAAAGCAGTGACTACAGCTGTTTTCAGTGGAATGAACTGAAAGACACAGACTCACTATGAGGAGCAGTGCAGAGACAAGCTGTGAAGCCAGGCGAAGCGCCAAAACAAAGACACTAAAGGAATTTGGAACTTCTGATACTTATGGCTGCAACAAACATTAAACATAGCTTAACTCTTAAACAAATTAACATACATTCTCACATAAAGGCCTATGTACCTCAGTTGTTATTACCTAATGCAATATCTGTCTTTTAACAAAAAAATTACACAAGACACGTCAAAGGCAGGAAAAAACAGTCTGAAGAGAAAGCAATCATCAGAATCAAACTCAGATATGACACAGATGTTGGAGTACCAGAGACGGAATGTAAAAATAACTGTGATAAATATGTTAAGGGCTCTCATGAAAAAAGTAGACAATGTGCAAGAACAAATGGATAATATCAGCACTAAGATGGTAGCTTCTAAAAGCCCATGAGCCAAAGAAGAAATCTCAAAAAGTGTTTCAGAATAAATGAAAAGGAAAATATAACTCATCAAAACTTATGGGTTGTAGCTAAAGCAGTGCTTAGAAAATAATTTATAGCACTCAGTTTCTGTATGCATATATTACAAAGTAAGAATTAATAATATAAATAAATTACGCTTGCACCTTAAGAGCTTGAGAAAGAACAGCAATTTAAACCTGAAGAGAACACAGAAAAGAAATCCATGCAAATTAGAATATACATCAATAAAATTTTAAACAGGAAAACAATAGAAAAATTCAACAAAACCAAAAGCTAGGCTTTCACAAACGTAAATAAAATTGATAAACCTCTTCCCAGGCATGAGCGTACAAGATGAGAGAAAGAAAGAATACAAATTACCAATATCAGCAATGAAAGAAGAATCATTACTACTGATTATTGATACCGTGCACTTTTAAAAGATTCTAAGATTCTACAAGCAACTTTATCCTTGTAAATTTGATACCTTAAATAAAGTGGACCAATTCCTTAAAAGACACAAACTAATAAATTCATGCAAGGAAAAACAGACTAGCCCTATACATATTTTCTTTTTTTTTTTTTTTCTGAGATGGAGTCTTGCTCTTTCGCCCAGGCCAGAGTGCAGTGGCGCTACCTCGGCTCACTGCAAGCGTCACCTCCTGGGGTTCACGCCATTCTCCTGCCTCAGCCTCCCAAGTAGCTGGGACTACAGGCGCCTGCCACCGCGCCCGGCTAATTTTTTATATTTTTAGTAGAGACGGGGTTTCACCGTGTTAACCAGGATTGTCTTGATCTCCTGACTTTGTGATCCACCCACCTCGGCCTCCCAAAGTGCTGGAATTACAGGCATGAGCCACCGCGCCCGGCCGCCCTATACATATTTTCTAAAAATTAAATTAATAATAAAAACCTTCCAAAAAAGCAACAGGCTCAAGCTCAGATGATTACACTGGTGAATTATACCAGTGAAAAAATTATTCTCCATATTTTTTTTCCAGAAAAGAGAAGCAGAGGAAAAACCTCCCAACTCATTTTATGATATCATCATTACTCTAATCCCAAAACCAGATAAAGACATTACAACATTGAAAAGAAACTATAGATCAGTATCTCTTATGAACCTAGACACAAAAGCTTCCACCAAACATTAGCAAGTCAAATCCAGTAATGTAGAAAAAGGATAATACATCACAACAAAATGGAGTCCATTTCTGAATATAAGGATTCAATATTTTAAAATACATCATTGTACTTTATCATATTAATATTAATAGACTAAGAAAAACAACACAATTGTATCAGTAGAAGCAGAAGAAGCATTAAACAGAATTCAAGACCTGTTCATGATAGAAACTCCACAAAGTAATGTGAACTATGGATTTTGAGTGATAATAATGTGTCAGTGTATGTTTATAGTTTATAACAAATGTACCACTCTGGTGTGGGGGGTTGACAGTGGACGGGACTGTGTGTGAGTAGGGTGTATAGGGGGACTTTGTGTGGGTAGGGTGTATATGGGGACTGTGTGTGGGTAGGGTGTATATGGGAACTGCGTGTACTTTCTGCTCAATTTTGCTGTGAACCTAAAACTGCTTTAAAAAAAAAAAATAAAGCCAGCCAGCTGCGATGGCTTATGCCTGTAATCTCAGCACTTTGGGAGGCCGAGGTGAGCAGATCGTGAGGTTGGGAGATCGAGACCATCCTGGTTAACATGGTGAAACCCCATCTCTACTAAAAATACAAAAAATTAGCCAGGCGTGGTGGCACTCACCTGTAGTCCCAGCTACTTGGGAGGCTGAGGCAGGAAAATCATTTGAACCGGGGAGGCAGAGGTTGCAGTGAGCTCAGATCACGCCACTGCACTCCAGCCTGGGTGACAGAGCGAGACTCTATCTCAAAATAAATAAATAAACAAATAAATAAATAAAGCCTATTTTATAAAAAAGAAAAATTCAGCCGGGCACGGTGGCTCACGCCTGTAATCCCAGCACTTTTTTGGGAGGCCGAGGTGGGTGGATCATGAGGTCAGGAGATCCAGACCATCCTGACTAACATGAGTGAAAGAATGGAGTGGTATATAATGTAGCAGAGTTGATAATTTAAGGCTAATTCACTATATATCTCCAAGCAAATAGATTTGTAATGCTTTTCCTGCCTAAAATCTGTACAGCTGATTCACAAATACTTGGTTGACAGGTTTTATATATCAGTGTGGCTCATCAGCTTGTATGTTGTTGGGGCCAGAATCTATACTTACACTTCATTCAAATTTGATTTTACAGAAGAGTTGTGGTTTTTATTTTTCTTTTAATTAAGAGGGCTGTGAAATTATCAACTATAACTCTAAATCTCATTTAATTCCTCCCATTAGGATTCAAGATGGATTGGCATCAAAGTTCACTTCTTTAACAAAAGTGCTTTATGACCTTAATAAAATATTAGAGAATGGTAGGATCCATGGAAGCCCTTTACAAAAACTTGTGATAGAAAGTTTTGATGATAAGCAGACTTTGCAACAACTGGAATTGCAAAATGACCCAATTTTACAAAGCTTCCAGAATGCAGTTAGTGAAACAAAGATGAAGATATCAGTATCCCAGAGAGTGAAGAACAGGAGCATGAAGAGGATGGTTCAGAGACAGAGGCTGATGGCCAGGAGGACCTAGAAGATTTAGAGGAGGAGGAGGAAGTGTCAGATATGGGTGGTGACAATCCTGAAGTGAGTGAGAGAGCAAACTCAAGCAAATTCGATCCGACGAAAAGCCCAGTTCTCAGTGATGAGGATTCTGACCTTGACTTTCATATCAACAAATTGGAACAGCAGAGCAAGGTGCGAAACAAAGGACACGGGAAACCAAGAGAAAAGTCCATAGCAGATGAGAAATTCTTCCAACTCTCTGAAATGGAGGCCTATTTAGAAAACAGAAAAAGAAGAGGAACGAAAAGATGGTAATGATGATGACGTAGAAGATACTGATTTTTTTAAGATATTGATTCTGATGAAGATGAAGGGGCACTGTTTAGAAGTAAAAAAACTTAAGGTAAAATTTTGAGAGAGGAGAGAGCACTTTCCTCCTCCTCAAATTACCTTTTGTTCTGTTTTTCTAGGACAGATGTAATTGTAGTTAGAAGATTTGGATCTAAGAAATATTGTGCTCTATCTTATCAGTTATAAATGAATCTGTACTTCCATTCAGTTTCTGTTCCAGTTGTTCTTATAATAGTTTTATGGTAATGTTTTTAGTTGCTGATTTCACCTAATAACTATTTTTGGCTTGTAGTGTTATTAAGTTAGAAAGTAACGTAGACATACAGTATACACACAAATATATATGTGTGTGCTAACGATGTATTTTTCTCTTCCTAATTAATAGTTTTAAAAATCTTTTTATTTTAGTCAGGTAAAAGTTCCAGAAATGTGAAGGACAAAGACTTTTTTTGATCCAGTTGAAAGTGATGAAGACATAGCAAGTGATGATGATGATGATCTGGGTTCAAACAAGCTGATGAAATTGCTGAAGAAGCAGCAGAAGAACTAAGCATTTCTGAAATGTAAGTATTTGAACCATCCTTTATATTGTGAGCTGGAACTGTCCAATCATGTATTGGTACTTGTGGTTTTCACATATGTTTGTTTTAAGAAGTTAGATTCTCTCCTATCAGATATTCTCAAGATAGCCACAGGAAAGTCTGTGTATTTAAAGGGACATTAGAGATCATTTAATGAAGAAAAATATTACTGGCAATGGCAATCAAACCTTTCTGACCAGGAACTTTGATTTGGTTTTGTGCCCCAAAAATCCTGTTATTTCTGTGAGATTGAACAATTTATTTTCTATATATTGGACACTTTTTGTTCTGTTTCTTACATAGCATTTCACTTAAATGATACCTTCTGTTCCTTAATACCTGAATGATTTTGGAACTTCTGAGTATTTGGTTGCATTAGGCATATAAAAGAAGAACTTTATTAAGGGAAATATGTTTCCTTTTGTTTTTCTAATGGAAAGCAGTATATTTCTTTTTATAAGAATTTTGTAGTGTAGGGATGAAGATGATGACCTGGAAGAAAGTGAAGACAGTAAACAATGTAAAGAAAGCTTGAAAAGAGTGACCTTCACTTTGCCAGATGATGAGGCAATTGAAGATGCAGGTGTTTCACATGTAAAGAAAAATTCTGATGAAGTTAAATCCTCTTTTAAAAAAAGACAGGAAAAGGTAATTAGGAATTTAAGGAATTTTTAATATGCTTGACATGATTGTGGAACTCACAGACTACTAACAAATCTTCCCTATTTTTCTTTTTTTTTTCTTGAGATAGAGTCTTGCTCTGTCACCCAGGCTGGAGTGCAATGGCATGATCTCAGCTCACTGCAGCCTCCACCTCCCGGGTTCAAGTGATTCTGCCTCAGCCTCCTGAGTAGCTGAGATTAGAGGTGCATGACACCATGCCTGGCTAATTTTTGTATTTTTAGAAGACATGGGGTTTCACCGTGTTGGGCAGGCTGGTCTCGAACTCCTGACCTCAGGTGATCCTCCTGCCTCAGCCTCCCAAAGTGCTGAGGTTACAGGCATGAGCCACTGTGCCCCAGCCTTCCTATTTTTCTTGTTGTAACTATTAACCATCCTTTGCAAACAAATATCTTGGCCAGGTGCAGTGGCTTATGCCTGTAATCCTAAAACTTTGGTTGTCTGATGCAGGAGGATCGCTTGAGCTCAGGAGTTCAAGATCAGCCTGGGTGACATAGTGAGATCTTGTCTCTTCAAAAAATACAAAAATTAGTGGGGGCATAGTGGTGTATGCCTGTAGTCCAGCTACTCAGGTGGCTGAGGCAGGAGGATCACTTGAGCCCAGGAGGTTGATGTTGCAGTGAGCTATGATCACATCACTGCTCTCCAGCTTGGGCGGTGGAGCAAGATCCTGTCTTCAAACAAACAAACAAAACCAAAAATCTTGCTGCCACTCTCTAAAGCAAAAGCACACTATATGGAGATGCCATATGGAAAACATCTGATTTGCAAAAATCAGTGCCTGCATTACCCAGCCTATAGCTTTCAATTTGGGGCCTGTGTGTAAAATGGTTGTTTCTTTTCTGTCTCCCTTATGTCTTTATATGCATAGCATGTCTCTTCTGACAAAGCTGTCCCGACAGCCTCTTCTTGTAACTGTTTTGACTGCTCCGGAGGATGCCGCCTATGTCTTTAAGGTGCTCCACAGATTTTGGTGAGTGCCAAATAGCCGTAATTTTAATTAATACCATGACAAAGATATCTTCCAAAGTATGTCATGATTTCAGACAAGTGAAATTTCATTTAATTTTTGTAGATGTAGTCTGGCTCCAATAATTGGGCTATATTATTTATCCAATCTTAAAATTTTATTATAAAAATGAGAATAGTGCCAGGTACAGTAGCTCACACTTGTAATCCCAGCACTTTGGGAGGCTCAGAAGGGAGGATTGCTTGAGCCCAGGAGTTCGAGACCAGCCTGGGCAACATGTTGAAACCCCATCTCCACTAAAAATATAAAAAATTAGCTGGGTGTGGTAGCGTGAGCCTATAGTCTCTGCTACTCAAGAGGCTGATCGGGTATGATCGCTTGAGTCCAGGAGTTCAAGGCTGCAGTGAGCTATGATTGGACTATGGCACTCCAGCCTGGGCAACAGAGCTGCAGAATAGGTAAATAAATGATACCAAGAATATCAAAAGAATTATTTTTAAAATCTGTGAATCTAAATTAAATTCATCATTGTCAGATTGTCCCCAGAAGATAAATTCTAAAGGGAAAAAACAAAACATAAAATATCAACGAGTTAATGTCCTCCTGTCCCGCTCCTCCCACCCTCCCCCAACAAGAAAGAAAAAAAGGTTTGGTTTTGCTTTGAAATTATATCAGACCTTCAAGTAAAATTTTCAATAAATCACAAATAATTTATTGAAATTTCCACATATAAAGAATAAAGTAGAACTTTCAAACTTTTTTCTTTTGAAACTGTTCGAACATGAAAACCCAAACCTGACAAAGGTACCTGACAAAGGTAACATTAAAACACACACACTCTCTCATTCATGGCTAGTGATGCAAACATAGCACAGTGGGAAAATTATGCCGCACAATCACATGAAGCTCATTCCCTTGAATCACTACTAGAAGATCTGGTATGATTCCTGGTTGCAAGACATTAAGAAGAAAATACATGGTTCCCTCCATATATGTTAGAAAGACATTTGATAAAATTCAATATTTATTTCTAATTTTTTTTACTCCTAGTGGATTATAAATACATCTAGCCAAAAGCTGCCATCATGCATGATGAGTGAAACTGTAGAAACATCCCTTTAAGATCAGGAATAAGACAAAATGTCCAGTATTGCAGTTATCCCTGTTAATTAACACTAACAGTTAATAACCACATAAGCCAGTGCAACTACAAAAGATAAAGAGAAGGGATTAGGAAAACTGCCAGGAGCAGTGGTTCTCACCTGCAATCCCAGCACTTTGGGAGCTCAGGAGCTCCCAGCACTTGAGCTCAGGAGTTTGAGACCAGCCTGGGCAACGTAGTGAGACCTCATCTCTGCAAAAAATACAAAATTAGCTGGGTGTGGTTACATGCACCTGTGGTCCCAGCTACTTGGGAGACTGAGGTAAAAGGACTGCTTGAGCCTGGGAGTCGGAGGTTGCAATGAGCTGAGATCATGCAACTGTACTCCAGAGCAAGACTCTGTCTCAAAAGAAAAAAAAAAAAAAAAAAGATTAGGGATACTAAAACGAAAACATTAGTGTTTGGAGAGAAAACCGAATGGATAAATGGAATCGATATTAGGAAAATAAGAGAATTCTGTAAGGTAGCTGAAAAAGCTGACATTTTATACATTGAAGTCATAATTGTTCATAACTTTTAGAAGTTAGAGATAATAAGAATTTGAGTTTAGAGTCAAAAGGGTCAGGCTCCATCAAATACTAATATCCTAATCAAAGAATTACTTGGCCAGGTGCGGCGGCTCATGCCTGTAATCCCAGCACTTTGGGAGGCCGAGGCGGACACATGACGAGGTCAGGAGATCGAGACCATCCTGGCTAACACAGTGAAACCCCGTCTCTTCTGAAAATAGAAAAAATTAGCCGGGCGAGGTGGCGGGTGCCTGTAGTCCCAGCTACTCGGGAGGCTGAGGCAGGAGAATGGTGTGAACCCGGGAGGTGGAGCTTTCAGTGAGCCGAAATCACGCCACTGCACTCCAGCCTGGGCAACAGAGCGAGAGACTTTGTCTCGAAAAGAAAAAAAAGAATTATTTAACTTAACTTTAGGGTGCTCTAATAATCAAAATTGATAGTGGCTTGTGAACAGATAGATCACTTGAATAGAATAGAGCCCAGAAATAAACCCAAATGCTTCTGGGGGAGTTTAGTATATTATAAACATGGCATTTCAAATCAATGAGGAAAAGAAATCATTTGCAGCTCACCCCACCATAGGCAGCAGGAATAGGAAGTCATTGGCAGAATAAAAAGATGGTAAGGACAGAATTGTAGAACAGTACATTTCTTGCTTCCCCACTTTTCAAAGTATTTTTTGCTTTTACACAAGTATAAGTGTAATTTGATTTTCTCAATGTATACTAATTCTTTTGTCTCTTTCTTAGATGAATGAAAAAAATTACACCTTTAGAAAAAGAGTTGTTATAAAAAAGCCTTGGTTGCGTCTGGGGGAAGTGACAGCACAGAAGAGACCAGAGAATAGCCTGCTGGAGGAGACCCTGCACTTTGACCATGCTGTCCGGATGGGTACGGTGCCCTCTTCTGCAAAGTTTTTCTATGGTTCCATTTTGTAGGAAGATTTGGGGTGATGTTTCTTTTCCCTCAACTTTTTATTTTAAAAACTTGCAAACACAGAAAAGTTGATAAAATAATACAGTGAACATCAGTATGCTATTCAACTGGATTCACCAATTAACATTTTATCATATTTGTTTTGTCTCCCCTGCATATGGAAGATTGTATATGTGCCCTTTTCCCCCCGAATCATTTCAAAGTAAGTTGCCAGTATCAGCATTTCAGTGTTAAGTACTTTCGCAGATATCTTCTAGGAACCAGGACGTTCTCCTATATAATCACAATACCATTAATCCCACCCCAAAAATTTAACATCAATACACTAATGATACCTACTGTATAGATTATAATCAGCTTTCTTGCAGTAATCTGTTTAGAAGGCTTGCACCCTGTCACCATCCACTGATTAAATTTTGAACTCTAACTTGAAACCCTGCTCATCTCATTGCCTTCTTTCTTATACCCATTAAGTCAAAAAGAGCTCTCATTTTATTTCAACGGAAAAGAGAATGGAAAAGAGGGGAAGGTACCTGGGATAAAGTATGAGCACTTACTGCCATATGTATTCTAGTTCTGTAGTTTTCAAACTTCAGGGAGCATCTCAAGGCTTATTAAAGGACAGACAGCTGTCCCTCTTCCCCACTTTCTGATTCAGGAGGTGTGGGGCTGGCCCAGGAATTTGCATGTCTAACAAGTTCCCACGTGTTGCTGATGCTGAGGGTCTAAGGACTACAATGGGAGAATCCGTGGTTTAGTGGATATCCACCTAAAGAATACTTGTTGTATTTCCTTTAGTGCCTGTGATTACAGAGGAAATACCTTTCAACTGGAAGATATCATTAAACACAGGAAAAGAGATCAGGTCAGTAAGAATTAAATTTAACTTAATTGAAATGTCACTGAAATTTTTAGAAATAATATGACAGGCCAGGCACAGTGGCTCATGCCTGTAATCCCAGCACTTTGGGAGGCCAAGGCGGACAGATCTCTTGAGGTCAAGAGTTTGAGACCAGGCTGTCCAAGATGGTAAACCCCGCTCTCTACTAAAAATACAAAAATTAGCTGGGCATGGTAGTGCATGCCTGTAGTCCCAGCTACTTGGGAGGCTGAGGCAGGGGAATTGCTTGAACTCGGGAGATGGAGGTTGCAGTGAGCTGAGATGCGCCACTGCACTCTGAGACTCTATCTCAAAATAAATAAATAAATAAATAAATAAATAAATAAATAAATAAATAAAAATAAAAAATAAAGGGAAGATGGGGCAGCTTTGTGTAGTGCACTTCCCGAAAATGGGCTGATTTCCCTCAAGAGGCAGGGATTGAAGCTCTCTAGCCTACATGGGATACATACAGGAGAAAAAAGAAGAAAAAGAAAAGAAATGTAAACATAAATAAATGAAAATAACACTTCTCCCTGATTATAAAGGAAATCACATTCTTTTTGTAATAATTTGGATGACAAAATATAAAGAAAAATCTTTAATTTTGCCACTCAAAACATTCTGGTTTGTTGCTTTTTACACTTTTTATGCATATAAACATATTTAAAAGTAGAATCTGCCATGTTGAGACTGTGAGGTTGAAGCCTTCGGGAAAGAACATCAAGATGAATGGAGTCTGAGTTCCTGACAACATGGAGCATCATGCCAGCCATGAACCACTTCTGAGACATCCCTATGAGACAAAAATAAACTTCCATGTTCTTTAATTTATCATTTTGGAGGGTTTTCTGTTATTGCCGCAAAACCTAATCTTAACTAATACAGACATTGTATCTGAAATTCCCAGGAAAATCCCTGTAAACGTGTTGCTTGCCACGAATAACTGGCCTCTACCAGTATCACATTCCAGATGAGCAGAACAGGGAAAGGATTGGAAGACAAGAGAGGGGAGGAACACACCTCGCTCTCTCCTGCTATTGGCTGTGCCTGGCTGCAAGCTAGAAATGCTGGGTCCATTGCAAATGGCCACACATCTAAGGCCCTACCACCATGGGAACAGCCACTGGGAGATAACTAGCAGCTTTTACCATTTGTCATTTAATTATTTTAAAGTTAGAAACTTTTTCTTTTTGAATGTCTGAAAGAGAATGGCCTGAGAAATATTTTGGAAAAGTTAAATAAAGCTGATTTGTGACTGTTAAAAAAAATAAAAGTACAATCATAGTAAATGGGCTTTTGTCACTTATTATATTTTAAACATGTTTCTAGGGCAGAAGTATATCCTGGCATCATCATTTTTAATAGCTGGATTATGTTAAGTGAATCATTGCCACCCCAGAGGTGAATTTCCTCTATATACATTTTAATGGACTCCAGTAAGGATTTTTGCACTGAATTCATAGAAGTAGAATTTCTAGAGGAAAATAATGTAAAACTGTTTTAGGATTTTTAAAAGAAATGTTCAAATTATTCTGTAGGAAAATTGGTTCAGTTTATGCTCCCACCAACAGGGACAGAGCTCCAGGTTCCCCCTTCCATTTGTCATCTTTGCTGGTCTTTAAGCAGAAAATCTCATTGTTTTCATTACATTTCTTTGATTTCTAGTGCTTTTGAATCTTTTTCGTTTGCTCATTGGCCATTTTTATTCTTGTGGGAAGTGCCGGTTTCTCCATTGCCCATTTTCTGCTGGAAATCATTCATTTTTTTAATGAGTAATTTTAAATTTTTCTTTTTAGGCTAAGGATAAGTCAGGATCAGTCAGTTCAAGACTAGACTGATCAACATGGAGAAACCCCGTCTCTACTAAAAAGACAAAATTAGCTGGGTGTGGTGGCACATGCCTATAATCCCAGCTACTCAGGACTCTGAGGCAGGAGAATTGCTTGAATCCAGGAGGTGGAGGTTGTGGTGAGCCGAGATTGCACCATTGCACTCCAGCCAGGGCAACAAGAGCCGAACTCTGCAAGAAAGAAAAAGCAAGAAAGCAAGAAAGCAAGAAAGCAAGGGAAGCACGGGAAGCAAGGGAGAAAGGAAATAAAGGGAAGAAGGAAGGAAGGAAGGAAAGAAAGAAAGAAAGAAAGAAAGAAAGAAAGAAAGAAAGAAAGAAAGAAAGAAAGAAGAAAGAAAGAAAGAGAAAACAAAGAAAAAACAAATGAGACCATGGGCTTGGAAATGCCTTGAGAACATGTCAGGTGTGATTGAGAGTGAGGGAGTGTTACTGTGGAGTATCAGTGTAGCTGTTGTTCTGGTCGTCCAGCTACTCCTCTGCCTGCTCTATCCTGACTTAACCTTTCTCTATTTGCAGTACATCGAGAAATTAACAAAGGAGAGGGACGCTCTGAGTCTGGAACTGTACAGGAACACGTAGGATGGGGGAAGGTGGAATGGGAGGTCTGGGGGCCCTTAGAGTGGGTGGTGTGCTGGGAGGTGGGGGGTACAGGTGAGCATGGTGAGAGGCTTCTACAGGTTTTCATGTGTGCACAGGGAAGCTCTAGTGCCGGCGGTGCCACTGACTCATGGGGAAGCCTCAGGCAACTCATGTCTTCTCTCTGGCCTGCCACCTGTGACTTTTAATTCCTGGGGTCCTTTCCAATGCCACCGTTCTGTGGTTGTGTGGTGAAAGTAGAGGGTTGATCACCAAAGCGGTCCTTTCTATTCTTCGTTCATTCCTTTCTCTACTGCCTCTGGCCACAGCATAACCGATGAGGAGTTGAAGGAGAAAAATGCCGAACTACAAGAAAAACTTCGACTTGTAGAATCTGAAAAGTCTGAGATCCAGCTCAACGTAAAGGACCTTAAAAGGAAGCTGGAAAGGGCCCAGCTCCTGCTGCCACAGGCGAGCAGCTGCAGCCCCGGGGGTTGTGGGAGCCCCATCCGGCTGGGGCCATGGTCTAGGGATCATGTAGGGTGTGGGGAGGCTCCAGCCAAGAGCTGGAAAATTTGGGTCCTTGTTCTGGTCCCACCATAGAATCCTCTGGAGTGTGCTAAAAATATACAAATTGGGGCCCTGCCTGGGGAATCAGAATCTCAGAGTTTGGGCTTAAAAAAATATTTTTCAAAGGATCATAGATGAAAACCATTATTTTATAGATTACATTTATATGGCTAGCTCATGAGTCTGTTTCCTTCTGAGGTTTGAACCAACACTTTCACTATTCCAGCAGCAGCTGCAGGTGGAGGCTGACCGCCTGGGTAAGGAGCTACAGAGTGTGTCAGCAAAGCTCCAAGCCCAGGTGGAAGAGAACGAGTTGTGGAACCTCCTGAACCAGCAACAAGAGGAGAAGATGTGGAGGCAGGAGGAGAAGATACAGGAGCAGGAAGAGAAGATGTGTGAGCAGGAGCTGAAGATAAGGGAGCAGGAGGAGAAGATGTGGAGGCAGGAGGAGAAGATGCATGAGCAGGAAGAGAAGATACGGGAGCAGGAGGACAAGATGTGGAGGCAGGAGGAGAAGATACGGGAGCAGGAAGAGAAGATACGGGAGCAGGAGGAGAAGATGTGGAGGCAGGAGGAGAAGATACGGGAGCAGGATGAGAAGATACAGGAGCAGGAGGAGGAGATGTGGAGGCAGGAGGAGAAGATACGGGAGCAGGAGGAGAAGAGGCAGGAGAAGATGTGGAGGCAGGAGAAGAAGATGCGCGAGCAGGATGAGAAGATACGGGAGCAGGAGGAGGAGATGTGGAGGCAGGAGGAGAAGATACGGGAGCTGGAGGAGATGATGCAAGATCAGGAGGAGAAGCTGCGGGAGGTGGAGGAGAAAATGCAGGAGGAGGAGGAAAAGATGCAGGAGCAGGAGGAGAAGATACAGAGGCAGGAGGAGAAGATCCAGGAGCAGGAGGAGAAGACGTGGAGGCAGGAGAAGCTGCTCAAGCAGGAAGAGAAGATATGGGAGCAGGAGGAGAAGATGTGGAGGCAGGAGGAGAAGATGTGGGAACAGGAGGAGAAGATGCAGGAACAGGAGGAGAAGATGCAGAGGCAGGAGGAGAAGATGCGGGAGCAGGAAGTGAGGCTGTGGCAGCAGGAGGAGAAGATGCAGGAACAGGAGGTGAGGCTGCAGGAGCTGGAGGAGAGGCTGGGGAAGCTGGGGCAGAAGGCGGAGCTCTTGGGGGGAGCAGGCAGAGGTGTGTGCAAACCCTGGAGATCATACAGAACGACCTCACCACAACTTAGCAGATGGTGGTTGGCTCCCTCTGCTTTTCCACCAGTCTGCGGCCTACAGTTTAAATGGTGGGAAGAAGGGTGTGAGATTTGAGGCTGGGGAGGGAGGCATGGGCCTCTAGGCAAGGGAGGCAGTCACTTAGGCCTGGAGGAAGGGGCCAGGGCCAGGGGCCTGAGCAGGCGACAGAGCCCCGCAGTGCCCTTGCCACCCTGTTTATGGGCCCAGAATCTGGAAGCCAGCGACTACCTACCCTGACGCCTATCCTGCAGGTGGAGCTGAAGAGCCAAGAGGCTCAGAGTCTGCAGCAGCAGCAAGACCACTACCGGGGTCACCTGCAGCAGTACGTGGCCGCCTATCAGCAGCTGGCCTCTGGGAAGGAGGCACTGCCCAGCTGCAGCAGCAGGAAGCTCAGGGCGAAGCGGTGGCTGAGATGGCCCACCAATAGTTGCAGGAGACCCAGCTGAGGGAGTTGATGAGGGTGGGGCCCTGAGGGGGACGACCTGGCAAACTCGGTGCCTTCTCACTCTCTTTCCTGGCCCCTTAGGAGCACCTGGAAGCTGCCATCTACCAAGCAGATGACAAGAACACAAATATAATAAACATGTAAAAGCCGGCAGCAAGGCCTGGAGAAGAGTAAGCTGCCATGTGACTGTTTAGAATAGAGTCTGAGCACAAACCTGAAAAAAAAAAAAAGAAAATTTATTTATTTTAAATTTTGGCAAAATACTGGCCAGGCACGGTGGCTCATGCCTGTAATCCCAGCAATTTGGGAGGCTGAGGTGAATGGATGACCTGAGGTCAGGAGTTCAAGGCCAGCCTGGCCAATACAAAAATTAGCCGGGCATGGTGGCACATGCCTGTAATCCCAACTACTTGGGAGGCTGAGGCAGGAGAATCGCTTGAACCTGGGAGGCAGAGGTTGCAGTGAGCTGAGATCGTGCCACTGCACTCAAGCCTGGGTGACAGAGTGAGACTCTGTCTCAAAAAAAAAAAAAAAGTTTCTTCCTTACATGTATGTTTCTATTAGTTTTTTTCTTGGTCTTTCTCATTTAGTCTGATGTTGTCTTATGGCATTCCTAGTAAAGTTTTATCTGCCTCCAGAGAGTATTGACTTTGACTTTATGGCACACAATTGGAGTAAGGGCAGATCGCCTTCATCTAGTTTGTGACTAAGCTAGTTCAAAGCAGGTTTTAGGTTTTGTGACGGCTGGTCTATATTTTATTCATTTGGACTCCTAGGGGTGGCCCTTCCAGGGTCCCCACCAATGTCCCATCTCCTTCCTGGGACCCAAATTCTCATTAGGTCATTTCAGCCCTGTGAGAGTGCCAACATTCAGCTAGGCTCTCCAGCCCCTTAACTACCACTTCATATTCAGTTTCTTAGCCTCTTAGCCCTCTACTGTTGACCGATCACCAAATGTGGGAAAAGCACTACAGACTGTCAGGATCACCTCCCAGGCCTGGTCACTCAAGTGCTGGCTGAGGTCTCCAATTACCTTCCAACAATTGTTTTTGGTGGTGGGGCACATTTTTGTCCAGTTTTTCTAACTGTTCCTATGGGGAGGCGAATCTGTAACAAGCTCCTCTGCCTTTAGTGAAAGTTGAAAACCTTCATCTGTCTCTCTCTCTTTTTTTTTTTTTTTTTTGAGATGGAGTCTTGGTCTGTTGCCCAGGCTCTAGTGCAGTGGCATGATCTCTGCTCACTGTAACCTCTGCCTCCTGGGTTCAAGCAATTCTCCTGCCTCAGCTTCCCGAGTAGCTGGGATTACAGGCGTGTGCCACCATGCCTGGCTAATTTTTATTTTTTAAATAGAGACAGGATTTCACCACATTTTCCAGGCTGGTCTCGAGCTCCTGACTCAGGTGAGCTACCTGCCTCAGCCTCCCAAAGTGCTGGGATTACAGACGTGAGCCATTGCATCCGGCCCATCTGTCTTTTAAGAAATGTATTTAATTTGAGGTATAGTTTATATTCAGTGAAATGCACAGATCTGGTTTCCATTTTGATCAGTTTCAACAAATGCATTACCCATGTAACCCACCTCCTTTGAAGATATAGAGTATTTCTATCATCCAGAAAGTTCTCCTACGCTTTCATCCTGTCTGGCACTCCCCCAGCAGCTGAAGAACGTGCTGAGGACATTGGTACAGGATTCTGGCCTCCCCAGAAGAGCTGCTTTGACAAGCCTTCTTGCCTTACCCAGCACTAAATCCCTGCCTACTCTCTCAAAATTTCCATCTTTTAACTGGTTGTACGTATAACCCTCCCTCATCAAGTCAATAGATAAACAAACCCTGAAAAATAAACACCCCTTCCTGGCCCAGCAGCCCACAGCCTAATATTTACTGTCTTCCCGGGCTTTCAGAAATGTAACTCGCCTGCCGGTTCACCCTAACTAGGGCGGCAGCTGCACGGGAGCTGCTGGGCTCACCCGTTAAGCAAGAAGCCAATAGCTGGACAGTGACACTCAGACCCCAGCCTGGGTGAGCCTGGTTGAAAGCCCCCTTCTTTCCCGTCCGACTGTGGAGAAAGGGGGCGGAGCACACACAACTCTACTGCCCTCCGCATCCTTCAGCTGTGCTTCCTCCTGGGAGAGGGAGCTACTCATTAATTCGGCCAAAACCTTCTTGAGGGCTGTAGGTTTCACAGGCTGGGTGTGTGGGGGCCACCATGCTAGAGAGAGAGGCTGGTGTGTCAGAAGGCAGCCACCTGGCCAGGGGAGGGTCAACCTGCTTGGTGACCTCCTTCCCCCGGCTGGACACAGCGCCCTGCACTCTCTACATGTGACTGTTCCCCTCAGAGCTGCTTCCAGAGGAGAGGTTCTAACCCTGTGGGTGGGGACATTGTGTTACTTTACAGTGGGCCATGGCTCCCTCTGACATCTCCAACTCAGAGGCCGTAGAGAGAAGATGAGAAACTCCATGCACCTCCTCGCTCAGCACCCCCACCTCTGCACACGTCCACATATGGAGACCCTGACGATGGGCCCTGGGAGTGCCGCCATCTGCGCCTCCTTTCCATGCCTGCAGCAGCCATGCCCACTCTCCAGACCCTCACCCGCCTTGCTCAGTAGACGCTGCACTGCCTGTGGTCCTGCCCCTACACCTGGGCCTCTGTACCCATCGGTTCTCGCAGTCTGGTTCTTATTCCTCGCAAAGAGTAGGGAGCCTGTAAGGTCACCTGTTGAGCAAGCTGGGGGAGAGAGTAGGGTGGGGCTGGGAGGATGAGGAGGAGAAGCTCATGGTCGTGCTGGAGACTCAGCTGAGCAGAGTCTCTGCAGGCCCATTGGCTGCCTAGCCAGTGGT
Source organism: Homo sapiens (assembly GCF_000001405.40). NCBI lineage: Eukaryota > Metazoa > Chordata > Mammalia > Primates > Hominidae > Homo > Homo sapiens. Next base: position 30,521,240 of record NC_000015.10, read on the forward strand.
GATCCTGCTCCCACCCTCATTTCTTCTTTGTTAACAAAACCATGACCTCATTAAATATTGGACACCTATAAACCTCATGGACCCTCCTCCAGCCTCCCCGCCATGTATTGGTGAGTCTAAGTCAACTCTAGTCATTTCATTCCTCTGGACATTGATTGCTTTGGGCTTGGGCATGAGCTGCCTCTTCGCCTGAGCCTGAGCCACAGGTGCCCTCTGCACCTACCACACTGATGCACTGGGCCAGGGAGAGCTCCATCTCGATGGAGATGAGCTGTGAGGAGCTGGCGGCTGGGCGGATCAGGTTGTGGTAACGGGTTTTGTTCAGAAGGTCGTCCATCAGCTTCTGCTCGGCAGGGCCATGCGGCAGAACCCTGCGTAAACACACAGACCTGCTTGGTCCTTGTGCAGCTGTCCCCCACTGCAGCTGACAGCTATGAAGCAGGAGCTGAGAGGGCCAGGGAGCACAGACACCCTGAGAGCTGGCTGAAGCAGTGAAGGGGCTGGCCGGCCTGGCTCTCCCTGGGGACTTCAAATGACATTCACGACAGAGCTCAGCTATCTCCTCCCATGCCATACCTCTTCCTCCTCCTCCTCCCTCAATCAATGAACAGCATCCCACGCTCTACACATCTGATACAAAACTGGGTGTCTCTTCCTGACCCCTCCCTTGGTTCATATAAGTGGCCACCAAGTCCTGTCTGTCCTCCCATCTCCACGGCTACAGCCATGTCCCTGCCTCCCCCGCCCTGCCCACCTTCTATTCTCTCCACCTGCACTCTGCCCCTGCCATCCATGTGCCATACAGTGGCAGACTGGTCTTTCTACAGCAAACTGGACTTGGGCCCTTCCCTACCCACAGCTCTCAGAGCTGGAGGTGGAGTTGAAGCTCATGTTTTGGCTTGGCATTCAGAGCTCTTTCCCCCTCAGCTCTGGCTTATCCAGAGTGCTCACAGTGCAGGGCAGGAGCCCCATCACTCAAGTGTGGGTTTGGTGCAGAACTGGGTCAGAGGTGGTGCTTTCCCTATGAAGAGACAGGGCTGAGATGGGATATTCGGGGTTCAGAGTCAGATCTATGGAGTGCAAGGTTTCTCTGAGGCACCAAATGGAGGGGTCCAGCTAGCAGCTGGCTCCTGGTCTGGAGCTTCAAGGAGAGGTCTCAGCTCAGAGCCACATTCAATAGCCAGCTTACATGCGGCCTCCTGCAGGGAGCCCCTGGAGCTTCCACAGCCTCCGATCTGCCCCTCTGCATACCCCAGATCTCCTGCTAAGTGGCGTTTGGGTCTTCATGTCATCTCCCTCCCATGTCTGGGAGTAAAGGTGAGGTGCAGGGACTTGCGCTTGTGTACTCTGGTGTCTTAAGGGAGAGTGTGTCAAGTAGAGTGCAGGCGGCTTGGAAAGAGGGAGACTCAGAGGAGAGTAAAGGACACATGACCAGGCGAGCCTGGGAGCAGGAAAAGAGTGAGCAGAGGAAACTGCTGGGTCAGGGGAGCGGATGGGAGGATCAGGGAATGCGGGGGGCTGGAGAGGTGGGTGTGGGGATGCTGGCAAGGGGCTGCCTGGCTCGCCAGGCTCAGGAGTTTTTACATCCTCCCACAATGGCCAGCTCACCTGGTCGCTCCAAAGCCCTCCCTCTGTGGGTGGGACCAGAGGGCCCAGAGCACGGATGACCCAGTTGAGCAGGACTGAGGTGGACTCAGATGGGTGCTGGGCTGGACTCCTGGCCGTAGGGAGCAGCTGCCACCCTGCCTACTGCATCCACATTCCAACTCGCTGCCTATCTGAGCAGATGCAATATTGGGCACCTTGTGGAACATGCTCCTGGTGCACCTGCTGCCTCCTGCCCTTCCTGCAGAGTGCCCGGGCTCTCCAGAGGGGATTCCTGTGGAGGCTTGGCCTAGATTCTGAGTCCTGCCTCTCATACCCGGGGCTGCTACCCAAGAGGCCAGCTGCTTGAGTACCCTGGAAGCCAGTCTGTAGCCCCAGGCTACAGCTGGGTGCATCCCACAGCCCTTCTTTAGTTTACCTATTTGGACTGAGTGCTCATTTCATAGAGAGGGGTGTGTCTTTCCCCAGCCCATCTGGCATGTCTAAGGCAGCTGTGGGGTCAGAATCTGCAGCTCCCAGCCCCTAGCCCTGCAATAGTAGGAGAGGCTGGACCCCACATCTCTGAAGTCCCACTGGGCTGGTGCAAGTGGGCTCCCAAGTTCAGAGCTGCTGTGCAGGCTGTGGGGCTCATGCACCTGTTCTGAACCCACCTGATGTGCTCAGGTTACTCACCTTTGGGCCTGTCCTGCCTCTCTGGCATTCGGCTGACCCTGAGGGCCTCTCCCTCATCTTGACCACCAGCTATGGGCTCTGACTTAGGGGTTCCCAGAACCTTAGACCATTTGGCCGACCCCCCATTTCTCAGCTGAGGAAACAGGCCAAAAAGGGGAAGCAGCTTTCTCAAGGACCCCCAGCAAGTCAGAGGCAGAACCAGGTCTAGGAACCTCTTTTTGACAGAGGTTCTCCCTGTCCCCTGAGCCTTCTTTAGTGCCTCATTAACTTCCCTGTAAGGAGACTGCCCCGCTGAGGCTGGAAATGGTGCTGTCCAGGGTGGTGTGTGCCCGTGACTGTGCTTGTGTTTGTACTTGTGAGTGTGTATGGGGGTGGGGATGAGGGGTGGGAATAAACGGCAGGGATGCTGGGGGCTGGAATACACTCTGCCTCACCCCAAAAAGGGGCACAGCAGAGCCCAGCCAAGCACAGCACATGCTTCGACTTTCCAGTCTGCTGAATGAGTGTGAGGCCGGCTGGGCCCAGAAGACAAGGGACAGGCCTTTCCCCACAGATGGCAGGGGGGGCCCAGGATGGGTGGAAGATTTTGCCACAGCTTTGGGGATCCCATCCCAGCCCATGGGCTGACTGTTAAGCAGAAAAGCCACCTCTAGGGGTCAGTCATGATCTAGTGATTCTGATGAGGAGGGGGCCCCACCAGCCTCTGTCCAGGGTCTTGTCTGGGAAAAACTGCTCCCTGGCAGAAACGGGCTAATAATTTGAGAGGAAGCCATAGCTGAAATCCTAAACTGTGTGAGTGTGTGTCCAGTTTGAAAAAGCATATTTGACCTAAACATTTATATTGAAAAAATGGAAAGATATTCCCCTTGTTTTGGAATACAAACTACAGAAAGTAACAGTTAACAGAATCCTATTGGAAAGGTCAGATTCTGCATCTGGAAAGGCACAGTGATTTTCAACTGGGGTGTGTGTCCTTAACTGAGGAAGGGAAGGTGAGATTTATGTTTAGTAAAAGGCAGCTATGAATTTACCTTTTATAAAGAGCTTGCCATATACTATTAGTGCTTTTTCAATCATGTCAGAATCTGCCGGATGCCTGTGGAAATGCAAATTCCCAGGCTTCATTCCCAGAGATTCTGGTCCTGTGAGCCTAGGGTGGGGCCCAGCAAACTCTATGGGGTGGTGCAGGCTGCCCCAGGACCACACCAAGAAACACTGCAACTGGCCCCCACACACATCCCAGTCCCCAAATATGTAGGCAGGCATCTTATCTCCACGGAACAGATAGGGAAACTGAGGTCAGAGTGGGGAAAGAAATGTCATGGGGTCACCCAGGAAGTAGTAGCATAGCCACGATACACCCACTGCCTGCAGTCACCATCTCTGGTGGCAGCTCCACCTCCCTACAGGAACCTTGCCTACCCCCACCCCTACCTCCTGTTGCCCCTATGCTGGGTCTCTGTCCAAGGAAGATGTAGCCCTGGTCCTCTAGGCTGACTGGGGCTTGGCCCAGAGTGTGGGAGTTAGAAGGGTCCTTGGAATTCAGGTGGGGAAACTGAGGCCCAAAGAAGGCAGCCCTCACATTTGAACTCTGTCTGGAGAAGGGCTAGGTCTTCTTCCTGAGTGGTAGTTTTGACTTCACCAGCCTGGCCCTCAGTCAAGCTGGCTGTCCAGGCCCGCCACACCTCGGGGTGGGTGACCAGAGGCGGTGGTGCCATAAAACACGTTTCCTGGGAGATCCACGCCCATAGCTCAAAACATTCCAGGTCTGGTGATTTGGGCAAGCCCCCTTCTCTCTCAGCCTTGTTTCCCTGTCTCTACAATAGCTGTGTTGCAGGAGACGTCTGTCTCGGACTGAGCTGCAGATTTTCTCCTGGCTGCCTTCACCGTCCAGGATGCTGGCTCCTCTGTGTCCACTCTTCAAGACAGTCACCTCTTAGGTGAGGAAGGAGCCTCGGCCCTATCGGGAGTGGGAGCCGGTGCACCCCCAGCCTCCCAGGCCGCTGGGGATGACTTAGGCTGCCTGCAAAGCCAGTGCCATTCGGCGCCGCTTCCCAGGCTGCAGACGACCTCCAGGGAAGGAGGCCCTGGCCCTCACAGCAGCTCTGAGAAGAGGTGGCCCCCACTCCAAACCTCGCCGAGCCACCCACACATTCCCTCAGCCCAAAGAGGCTTTTAGGAAAATGAATCATCTCAAGTTCATACCCATGGGGTTGCTGAAAGAAAGGACAGTGCAGGGTGAGCTGGCATGAGGGAGTGCTGCTCTCTGCAGACTTTGCTGGGATGGCTCTTAGGAAAAGGGCCTGGAATCTGGGATGGTGACTAGCTCAGGGTTAAAGGGAGGGGATGGAGCTGGAGTGAGCTGGCCTCATCGTCCCCCTTGGGCCTTCCAGCCTGGGCTCAGGTGATTCAAGGGAGCAAGCACCTCCTTCTCCTGGCCAGGGAGTTCTCGCCACGTTCTGGAATCAGTACCATTCCCTTGGGGGCTGGGGGACAGCAACCACCTCCGGACCTGGCTGGAACTGCTGCAATTCTGGATCCAAATGGCCCCTGGCAGCTTCTCCATCTCCCTCTCAGTCCAGCCCCCACCCCTCCCCCATGAGGGCCCCAACAGCAAATCTGACAACTGGAGGAACAAGGCAGGAAGGGCAGAATCTGAGGGAGTGACCACCTTCAAAAGGCAGCTCTGTCACCTTCTCTCCAGGACTCTGAGGCTTGCTTTCATATTGCTTCCTCGACATCCTTTTGCTATAATCTGGCATGTTGACATATGGTCTTTAAAAACAAGAACACTGATGACGTGGAGCAGACTTCCCCTTTGGGATGGTGTGGAGAAGTTAGGGTTGAGGGCATCCTCTCTTCTGCAAACTGCAGCAGTAATAGGTGAGATATATAAAGTAAATAAAGGCCAGGTGCGGTGGCTTACGCCTGTTATCCCAGCACTTTGGGAGGCCGAGGTAGGCTGATCACCTGAGGTCAGGAGCTCAAGACCAGCCTGGCCAACATGGTGAAAACCGGTGTTTACTAAAAATACAAAAATTAGCCAGGCATAGTGGCACACACCTGTAGTCACACCTACTCAGGAGGCTGAGGCAGGGGAATCACTTGAACCCAAGAGGCGGAGGTTGCAGTGAACGGAGATCTCACCACTGCATTCCAGCCTGGATGACAGAGTGAGACTCCATCTCAAAAAATAAAAATAAAAAATTAAGTAAATAAAAAAGACACGCCCAGGCTGAAAAATAAGTTAATCACCTTCATGAATGAAAAGCAGTAAAGAAATGCAAAGTGGTTGGAGGCTGAAGAGCCTGGAGCCTGCTGGGCTTTGAAAACCAAAGACAGTGACAGGTCTTTTGGGATAAAGGGGTACCAAATGACTCCTAGCTAGAAGCTGAGAGCTTAGGTGTACCCCAGTACTTGAAAGCATGCTGGCCAGGTGCAGTGGCTCATGCCTTTAATCCCAGCACTTTGGGAGGCCGAGGTGGGCAGATCACGAGGTCAGGAGATCAAGACCATCCTGGCTAACACGGTGAAACACCGTCTCTACTAAAAATACAAAAAAAAATTAGCCGGGTGTGGTGGCGGGCACCTGTAATCCCAGCTACTTGGGAGGCTGAGGCAGGAGAATCCCTTGAACCTGGGAGGCAGAGGTTGCGGTGAGCTGAGATCACACCACTACACTCCAGCCTAGGCGAAAAGAGCGAGACTTCATCTCAAAAAAACAGAACAAAATAAAACAAAACAAAAAACAACCAAGGGTGCTGGATCCCTGGCTTTATGGGATGTATACCTTCCCAGTATCCCCAGGACAGGAGCTTGCACATGCTGTAAAACCTGTAGGCCACTGCAAAACTGTCAACGTCAGGCTAGCAAAGGTGATAGGATTAAATAGGTTTTTATAAAAGTTTGACAAGTTTTTTTAATAAAAGAAAAAGAGCTATTTAATTATCTATCAAGAATAATATAATCTTGGTACAAAGCTTGGCACAAAAGGATGTCCAAGGAAAGTTCACGATGGAACAGTCTGAATGACGAGTCTTTGTCACAGGGAGAGGGCACAGGGCAGTGCTTAGTGCTTGGCCTCTGGAGCCAGGAAATCCGGATTTGTATTCCTGCTGCCACTACTTATCCTCCCTGTGACCTTAGGGAAAATGACTTGCCTTCACTGGGCCTTCACTTCCTCATTGATAAAGGGGGAAATAACCTTTACAATAAGCCTTCTAGGATGAAATGAAATAATTCAAGGAAAGTAACTTAACAAGACCCAGAACATAGAAAACCAAATAGATGTTAACTATTATTAACTTTTAGGAACATGAATTCCAAAACTTTAAGTAAAATAATACCAAGTTGAATACAGCAATGTACACACACACAAATAATGCATCATGGTGAATTAGGTTTTATTACAATAATGCAAGGGCAGAGTCAACATCAGATAATGCACTATTAGCAAGCTAGCTTCCTTTTTTTTTAAGACAAGGTCTCACTGTCACCCAGGCTGGGGTGTAGTGTCAACATCTTGGCTCACTGCAACCTCCACCTCCCCAGCTCAAGCAATCCTCCCCACAGCCTTCCAAAGTGCTGAGGTTACAGCTGTGCGCCACCACACCCGGCCCTATCTTCCTTAATGTAAAGCAATTATCATACTTAATAGTAAAATTTTAGAAGTGCTTTTCGTCAAAGTTAGGACATAGACAAGGGTACCTTCTATCGCTGTATCTACTGAACATGGCACTGGAGACCCTAGGTAATGTGTTAGGCTAATACATATGAAATTGCCATTTTTTTAAGGTTATGGAGTGCAGTGGAGTGCAGTGGCATAGCATCAGAAATGTATGTAATTCAACCTATAATAGAAATAAATCAGCTAGGTGAGATGGCTTATGCCTATAACCCCAGCACTTTGGGAGGCTGAGGCAGGAAGATCACCTGAGGTTAGGAGTTGGAGACGAGCCTGGCCAAAATGATGAAACCTCATCTGTACTAAAAAAAAAAAACACACAAAAATTACCCAGGTGTGGTGGTGGGTGCCTGTAATCCCAGTTACTCAGGAGGCTGAGGCAGGAGAATCTCTAGAACTCGGGAGGTGGAGGTTGCAGTGAGCCAAAATTGTTTCACTGTACTCCAGCCTGCGCAACAGAGTGAGGCTCTGTCTCAAAAACAAACAAACAAACAAACAGAAAGAAAGAAAGTTTCAAGTTTTCTCTTTACACAATATGGATGTACTTCATAATGGACTTTCTCATCATGATTCATGAGTGAAGTGACATTCAAACTTGGTAGCTTTTCAGTAGAACTTCCTTTCCCAACATTTTTTTCTGTTCCTTTAATGATGGCAATATCTGAGAGCTCTGAACATAAGTCAAAGGTTTGATTATTTTTCATGTGGCTGGAAATTTTTGCCCTCTGTCAAACTTGGAAATTTTTTCCTCTGCCTGGAACTTTTTGCCCCGCATCTTCCGATCGCCCCGTGTCCTCTTGTTATGCCACTACCCTTTTTTGAGTGTGTCTATTTTCTGGCACTACAATACACTCTGGCACTACAAGGCTCATCTTGTGTTTTCTCTACCCTGACCCAGAATCAGCCATTACTTCAAGGAGCCCTGGTTCTGATATTGGAGAATGCTGTTAGAAACCAGGATGTGGTACTAGGCATGCCGATTTCTATTGGAGTGTCATATAAAAAATTTGTAAATTTTTTGTAGGTCCTCCCAGTGGATAGGATTAGGAAATAAAACATGCATACTAACCACACATATACACACATCTACATCTGTTTCTGTATCTGTCTGTATACATATTAAAATAAACATGAGTTGATAACGAATGTTTCCGCTTTAATCCAAGCACAGATTTCATCCTAGCCTCCCCCTCTTCCTTCTTTTTAGCCTTTTCAACAGTGGGAAGTGTGGCTCTTGTTATGTACACTTTATTCACTTATTTGTTTGACCCTAGTATCATAAAGTAGTTCCATATGCCTGTGACAGATTGATTAACTGGAGTCCATTGTTTGTGGAGAAATATTTTTGTCCTAAGCCTTACAGCAGGGGTGGCCAAACTTTTGGCTTCCCTGGGTCACACTGGAAAAAGAAGAATTGTCTTGGGCCACACATAAAAATACACTAACACTAACAATAGCTGATGAGCTAAAAAAAAAAATCACAAAAAAATTTCATAATGTTTTAAGAAAGTTTACTAATTGGTTTTGGGCCACATGCAAAGCCATCCTGGGCTGCAGGTTGGACAAGCTTGCCTTACAGTATCCAGTCAAAATACTGTTTTCCAAAATTAGTTATTTTCTTCTTCATCCCTTTCAGTGTGGCCACTATTTATAATGCAGTTTGGTTCATTAGTGTTTGTATTCCAAAAACACCCTCAGCCTTCCTATCCTAGTTTTAATGAATTATTACGGTGAAACATAATAAGAGTCGGAGCTATACAGAAAGGTCTACTCAGAGGTGCTTTGTTCCCTCCTATTCTGTTCCCACCACTCCTACTTTCCACTACTTTTTCCACTGACCCTGTGAGCATCATATTTATTGTTAATGGCAGTTACATTTTTACCAAGTGCTTACTATCTGTAGGCACTTGGTGTGTATTGCTTCTTCTGGTGTTCACAGCAACCTCTTGAGGTAGGCACTATTATTATCCACCCCCCCCCCGCCCCGTTTTTTGAGACAGAGTCTCACTCTGTTGCCCAGGCTGGAGTGCAGTGGTGCGATCTCAGCTCACTGCAACCTCTGCCTCCCAAGTTCAAGCAATTCTCCTGCCTCTGCTTCCCAAGTAGCTGCAAGTACAGGTGCGAGCCACCACACCCATCTAATTTTTGTATTTTTAGCAGGCATGGGGTTTTGCCATGTTGGCCAGGCTGGTCTCAAACTCCTGACCTCAGGTGATCCCCATTTTTTAGATGAGAAAGCAGAGTCCCAGAGAGCATAAGGAGCTTGTCCAGAGTGGCATCTCTGATGCATAACCAGTACTCAAACCAGTATTTTTCTGACACCAAGGCCTGTGTGTAAACTGTAAAAGGGCTGTTTGGTACCTGCTTTCCTAAAGTTGTCTGATCCCTTCTCAGTCCAGGTCTTCCTGAAGCTTGGCACTTCTGAAGTCACCTTTCTGAAAACATTCTGGTAACTGTTAGATCCCTTGTTGTAGCTATTCATATGTTCTGTGTGGTTAAACAAGGTTCACAGTGGGCCACCTGGCCTTTGGAACTTGGCTGAAGAGGCTGCCTTCAGTTCATCCTCCCCACCCCCGTTTTCAAAACATGGGTTTCCATGTGTTCGTTGTAAATTAGGAAACATAACCATGTTTTGAGGCTTCATAGAAAACAAACGTCTGGGGTCACACAGGTTAAAGGAGGAACCAAATTCAGCACTATCACTGTTCTATTCGGCAGGCAATTCTGGGGCCTTCCTGTGTCTCAGGTTCTGTACTAGTTGTTTCAGGACTTTGGGATAAACACAAACTATCCCTGCCCTCAGGGGGATTAAGGTCAGGTGTACAAATGACTCTAATGCGAGGCAAGGCTGGATTCAGTGCTGGAAGAGGAGGGCATACCTAACACTACGGGAATTCAAAGAGGAAATGATCAGAATGAGGAGGGAGAGATGGGTCATTCCGGGAGAAGCTTCAGGGAAAGGCAACATTTGAAATGAGACTTTGGAGAGTGAGGGAGGTTTGGGCAGATGGATAGAGAGGATGCAAGGCCAGGGGAAAGGTTTGAGCCAGAAAGTCAGCTTGGGCAAGTGCATGGGTAAAAAAAGAAAATCCACTTTGGGAGGCCGAGGCAGGTGGATCGCCGGAAGTCAGGAGTTGGAGACTAGCCTGGCCCACATGGTGAAACCCTGTCTCTCCTAAAAATACAGAAATTAGCTGGGCATGATGCTGGGCACCTGTAATTCCAGCTACTTGGGAGGCTGAGGCAGGAGAATCACTTGAACCCAGGAGGCAGAGATTGCAGTGAGCTGAGATCACACCACTGCACTCCAGCCTGGGCAACAAGAATAAAACTTCATCAAAAAAAAAAAAAAAGAAAGAAAATCACAAGGCAGTGTGGAGAATGGTGAGTAATCTAATTTGGTTATTGCAGAGAGGATGTAGAAGGAAGTGACAAGAGAGAAAGCCAGACAGGTGGCTTGGGGTCATCTTAAGGGCCTTTGTGCCAGTTAGGATGTTCCAGACTTCAGTCAGGCTGCCCAGCTCAGACTGGCTCAGACAATGAGGGGGTTTATTGGCCGTGTAATTGGGAAGTCCAGAGGCTCCAGGACTACAGAAAATTATTATTTAGTATTAGTTTGACAGCAACACCTTCTGTTTTCTGGGAGCAGGAGATGCTTGTCAAGCTGTAGGTCACTGAGTTGAATATTATCCTGCTTTATTAAATTGCCAAGGGCACGGTAATTGTTGAGAGGGGAGAAGTACACATGAAAGAAAACATGACCAGCTTAGAAACGTCAAATCATTATGACGTTGTTATAAAGTATTATAATTCTTTGAGCGTCTACTATAAGTAGAGAAACTTGAGTTCCAGGTTGTCGGCTTGGTTCTGCCAACAATCAGGAACGTGGTTTTGCATGAAGCCCTTCTTTCTCCTATAATCTTCAGTGTCCTCACCTGCAAAATGAGGCCTTTATATATATATATATATATATATATATATATATATATATATATATATATTTTTTTTTTTTTTTTTTTTTTTTTTTGAGACGGAGTCTCGTTCTGTCGCCCAGGCTGAAGTTCAGTGGTACAATCGCTGTTCACTGCAAACTCCCCCTCCTGGGTTCACAGCATTGTCCTGCCTCAGCCTCCCGAGTAGCTGGGACCACAGGCACCTGCCACCACGCCCAGCTAATTTTTTGTGTTTTTAGTAGAGATGGGGTTTCACCGTGTTAGCCAGGATGGTCTCCATCTCCTGATCTCGTGATCTGCCCGCCTCAGCCTCCCAACGTGCTAGGATTACAGGTGTGAGCCACCACGCCCGGCCAAGGCCTTTATTATACTATGGTTCCTACTGTTTTTTAAAATACTTTTATTAAGTCCAACATTTTTATTAAGAACATTGCTTTTATACATGCCTATTTATGAAAGGGGTTTTCGAGTGTTTACCACTTTTTATTAGAAATAGAGACAGTAAGAATGTTTGACTTAATTGACACAGGCATAATTGAATGGGTATAAATGGCATGCCATAGAAAGAGAAAATTAAGTTGAGCTACTCTGTTGGTTTCACTGATGAGGGGATACATCATTCAAACAGCCAGGAATTAAATCCGTCCAGCTCACAAATGGGGAAACCAGCTGTGTCTGTACCCATGGCCAGCCAGACTGAACACAAATCAGGAAAGTCAATAACTTTTCCTCAGTTCTGAGGGACTTCAGTGGCTGCGGTTCATTTTCCTTTTGCTTCTGAAACAGTGCAAGTTGATGCTCGCCTGGACAGAGCGGCAGTGAGTGGTGGCGTCTGAAGGCCAGGTCTCTGTTGAGATGACTACACGTCGTCTCCCAGTGCCCAATGCATAGAAAAGATACACTACTAAGTGTGAGATGCTCAGTGAAAAATAAAATCTGGGGTTGAATCATCATGGGGGATACTGCATACTCTGTTTCCCCCCTGCAGATTTCCAATGCTCATTAGTTTATAGAGACTCTGAGAATTCCTACAGCAAAGGCACCTGCCAAGGTACTTACAAACTAGTTTAGCTAAACCAGACTTTCAACAATTGGTTACTAAAGACCACTCAAAGTCTGTCAACACTCTGTCATCTCTATGTAATGACAGAAACATAGAAATTCAGGGTAAATGTTTAGAAATTTCTATAGAAACTTGACATTCTCCCAGCATCTGTATGTGACATCAGGGGACTTGTCTCAATGAGCAGTTACAGACCAACTCAGGTTTTGTCAGACTCGATGGAAAGATGCAGAGGCTGTGAGCTGCAAACGAGTCACATACACAAGGACCACATTGCAAGCTGTGTTCTTTAAGGTTAGTTTGTCAACTATAGTATAATCTCACACATCTGAAAAATGGGAACATCTATTCTATAAAGTCTTATTTTTGCAATAATTTTAATTTTAAATCAAGCCAATGTTAGCATTATTAGTGAAAACAAAAGAAAGTTGTGTTATTTATTATTAAACCTAATTTGAGAGTGAAATAAATTGTATTAATTTTTTTAACCAATAAAAGATGCACCTTGTAAACCAAGAGATGATTATGAAAGTGATTCTGAGGACATGAAGACCAAAGGAGTTTGTCCTCGTTTTACTCAGAAGTACTATTTCTAATGGACAGATGATCCCTGACATACAATGGTTTGACTTATAATTTTTTGACTTTATGATGGTGTGAAAGTGATATGCATTCAGCAGAAACCATACTTCAGTATTCAATAAATTACATGAGATATTCAACACTTTAAAGTGGGTTTGTGAGAGAGAATTTTTGCCCAATGGAAGGTGAATGTAAATTTTCTGAGAATGTTTAAGGTAAGCTAGGCTAAGCTATGATGTTAGCTTAGGTGTATTAAATGCATTTTAATTTAATTTAATTTAATTTAATGTTTTGAGACAGTGTGTTTTGTTCTTGTCACCCAGGCTGGAGTGCAATGGCATGATCTCGGCTCACTGCGACCTCTGCCTCTTGGGTTCAAGCGATTTTCTTGCCTCAGCCTTCCCAGTAGCTGGGATTACAGGTGCGCACCAACATGCCTGGCTAATTTTTGTATTTTTAGTAGAGACAGGGTTTCCCCATGTTGGCCAGGCTGGTCTCTAACTCCCGACCTCAGGTGATCCACCCGCCTCAGCCTCCCAAAGAGTTGGGATTACAGGCTGAGCCACTGCACCCGGCCTTAAATGCATTTTCGGCTTATATTTTCAACTGATGATGAGCTATAACTCCTTTGTGAGTTGAGGATCATCTGTCTTGAATTTGGTTTTACAGGCATAACTGAAGGTGAAAGGACAGAATCACCATGTGTTACTGGCACAGATGCATCGGCTAGTGAAGAAAGAAGACATTCAAACTGTAAGTTGCATTCACGTGGGAAGCACAAAGAATTAAATTCAAAACAATGAAACATTAGAGAAAAGCATGGAGTTAAAACACAACAGAATCAGATGTTTACTATTTCTCATTTTAACACTAGTGCTTTGCGGGCTTCTAATAAAGTTGTACTCCAGGAGGCTAAGACTGAAAAGTGACACTAGTGAAAAGTAGCATTGAAATAGTTCCTTAGAAAAGTTGGGTGAATGTGGGGCAAAGATGCCACTAAACTTTAATTTTCCATCGACACACAAATTCAAAGTTTTCCAGAACTGGCAAGTAAAATGGAAGATCCACTCACAGGACACATGCAGTGTGTGAGGGGAATGCTTTTCAGCACTTCTTGATGGATGCACAAATAATGCCAATGTGGTAAATGTCTTTGGTAAATGTGCAATGGAATGTAGTGGTTGTGTGAAGGAAGAATTTTGTTTTCAGCTTCATTTTTGATAAACACAAGCAGCTCTGGACTGTGTGAAACCATGGAGCACCGCACAGTTAACAGAGGTGGTTTGGAGTTTTTTAGCTTTGCATAAGAGGATGTTCTGATGCAGAATCTACAGTGACAGGAAACCATTCTGGACAAGTTACAGAATTAAGGGGTTTGTGCCGGGATGGAAATAAATCAATGACTTCTGTCTTTGAGAAGGTTTTTCTCTGCTCCTCTGTGATGGTTAATTTTTTTTTTTTTTTTTTTTTTTGAGATGGAGTCTCGCTCTGTCCCCCAGGATGGAGTGCAGTGGCGCCATCTCGGCTCACTGCAAGCTCTGCCTCCCGGGTTCATGCCATTCTCCTGCCTCAGCCTCCCAAGTAGCTGGGAGTACAGGTGCCTGCGGCTAATTTTGTGTATTTTTAGTAGAGCCAGGTTTCACCATGTTGGCCAGGATGGTCTCGATCTCCTGACCTTGTGATCCACCCGCCTTGGCCTCCCAAAGTGCTGGGATTACAGGCATGAGCCACCATGCCCCACCTTTTTTTTCTTTTCTTTTTTTTTTTCTTTCTTTCTTTCTTTTTTTTTTTTTTTTGTTAGTCCTTCCCTCCAGTGTCGTGGAGATAATTGGAAAATATTTTAGAGCAAAAAAGTTTATTTCTCCTTCTTGTTGTTAGCAAAGAAATTTATTTTTCCTTCTTGTTATTTATTGGCCTTGGAGACATACACCAAATAGCTCATTCTACTTCTGAAATTTTGTTTTGATTTCCCTGGCCCTCCCCACGAAGTATTTCAGATTAGCAGGGAGTCAAGCATTGTCTGTCTGTCTGTGAATAAAATATTTCAGGCTGCTTTTGCATAATATACATGCTCTTGCCTTTACGAGTCACACTCACATCTTCTGGTTTTGTAAGACACCAGGTAGAGAAGAAAACAATGTTTCTGAATTCTGCTTTATCAGCCCAGTAGAGAACTCCTCCCTTCCCTGAACTGAGGGCCACATCTAAGGGGTTGAAACAGGGCCAGTTACATTCTATGTTCCCAACATAATTGTCCATGCACGGATCCGATCAAGTTAAATGAGAAATAGGATATTTATTCTAAAAACAAGTTATTGCTACAATAATAATAATACTATAGTAATATTATTATTCTAATAATGATATTAGAATAAAAACTGGTTATTAAAGTACTAAACAGTTGAAAATCTAAATGTCTCACAAGGTCAACTATAGCAAGTATATAAGATTTCGTATTAGTCGCACGTCAAAAATTATATCCATAAAAGTAATGACATATGAAAACAGTTTATTGATACAGATATAACAAATATAACTAAACTGTGCTGAAATGTATTTTAAAATAAAATATGCCAAAATATTATTGATGATGACTTTGGATGATGGTATTACCACTAAGGTTTCAAATTTAATTTGCCTCTTACTTCTGAGTACTTTTATAAATTTTTAAATAATAAAATTAGTGTGTTAAAAAATATCAAGTGATATCTAGAAATCAGAAAAAGGCATATTGCCAGAGGAGGACCGAGTTAGTAGATTTGAGGCTCCATTAAGTTTTGTTTATGATCAAAAAACAAACAAAAACCAGGCAACAGTGGCAAAAAATATCTCACTTCCTTCCTGGAAAAGTAAATGAGACTACAAAGAATTTCCAAACTTAAAAACTATACATTTCAAGTCTGTTCATAACTAGTGAAGTCACAGTTTCTGAAAACAATGATAAAATTTTAATTGATATTTAATTCATATTTTTTGTTTAAAAAACTATCAGTATTGGAAGATAAATTTCATGGGAAAAGCATTGAATCATTAAGTTTTGCAGTCACAAAGGTAAATATAATTTGCTTAATGCTGCCCTCAGTTTACAATGAGTCTTTAGTATTTTCTAAGCTATGAGTTCACCAAAATATAGGATTGTTTTGCTGCATATAATTTGCTCAGTGATCAAACACTAAGGAGTTACCTATGTTAAGATGTGAATAATAAATTTATGCAAAATTTATGAAAGTGTACATTGTAAAGACAATAAAACTTTCCATTAAATTGGTGGGAAAGGAGCTCAAAACCTAGCTGGGTGATTCATTATTTTAATGACTTCCTGCTTTACTGCAAAACCTCTCTCTTCATTCGGTGTTGGTAGTTTGAACCCCTGTTAAGGATATAGGCTCACAATGAAGCTTCTATAAATTTCTGGACCTCTGTCATGCTGGCATGTATGTCATTCTCCTTTAGGAATGATGAAGAGACTGGAAAGCGGTTGCTCCAAGGGAAGGGATAATTTTGCAAACCTGAGCTGTCTAAGCTCAGCATGAATTGGAGTGGGCTGCTGACTCAGGCTAGCAGAGGCAGCCAGGAAACATGCAAATCTGCAATCCGTTCTGCCAGGTCTGTCGCAGCAGGTGTCACTAAAGGCACCCCTGTGTGCTTGTCACTGTGGCAGCCTTGACAAGGAAGGTGGAAAGGAAAAAGAGACCCAGTGCTGAACTCCAAGCAGAGATGGGGCTTTTCTCTATGCATATTTTCCCTCCCCTCCCAGCCTGCATTTCCAATAACATATTGATTTATATTTGTATTATGAAACAAAAGTGGTTGTAATCAGATGTTCTTTCCTTTTACACACAATGTTAGCTCCTATTTACATTCCTAACTGAACAATGTCTAAAGAGGTATTTAAACTGATGTAAAACGCAGATAATCTCATGACCAAATGCTTAGCGCAAGAAAAAACTTCAATTTGCAAGAGAAGTCCCTCCAAATACAGAAAGGACCAGTATTGTAAGAGGTACCTTAACTAAAATGTAGCAATGTAAGGCGCAGAGCAGGAAGAACTTTTAAGTCTGAAACTTACAACAAGTCAATTTCATAGTCAGTTTCCCTGGGCCTTCCACAACAGCCTCCGGCACCTGTTTTCTCTACAATGGAGGTAACAATAGTAGCTATTTCAGAGCAGGAAAAGGCTTAGAGCAGTGCTAGAAGAGGGTCGTGGCTATATAAAGTTTAGCTATTTGTATATTGTAAGAAACCAACGATGTGTTCTTTTATCGGTAGTCAGTAATGGATTTCTTGTGGGAAAGTAGCAGCCTCCTATGGGGGGAACACCCGCAGGTCCCACTAAGTGAACACTGGTGTCTGCTAACCTTTGCCTCTATTTGTCGCAATAATATACTGTCAAGCTGTTCCTTGAGTTAGCAATTTTATTTACATTCTTTTTTTTTTCCTTTCCCTTTTCCTGCCACAGAGTCCCGCTCTGTCGCCCAGTCTGGAGTGCAGCAGCGCCATCATAGCTCACTGCCACCTAGAAGCCGGGGTGAAGCAATCCTCCTCCATCAGCCTTCAGAGTAGCTGGGACTACCTGCGCGGCCCACCACACCCGGCTAATCTTTGTGGTTTTTGTTTTGTTTTCCGTTCTGGGTTTCCGTCGGGCGCAGTGGCTCAGGCCTGCAATCCCAGCACTTTGGAAGGCAGAGGTGGGCGGATCACCCGAGGTCGGAGACCAGCCTGACCAACATGAAGAAATCCCGTCTCTACTAAAAAAAAGAAAAAAACTACAAAATTAGCCGGATATGGTGGCTCATGCCTGTAATCCCAGCTACTAGGGAGGCCCAGGCAGGAGAATCACCTAAATCCGGGAGGCCGAGGTTGCGGTGGGCAAAGATCACACCATTGCACTCCAGCCTGGACAACAAGGGTGAAACTCCATCTCAAAACAGAGACCGGGTTTCACCATGTTGCCCAGGCGGTCTGGAACTCCTAGGCTCAAGCGATCTGCCACACTCGGCCTTCCAAAGTCCTGGGATCACAAGGGGGAGGCACCACGCCAGGCCGATCTATTCCTTTCTGGTTACTAAATTGGACCGGGGGCGCGGTGGCTCACGCCTGCAATCCCAGCACCCAGGGAGGCGGAGGCGGGCGTATCACTTGAGGTCAGGAGCTCGAGATCAGCCCGACCAACACGGAGAAACCCCGTCTGTACCAAAAAAATAAAACCAAAATTAGCTGGCATGGTGGCTCATGCCTGCAATCCCAGACACTCAGGAGGCTGAGGCAGGAGAACCACCTAAACCCGGGAGGTGGAGGCCGCGGTGAGTCGAGACCACGCCACTGCACTCCAGCCTGCAAAACGAGCGAAACTCCACTCAAAAAAAAAAAAAAAAGACAGTGTTTCACCACGTTGCCCAGGCCGGTCTGGAAGTCCTAGGCTCAATCGATCGCCGCGCTCGGCCGTCCACAGTACTGGGATCACAAGCATGAGCTACCACGCCAGGCCGATCTATTCCTTTCTGGTTACTAAATTGGACCGGGGGCGCGGTGGCTCACGCCTGCAATCCCAGCACCCAGGGAGGCGGAGGCGGGCGGATCACCCGAGGTCAGGAGCTTGAGATCAGCCCGGCCAACACGGAGAAACCCCGTCTGTACAAAAAAAAAACCACCAAAATTAGCTGGCATGGTGGCTCATGCCTGCAATCCCAGCCACTCAGGAGGCTTAGGCAGGAGAACCACCTAACCGGGAGGTGGAGGCCGCGGTGAGTCGAGACCGGAAAACACTCTAGCCTGGAAAACAAGAGCGAAACTCCGCTCAAAAAAAAAAAAAAAAAAAAAAAAAAGACCGTGTTTCACCATGTCGTCCAGGCTGGTCTGGAACTCCTAGAACCTGTAGATGTTACCTCATTTGGAAAAAGCATATTTTCAGGTATGATTAAGTTAAGGATCTTGAGGAGAGATTATCCTGGATTGTCTCCGTGGGCATTAAATCCTGGCACATATATCCTTATAAGAGGGAGATAAAGGAGATTTAACTTCAGACAGAAGAGAAGGAGGCCCTGTGACCAAGAAGGCAGAGCCTGGAGTGGTGGAGCTGCAAGTCAATGAATGCCAGCAGCCATCAGAAGCTGCGCAAGTCAAAGGATGGATTTTCCCCTCAGCCTCTGAGAGCACTGGCTCTGCTGAGACCTAGATTTCAGCCCAGTGATACTGATTTTGGACTTCTGATATCCAAAACTGTGAGAAAATAAATTTCTGTTGTTTTAAGTCACCACATTTTTGGTAATTTGCTCTAACAGCCACAGGAAAGTAACATACATGCCTACCTGGGTCCAGTTGTGTCCTGTGACTCCTGCTTTCCTGGGACAGGCAGGCTGCTCCGTGCCTCCTGGCCATCCTACTGGGTGCTGGACGCTGTAGGCTGCTCCATGCCTGTTGGCCATTCCCTTTGGTGCTGGACAGCACTCACATTGTGAAATCCACTGGCCCTGTGAAAAACACCTGGAAATGTTACCAGGAGAGGGGTTAGTTCTCTTTTTGGCAACCCATGTTATTGCTTATGGCTTAATATCTGTGCCTCCAAGATCCCTTCTCTCTGCCTTCATCGATGCCAGGAAAGCAGTCACCTTTTGCCTTTCTTTGCTTCTCAGCAAGTGGCATGTCTCCATGTCACTTTAAGCATCAAGCACACGGAGCCCAATAAGATGCTGAAAAGTGTCTGCCTACAAGGTTACAAGGTGGTGGAGACATTCTGAGCCGGTAACTGCAGGGCTCAGTAAAACCGCTACAGGAAATCTCAAGTTCAAAATGCTGAAGTGAAAAATGGGTGATCACAACGAAGGGAAACACAAACCCCTTCTTTTAAAAACATTATGGTGATAAGGCACAACATAAAATTTACCATATTAGCCACTTGTAAGTATACAGTGCAGTAGTGTTAAAAATATACATGTTGAGTAACGAGTTTCTAGAACTTGCTTCTCTTGGAGAACTGAAACTATAGCCACTATACAACAACTCCCCATTTCTCTATCCCCTGGCTTATGGAAACAACCGCTCTATTTTCTGTTTCTATGAGTTTGACTAATTTCGAACCTAATGTAAGAGAAATTGTACAGCATTTGTCTTTGTGTGATGGGCTGATTTCAATTAGTGTAATGTTTTCAAGGTTCATCTATATTGCAGCATGTGACAGGGCTTCTTTCTTTTTTAAGGCTGATAATTTTATAGTATTCCGTTGCATGGATAGACCACATTTATTTATTCATTTATTTATTTATTTATTTACTTATTTATTTATTGAGACAATCTCACTCTGTTGCCCAGGCTGGAGTGCGGTGGCATGATCATGGCTCACTGCAGTCTGAATCTCACATTCTCAAGCGATCCTGCCGCCTCAGCCTCCTGAGTAGCTGGGACTACAGGCACATGACACCATGCCTGGATATTCGTCTTTCTGTGTAACTGGTTGAGAAACAGGGGAGTAACAGTGAAGAAACGGTCTTAGAATAAATCTGGTGACAGCAGAAGAGAATATGAGACAGATTGTGCTCACAGAGCCTTGAAGAGTGTGACAGTATTTGAGGGCCACGCTGTTGTCTTAGAGTGAAGTGAGGAGAACCTGCACTGGTTTGGTAGTCATGGGAATGGAAGGAGGAAAGAAATGTGAAAGCTCATCGGTGGCAGAGTCAAAATGGCTTGGTCTTTGTAGTCAACGATTAAGTGAGAAGGAGGAATTACTGGCTGACTTAGAAGAAGTAAAAAATGTGAAATACTGATAAAACACAAATCTCGTGATTTTAGTTAGCGTAAAGACTAAGCATTGTGTGATTCTAGATATATTATTAAGCAGTTTTGTTCCAGTATTTTATATCCCATATCTTCTAGCTATGACCCTATTTCTTTGTTTCTTGACATAGACAAACATTTTTTAAACTAAGAGCTTTATTGTGATACAGTTTTTGTATGATAAGCCTCACCCTTCAAGTGTACAGTTCAGTGGTTTTTAGTATATTCAGAGTTATGCAGCCATTACCACTCCCTAATTTCAGAACATTTTCATCTCCCCAAAAAGAACCCCGTACCCACTAGCAGTCACTCCCTGTACCTCTCTCCCCCACCATTGATCCTGGCAACCTCTGATCTAACTTCTATCTCTGTAGATTTGCCTATCCTGGGCATTTCATATAAATAGAATCATACAACAGTGGCATTTTGTGACTGATTTTTCTTTACAGTGATTATAAATCAAATGCCTGAAGACGCTAAGCTTAGGATAGTGTTTGCTGTACAACTTTGATAACTGAACTTTTGTAAAGCTGAAAATGTGACTGTGTCTGTATATGTGGCATATTATCCTTAGATGATCCTTACTTCGATTATTAAGAATTTTTTCCCCTAGTAATCTTCAACTGTCTCAATATTCAGCAGGAACCCCTTGGAGACAAAGATCAGTACGAATTTGGAACACCTATTCACAAAATGAATGTAATTTAATTTAGTACAGTAGTAAAGTCAACCACTTTTAGGTGTTGATGCTGCTGAAAGTGTATATTAAGGAAAAGTTTACTTACCTTACTTTTTGTGGAGGTGCTAGAACTACTTCTGTCTTGTGTTTAGATTTCAAGAAACCTTTGCATGGGCATTATGTGGTTGCACAAATGTACTTCGTTTTGACCTGAAAATGCAAAAACTTCCTTTCTTCCCACTTTCTGAGACTCTGCAACCTTAAAGGAAGAGTGGGGTTCTTTAAAGGAAAGGTGGTGGTGGTTGGGTCATGGGTAACAATGTCTACTGTGTACTTCCTTTCCCAAAACAAGTCCCTGTCTACCGTCAGCATTTCCAAAATTTGAAGGTCAAGTGTGGTGTTAACTCATGAACTAATGACTAGACTTTGAGCGGTTGTGGAAGCAAAATCTCAGTGAGTGCCTGGATGTTCTAATTCTGTTAAGTCAGTGAGTGCATATTCTGTACAATACTCTCTTAGCCCAGTGGCAGGTTTAAGGAGTGGGAGAGAGATTTCTATGTTTCGGAAATCAGATACACAAAGAATAAAAATTTTTAATCCCATGAATCTTTGCCCGAGTTTAATTTCTTGGAGAGTTTTTCTTTTAGATTTTCTTTCCCTTCCATTAAACTTTTACTTAGAAAGGTCCCAGGGTTTGGGCAAAGCAAGTGGGAAAGACACTTGCTTGGGTTCTCCAGGATAAGGGATTGAAGAGGACTTCTTTCCCTCATTTTATTATTGAATAATGTCACAATAACAATTATTAAGGTGAATAGTCTACAGTGGAAGTGTTTAGATGCCTTGTCTGCAAAATAACTTGGTTTAGTCAACCCAAGGATGCCTTTGGTTAGCTGGAATGGGAGATGTGCAGGTTAGAGTGGTCTTGGCAAGTCTTCCAGGGGGAAATACAGCATTTGGAAGGGTAGGAAGCAGAAGGAATCTCAGGCAAGGGAAAGGCGTGGGCAGAGCCCCGGAGGACAGAACAGGTTGTGGTGGACTTGGTGTCCACATAGACCTAATTAGTGGTCTTAGCTTTTGTGTTTTCAAAATTACCACAGTTTGTGTTCTAAAACTGTCATTCTCTTGATTTTATTTTAGACATACTATCTGTGTATTTTGAAATTTAAAATAACAGTAAAGGAGAAACGAATTTATTTTGTTTGAGAAAGAGTTAAAAGGTTAAAACATCTTGATCTTAATAATTTTCTAATGGGAGATTTGGTACACCCCCAGAAGTTGTCTTTGGTTCAGAGAATAGTGTTCAGATCTAGAAAGGACTTGAGAAGTCCCAGAGAGGTGCTGCATGGTCTGAACCATTTGATTCTCACGACAGAATGGATAAAAACAATTTGAACCAGGAAACCATGCAGATGTTCATATTTTGGATAGGGTAAGGTCAGTGCCGTCGTCAGAGGAAAAACTCTTGGCCATCACAGGATGGGAGAGAAAGTTTGAGTTGTGAAGAATACTCAAATGCCGTTTAAGGAAACGGGTTCTTCTGCACCTATTCTTTGGAATATTTAGGGCTAAGTTCTTAGTTTTTGACATCATAAAAATGTCAAAGTATTCTGTTCTAAGAGCCATTTCAAACAACTGACTAGAATTTCAGAGCAATTACATGAGAGTAATACCATTAAAATGTTTAAATTACCCATAGTCCTATATCCCTAACAAGTATGTTCACGCTTGCATGTTCTCTTCTCATCTTTACTGTGTGCATACTTTCTTAGTAATGGCACGTAGACATTGTTTAAGCAGGAATAATTCTCGAGATAATTTTGTATGTTTCCTTTTTTCTTTTTAAGGTAGGTATTGGGTGGAGGAGCATTATATTTGCAACTTCTCGCAAAACACGTGATTATTTTCTTATAATATTCAATTTTCACCCTCAATAGAGTGTTTTGATTATGTAAGTTAGACAGAAAGTAGAAGGTTCTCTTAGAGAAATTTTAGTGTTTTTTTTTCATAGCTCCTACTTTCAAGAATGAAAAAGGTAAACCAGTAAAATGACACTGTACTTGGTGCTGCATCTATGCTGGGATAGGCATTAAGAGTGACCTTTATTTAAGGTTCTAATTTGCTCATGTTGGGCACTTAGAACGTCAGTTTGTTGCTTTTTGTGAGATTTTGGAAATGGTCCAATTTTACTTTTTCCCCTTGACTCCAGACTTTTTAACACTGATCTGCTGCTGTTGAGGCATATGCCGTTTTGTTAGGCCTCCTCAAGTGGGAGTCAGGAATGCTGCTGTGTTCCAGAGAGGTTTTGTTCTTCCTGTAGGGCTGAAGCAGTGCCTACTCAATAAAACCAGTCATCGTGCAAAGAAATGCCACCTGACTCAAAGGCAAAGCCAGAGTGCAGCTTGGAGCAAAGAAGGTATTTTATTAAGAATTTTACATAAACCATAAGATATATTTTATATTACTTTGCGAGCCTTCTTCCTGTCTTGACTTAATTCTTTTTGAGAGAATTCATTTCATTTTCATTTGGTTGGTTTTCTTCTTGTTACAAAGATGATCTATAGAAAATATAGAAGTATAAGAAAATTAAAGATACTAACTGATAATTGCTTAATGATTTAGTATCTGCTTGTTTAGTCTTTGTTATATTTACAGTAGGCAAACATGTCTACCGTTGTGAATTTATTACTGGTATGTATACCCTAGTAAGTTAAAAGTTGTACGTACTTTGAAGTTTTGCAAAATTGAGTTCATATTATAGAATTAATTCCTGATGAAATTTTATGTGCTAGGCACTGGTCTTTTTATTTAATTATTTATTTTTACTTTTTTTTCCTCTGTGCCTATGCTTACCAAGTCTTTTTATTTTTTACTTTTTATTAACTCTTTTAATCCTCTGGATAAATTAAAAAGAGGGTATTATTAATATCTGCATTTTGTAGATGAGGTAACTGAAGGTAGGTAACTTGTCCAAGGTCACAGGTGGCAGAGCAAGGATTAAAACTAGACAGTCTGGCTGCCCAAGGCCCAACGAAGAGGAGCTGAGAGCAAGCCACCGGGCAGAAGGATGTTGGTCAGGCTGGTTTCCTGTTCAGTTAACATGAAACGCAGGCTTAACCTTAATTCTAGGACGTTACCGAGAAAGCCTTCCAAAGCCATAGGTTTTTTACCATGACCATGACTTCTTTTTTTTTTTTTTTGAGACAGAGTCTCACTGTGTAGCCCAGGCTGGAGTGCAGTGGCGCGATCTCGGTTCACTGCAGCCTACCTCTCTTGACAGTCCACTGGTTAAAGTGATTCTCCTGCCTCAGCCTCCCGAGTAGCTGAAATTACAGGCGCCGGCCACCACGCCTGGCTAGCTTTTGTGTTTTTAGTAGAGACGGGGTTTCACCGTGTTGGCCAGGCTGGTCTTGAACTCATGACCTCAAATGACCCACCTCTGCCTCCCAAAGTGCTGGGATTCCAGGCGTGAGCCACCGTGCCAGGACCCAAGGCCCTTAAGTTTTAACGTCTCATTCTTCAGTCAGGTTTTCCTTGTTCCTGCGTGTTCAGCCATTTGTTTTTAAGTTTGTGTTGAAGGAGAAACTAACAACGAAAATGGACTTGTTGACGGAAGAAAAGTAGGAATGCAGCCTCTGGTGCTGTTTGAGTGATCCCTCTGCCCCAGGCCTGGCTGCGCGCTGCTGTGTTCTGGAAAGGCGCATTGTGCCCTCGCTGTGGCAGGTAAGAGTCCTGTACAGGTGCTCTGCCCACTTTACCTTTCAGGCTTCTGTATCAGCTGTTTTTCCCTTGTAGAATGTGCCCCTGACCTGTGCCCCTGACTTCCACCCCTTAACCCTGCCCAATACATCTTTACATGTCTGACCATCAAGACTCTTCTGGGTCATATTCAGTTCATGCTGATATTTTCCCTTCCTCCCCTCTTTAGTCCTTACTATTTTTGCTTTGGTCATGTTATGCTATATTCTGTAAGCCTTTAAAAATTTTGTTGTATCATGGCAGGGGAGAATATTTTATAATTATGCTTTGTGCGTTTTATCTTCCACTCAATGAATGCTTGGTAAATATTTGTTTTATTGAGTATATGACCCTTTTCTAGCTATACCGTGAACAAAAATGTTAACTGCCTTGTACGTTAACTGCTAAGAATTTGTCAAAAGTGCAGAGATGACATCCAGAACTTGTCAGAATATTACAAAAAGGTCTCTAAGGGCATGATGGAGGTCTGTAAATTGACTTCATGTGAAAGAGTGTAAGAAGTGAAAATGTGAAGCATGACTGGAGAGCCGGAGTGATAAAGCAAGGGTCCCTTTCTCCAGATCCTTTGTAACAGTGTCATGTGACCTCTTCTAGATCATTCTGAAAGACAATGCCAGCTCGGAACCTAGGAAAGCATCCAGTGGGTTTCTGCATGTTAGGTGGTTCAAATCCTCATTAGCACCTTTGTTTTCTCTGCCTCAGTTTGCTTACAGTGATGTTCTCAGTAGCTGTAATTGCTGTCTGTCTTTGAATATTTAAGCATTTTTTTTTTTAGATCACAGGGTATATGTGCATTTTTATTTTACCAAGTGTTAGAATTTTTACTCTGCCTTTGTGGGCTCTGGGTTAGCTACTTGGCTGTTTCATCGTAAAATGATTAGCAGGAAAAACTGTGTGTGTGTGTGTGTGTGTGTGTGTGCGCGCGTGTGTATTTTAAGTTTCTTAATTGGGTTGGTACATGTAAACCATTTAGAACAGTGCCTGCTGCATATCACATCCCCATCAGTATTCACGTCTCTCATATTCTACCCTCACACTTGATTGATAGTTTGCTTGATTACGTATTTCTAGGTTGAGGATAATTTTACCTTAGAATTTCAAAGTCTGTGCTGTTGTCTTCTAACCAGTCGTGGTGGCGAAGCCTCATGCCATCCTGAGTTTCACTTGTTTATGCATGACTTTCTCCCTGGAAGCTTTTAGGAGTTTGTCTTTTCCTTGGTGAGCTGAAATAGCACAACAGTGTACTTAGTGTGGGTCTTTTTTCATTCATTATGCTGGGTACACCAAATGAACAGGCCTATGGATAGGCTCTTTCAAAGTTGGAGTCTTGAATCTTGTCATATTTTTGTTGTTAACTTTCTCTTTTCCATTTTATTTGTTCATTTGGAAGTGTCTGTTAATTGGATTTTAGACCTCTTGTCTTGAGTCTTATATCTCACGTTATTTCTAAATGTTTTTTAAATTTTCAGTTCTGGAATATTTTCTTATCTTTCGACTTTCAGGAAATTTTATTTGGACTGTCATAACTTTAAGTTTTGTTTTGGTTATTTATTGTTGCTTAACCAATTATCCCAAAACCTAATGGCCTAAAACTACACATCTGTCTATCTGTCACGACTGTATGGATTACCTGGGGCTAGCTGGACAGTTTTTCTGCTGGTCTCATTTGGCAGCTCTCACTGTGTGGTTAAACAGTGTCAGGGACTGGTCATCTGGATGCTCAGCTGCAGTGGAATGTCTGAGACGGCTTCTTTACCCACAGGTCTGCTGCCTTGGTGATTCTTGATGTGGCCTTTCTCTCTGCATAGCATCTCATCCTCTCGGATCTCTTCATGTGGCTTTTCTTTCTCCAAGAAGGTAGCCAATTCTTATTTTTGGCTTCCAGAAGCACAGAAATGGAGCTGCCAGGAGTTCTTAAGGCTTAGACCTGGAACAGGTCCAGTGTCATTTCTACCACATGCTATAGGTTAAAGTGAGTGTTGGGGCCAACCCAGATTGACTATGGGATGGGCCTGTCTGAGGACATGATGACAGGAGGTATGGCTCATTGGAGACCAACTCCCAAGATGGAGCATGAGTTCTAAGAACTTTTTCTTCTCTGATTATTTCTTATTCATATTGTTTTGTTTTATACATGTAATATATTCACAAGTGTCTTTATGAAGTGATTTTGATACTCTTTGTCTTCTCCCTGGCATCTCCTTGTTCTTTAATAATTTTTTTCTTAGTTTATTTTGGTCTTATTTTTCTTTTTAAAGCCTTTCCTTAAATATCTATTCTATGTTGCTTATCATTTGTAGTCTTTTTTTTTTTTTTTTTTTGAGACCCAGTTTCGCTCTTGTTGCCTAGGCTGGAGTACAATGATGTGATCTTGGCTCACCACAACCTCTGCCTCCAAGGTTCAAGCAGTTCTCCTGCCTCAGCCTCCCAAGTAGCTGGGATTACAGGCATGTGCTACCACGCCCAGCTAATTTGTGTATTTTTAGTAGAGATGGGATTTCTCCATGTTGGTCAGTCTGGTCTGGAACTCCCAACCTCAGGTGATCCACCCACCTCGGCCTCCCAAAGTGCGGGATTACAGACATGAGCCACCGTGCCTGACCTGTAGTCTTTTTTCCATTCCTTTATTTGTTCATTCATATTTGAGAGAGGTACTAAAAGACTGGGAGCCGAGGTGTGGTGGCTCACACCTATAATCTCAGTGCTTTGGGAGACCGAAGTGGGAGGATCACTTGAGCCCAGGAGCTCAAGACTAGTTTGGGCAACATAGTGAGACCCCATCTTTACAAAAAAAAAAAAATAGCTAGGTGTGGTGACACCCATCTGCAGTCCCAGCTACTTGGGAGGCTGAGGCAGGAGGATTGCTTGAGCCCAGGAGGTTGAGGCTGCAGTGAGCTCTGATCATGCCACTGCATTCCTGCATTCCAACCTGGGCGAAAGAGCAAGACCCTGTCTCAAAATAAATAAATAAATAAATAAAAATAAAAATAAATAAAAATTGATTGGGAGTTCTTTGTGGCCAAGACTTGTCAACTGATAGCTTTAAGGGGAATGTATGCTGATTCCTAATTGTTATCCTCCATCCCTCTATCTTATCTCCTGTTGCAATCATAAATGATGGCTGGATGACTACTCCATTCCTCTGGATGTAAAATCTACATTCTCTTGCCTGAGGTGGATACGTTTGCTTGGGTTCTGTTTAAGGAGATGGGGCCAGCAGTGTGTTTCAGGGCCTGTGAAATGTGTTCTCTATCCGGGCTTTTGCTTAATCTCTGTTTTCAGTCTTGCCTATCAGTCCCACTGTCGGGGGTACCTCGTGTCTGAGTCTAGAACCTTTCCAGGTTGCTGTGGGACAGATTAGCCTCCTTGTTCTCAGTATCCCCCTGACCTCCACCTTTGTTGCTTTGCTCCATGAATTAACCATTTTCCATGTACTGTCATTGTCTAATGAAGATGAATTCTCTTCTGTTGGTAACCCCATTCCTTTTTTGTAATGGTGTGCTTATACAATGTTTATTCTTCACTGTATTTCTATTGGAGCCTCAGGACAAAGAGCAGATGGTGAGAATCTGTGTTCAGTGTTAAGTTTTCCTTCTGT